>NC_000001.11:124459405-124785432 GCF_000001405.40 Homo sapiens
AGTCTGTTTGTAAATTCTGTAAGTGGATATTCAGACCTCTTTGAGGCCTTCGTTGGCAACGGGATTTCTCCATACTGTGCTAGACAGAAGAATTCTCAGTAACTTCCTTGTGTTGTGTGTATTCAACTCACAGAGTTGAACGATCCTTTACACAGAGCAGAGTTGAAACACTCTTTTTGTGGAATTTGCAAGTGGAGATTTCAGCCGCTTTGAGGTCAATGGTAGAATAGGAAATATCTTCATACAGAAACTAGACAGAATGATTCTCAGAAACTTCTTTGTGATGTGTGCGTTCAACTCACAGAGTTTAACCTTTCTTTTCATAGAGCAGTTAGGAAACACTCTGTTTGTAAACTCTGCAAGTGGATACTCAGACCTCTTTGAGGCCTTCGTTGGAAACGGGATTTCTCCATACTGTGATAGACAGAAGAAATCCCATTAACTTCCTTGTGTTGTGTGTGTTCAACTCACAGAGTTGAACTTTCATTTACACAGAGCAGATTTGAAACACTCTTTTTGTGGAATTTGCAAGTGGAGATTTCAAGCGCTTTGAGGCCAAAGGCAGAAAAGGAAATATCTTCGTTTCAAAACTAGACAGAATCATTCTCAGAAACTGCTCTGCGATGTGTGCGTTCAACTCTCAGAGTTTAACTTTGCTTTTCATTCAGCAGTTTGGAAACACTCTGTTTGTAAAGTCTGCACGTGGATAATTTGACCACTTAGAGGCCTTCGTTGGAAACGGGTTTTTTTCATATAAGGCTAGACAGAAGAATTCCCAGTAACTTCCTTGTGTTGTGTACATTCAACTCACAGAGTTGAACGTTCCCTTAGACAGAGCAGATTTGAAACACTCTTTTTGTGCAATTGGCAAATGGAGATTTCAAGCGCTTTAAGGTCAATGGCAGAAAAGGAAATATCTTCGTTTCAAAACTAGACAGGATCATTCCCACAAACTGCGTTGTGATGTGTTCGTTCAACTCACAGAGTTTAACCTTTCTTTTCATAGAGCAGTTAGGAAACAGTCTGTTTGTCAATTCTGTAAGTGGATATTCTGACATCTTGTGGCCTTAGTTGGAAACGGGATTTCTTCATATTCTGCTAGACAGAAGAATTCTCAGTAACTTCTTGGTGTTGTGTGTATTCAACTCACAGAGTTGAACGATGCTTTACACAGAGCAGACTTGAAACACTCGTTTTGTGGAATTTGCAAGTTGAGATTTCAGCCGCTTTGAGGTCAATGGTAGAAAAGGAAATATCTTCGTATAAAAACTAGACAGAATGATTCTCAGAAACTCCTTTGTGATGTGTGTGTTCAACTCACAGAGTTAAACCTTTCTTTTCATAGAGCAGTTAGGAAACACTCTGTTTGTAAAGTCTGCAAGTGGATATTCAGACCTCTTTGAGGCCTTCGTTGGAAACGGGTTTTTTTCATATAAGGCTAGACAGAAGAATTCCCAGTAACTTCCTTGTGTTGTGTGTGTTCAACTCACAGAGTTGAACTTTCATTTACACAGAGCAGATTTGAAACACTCTTTTTGTGGGATTTGCAGGTGGAGATTTCAAGCGCTTTGAGGCCAAAGGCAGAAAAGGAAATATCTTCGTATAAAAACTAGACAGACTCATTCTCAGAAACTGCTCTGCGATGTGTGCGTTCAACTCTCAGAGTTTAACTTTTCTTTTCATTCAGCAGTTTGGAAACACTCTGTTTGTAAAGTCTGCACGTGGATATTTTGACCACTTAGAGGCCTTCGTTGGAAACGGTTTTCTTTCCTGTAAGGCTAGACAGAAGAATTCCCAGTAACTTCCTTGTGTTGTGTACATTCAACTCACAGAGTTGAACGTTCCCTTAGACAGAGCAGATTTGAAACACTCTTTTTGTGCAATTGGCAAGTGGAGATTTCAAGCGCTTTAAGGTCAATGGCAGAAAAGGAAATATCTTCGTTTCAAAACTAGACAGAATCATTCCCACAAACTGCGTTGTGATGTGTTCGTTCAACTCACAGAGTTTAACCTTTCTTTTCATAGAGCAGTTAGGAAACACTCTGTTTGTAAAGTCTACAAGTGGATATTCAGACCTCTTTGAGGCCTTCGTTGGAAACGGGTTTTTTTCATATAAGGCTAGACAGAAGAATTCTCAGTAACTTCCTTGTGTTGTGTGTATTCAACTCACAGAGTTGAACGATCCTTTACACAGAGCAGACTTGAAACACTTTTTTTGTGGAATTTGCAAGTGGAGATTTCAGCCGCTTTGAGGTCAATAGTAGAAAAGGAAATAGCTTCGTAGAAAAACTAGACAGAATTGTTCTCAGAAACTCCTTTGTGATGTGTGCGTTCAACTCACAGAGTTTAACCTTTCTTTTCATAGAGCAGTTAGGAAACACTCTGTTTGTAAAGTCTGGAAGTGGATATTCAGACCTCCTTGAGGCCTTCGTTGGAAACGGGATTTCTTCATATTATGCTTGACAGAAGAATTCTCAGTAACTTCCTTGTGTTGTGTGTATTCAACTGACAGAGTTGAACTTTCATTTAGAGAGAGCAGATTTGAAGCACTGTTTTTGTGGAATTTGCAAGTGGAGACTTCAAGCGCTTTGGGCCAAAGGCAGAAAAGGAAATACCTTCGTATAAAAACTAGACAGAATCATTCTCAGAAACTGCTGCGTGATGTGTGCTTTCAACTCTCAGAGTTTAACTTTTCTTTTCATTCAGCGGTTTGGAAACACTCTGTTTGTAAAGTCTGCACGTGGAAATTTTGACCACTTAGAGGCCTTCGTTGGAAACGGGTTTTTTTCATGTAAGGCCAGACAGAAGAATTCTCAGTAACTTCCCTTGTGTTGTGTGTATTCAACTGACAGAGTTGAACTTTCATTTAGAGAGAGCAGATTTGAAACACTGTTTTTGTGGAATTTGCAAGTGGAGATTTCAAGCGTTTTGGGGCCAAAGGCAGAAAAGGAAATATCTTCGTATAAAAACTAGGCAGAATCATTCTCAGAAACTGCTCTGCGATGTGTGTGTTCAACTCTCAGAGTTTAACTTTTCTTTTCATTCAGCAGTTTGGAAACACTCTGTTTGTAAAGTCTGCACGTGGATAATTGGACCACTTAGAGGCCTTCGTTGGAAACGGGTTTTTTTCATGTAAGGCTATACAGAAGAATTCTCAGTAACTTCCTTGTGTTGTGTGTATTCAACTCACAGAGTTGAACGATCCTTTACACAGAGCAGACTTGTAACACTCTTTTTGTGGAATTTGCAAGTGGAGATTTCAGCCGCTTTGAAGTCAAAGGTAGAAAAGGAAATATCTTCTTATAAAAACTAGACAGAATGATTCTCAGAAACTCCTTTGTGATGTGAGCGTTCAACTCACAGAGTTTAACCTTTCTTTTCATAGAGCAGTTAGGAAACACTCTGCTTGTAAAGTCTGCAAGTGGATATTCAGCCCTCTTTGAGGCCTTCGTTGGAAACGGGTTTTTTTCATATAGGGCTAGACAGAAGAATTCTCAGTAACTTCCTTGTGTTGTGTGTATTCAACTGACAGAGTTGAACTTTCATTTAGAGAGAGCAGATTTGCAACACTGTTTTTGTGGAATTTGCAAGTGGAGATTTCAAGCGCTTTGGGGCCAAAGGCAGAAAAGGAAATATCTTCGGATAAAAACTAGACAGAATCATTCTCAGAAACTGCTCTGCGATGTGTGCGTTCAACTCTAAGAGTTTAACTTTTCTTTTCATTCAGCAGTTTGGAAACACTCTGTTTGTAAAGTCTGTACGTGGATAATTTGACCACTTAGAGGCCTTCGTTGGAAACGGGTTTTTTTCATGTAAGGATAGACAGAAGAATTCCCAGTAACTTCCTTGTGTTGTGTGCATTCAACTCACAGAGTTGAACGTTCCCTTAGACAGAGCAGATTTGAAACACTCTATTTGTGCAATTTGCAAGTGTAGTTTTCAAGCTCTTTAAGGTCAACGGCAGAAAAGGAAATATCTTGGTTTCAAAACTAGACAGAATGATTCTCATAAACTCCTTTGTGATGTGTGCGTTCAACTCACAGAGTTTAACCTTTCTTTTCATAGAGCAGTTAGGAAACACTCTGTTTGTAAAGTCTGTAAGTGGATATTCTGACATCTTGTGGCCTTCGTTGGAAACGGGATTTCTTCATATTCTGCTAGACAGAAGAATTCTCAGTAACTTTCTTGTGTTGTGTGTATTCAACTCACAGAGTTGAACGATCCTTTACAGAGAGCAGACTTGAAACACTCTTTTTGTGGAATTTGCAAGTGGAGATTTCAGCCGCTTTGAGGTCTATGGTAGAAAAGGAAATGTCTTCGTATAAAGACTAGACAGAATGATTCTCAGAAACTCCTTTGTGATGTGTGTGTTCAACTCACAGAGTTTAACCTTTCTTTTCATAGAGCAGTTAGGAAACACTCTGTTTGTAAAGTCTGCAAGTGGATATTCAGACCTCTTTGAGGCCTTCATTGGAAACGGGTTTTTTTCATAGAAGGCTAGACAGAAGAATTCCCAGTAACTTCCTTGTGTTGTGTGTGTTCAACTCACAGAGTTGAACTTTCATTTACACAGAGCAGATTTGAAACACTCTTTTTCTGGAATTTGCAAGTGGAGATTTCAAGCGCTTTGAGGCCAAAGGCAGAAAAGGAAATATCTTCGTATAAAAACTAGACAGAATCATTCTCAGAAACTGCTCTGCGATGTGTGCGTTCAACTCTCAGAGTTTAACTTTGCTTTTCATTCAGCAGTTTGGAAACACTCTGTTTGTAAAGTCTGCACGTGGATAATTTGACCACTTAGAGGCCTTCGTTGGAAACGGGTTTTTTTCATGTAAGGCTAGACAGAAGAATTCTCAGTAACTTCCTTGTGTTGTGTGTATTCAACTCACACAGTTGACCGATCCTTTACACAGAGCAGACTTGTAACACTCTTTTTGTGGAATTTGCAAGTGGAGATTTCTGCCGCTTTGAAGTCAAAGGTAGAAAAGGGAATATCTTCCTATAAAAACTAGACAGAATGATTCTCAGAAACTCCTTTGTGATGTGTGCGTTCAACTCACAGAGTTTAACCTTTCTGTTCATAGAGCTGTTAGGAAACACTCTGTTTGTAAAGTCTGCAAGTGGATATTCAGACCTCCTTGAGGACTTCGTTGGAAACGGGATTTCTTCATATTCTGCTAGACAGAAGAATTCTCAATAACTTCCTTGTGTTGTGTGCATTCAACTCACAGAGTTGAATGATCCTTTACACAGAGCAGATTAGAAACACTCTTTTTGTGGAATTTGCAAGTGGACATTTCAGCCGCTTTGAGGTCAATGGTAGAAAAGGAAATATCTTCGTATAAAAACTAGACAGAATGATTCTCAGAAACTCCTTTGTGATGTGTGCGTTCAACTCACAGAGTTTAACCTTTCTTTTCATAGAGCAGTTAGGAAACACTCTGTTTGTAAACTCTGCAAGTGGATATTCAGACCTCTTTGAGGCCTTCGTTGGAAACGGGTTTTTTTCATATAAGGCTAGACAGAAGAATTCTCAGTAACTTCCTTGTGTTGTGTGTATTCAACTGACAGAGTTGAACTTTCATTTAGAGAGAGCAGATTTGAAACACTGTTTTTGTGGAATTTGCAAGTGGAGATTTCAAGCGCTTTGGGGCCAAAGGCAGAAAAGGAAATATCTTCTGTATAAAAACTAGACAGAATCATTCTCAGAAACTGCTCTGCGATGTGTGCGTTCAACTCTCAGAGTTTAACTTTTCTTTTCATTCAGCAGTTTGGAAACACTCTGTTTGTAAAGTCTGCACGTGGATATTTTGACCACTTAGAGGCCTTCGTTGGAAACGGGTTTTTTTCCTGTAAGGCTAGACAGTAGAATTCCCAGTAACCTCCTTGTGTTGTGTGCATTCAACTCACAGAGTTGAACGTTTCCTTAGACAGAGCAGATTTGAAACACTCTATTTGTGCAATTTGCAAGTGTAGATTTCAAGCGCTTTAAGGTCAATGGCAGAAAAGGAAATATCTTCGTTTCAAAACTAGACAGAATGATTCTCATAAACTCCTTTGTGATGTGTGCGTTCAACTCACAGAGTTTAACCTTTCTTTTCATAGAGCAGTTAGGAAACACTGTGTTTGTAAAGTCTGCATGTGGATATTCAGACCTCCTTGAGGCCTTCGTTGGAAACGGGAATTCCTCATATTCTGCTAGACAGAAGAATTCTCAGTAACTTCCTTGTGTTGTGTTTATTCAACTCACAGAGTTGAATGATCCTTTACACAGAGCAGACTTGAAACACTCTTTTTGTGGAATTTGCAAGTGGAGATTTCAGCCGCTTTGAGGTCAATGGTAGAAAAGGAAACTATCTTCATATAAAGACTAGACAGAATGATTCTCAGAAACTCCTTTGTGATGTGTGCGTTCAACTCACAGCAGTTTAACCTTTCTTTTCATAGAGCAGTTAGGAAACACTCTGTTTGTAAAGTCTGCAAGTGGATATTCAGACCTCCTTGAGGCCTTCGTTGGAAACGGGTTTTTTTCATATAAGGCTAGACAGAAGAATTCTCAGTAACTTCCTTGTGTTGTGTGTATTCAACTGACAGAGTTGAACTTTCATTTAGACAGAGTAGATTTGAAACACTCTTTTTGTGGAATTTGCAAGTGGAGATTTCAAGCGCTTTGAGGCCAAAGGCAGAAAAGGAAATATCTTCGTATAAAAACTAGACAGAATCATTCTCAGAAACTGCTGCGTGATGTGTGCGTTCAACTCTCAGAGTTTAACTTTTCTTTTCATTCAGCGGTTTGGAAACACTCTGTGAAGTCTGCACGTGGATATTTTGACCACTTAGAGGCCTTCGTTGGAAACGGGTTTTTTTCAAGTAAGGCTAGACAGAAGAATTCCCAGTAACTTCCTTGTGTTGTGTGCATTCAACTCACAGAGTTGAACGTTCCCTTAGACAGAGCAGATTTGAAACACTCTATTTGTGCAATTTGCAAGTGTAGATTTCAAGCGCTTTAAGGTCAATGGCAGAAAAGGAAATATCTTTGTTTCAAAACTAGACAGAATCATTCCCACAAACTGCGTTATGATGTGTTCGTTCAACTCACAGAGTTTAACCTTTCTGTTCATAGAGCAGTGAGGAAACACTCTGTTTGTAAAGTCTGTAAGTGGATATTCTGACATCTTGTGGCCTTCGTTGGAAAAGGGATTTCTTCCTATTCTGCTAGACAGAAGAATTCTCAGTAACTTCCTTGTGTTGTGTGTATTCAACTCACAGAATTGAACGATCCTTTACACAGAGCAGACTTGAAACACTCTTTTTGTGGAATTTGCAAGTGGAGATTTCAGCCGCGTTGAGGTCAATGGTAGAAAAGGAAATATCTTCGTATAAAAACTAGACAGAATGATTCTCAGAAACTCCTTTGTGATGTGTGCGTTCAACTCACAGAGTTCAACCTTTCTTTTCATAGAGCAGTTAGGAAACACTCTGTTTGTAAAGTCTGCAAGTGGATATTCAGACTTCTTTGAGGCCTTCGTTGGAAGCGGGTTTTCTTCATATTCTGCTAGAAAGAAGAATTCTCACTAACTTCCTTGTGTTGTGTTTATTCAACTCACAGAGTTGAATGATCCTTTACACAGAGCAGACTTGAAACACTCTTTTTGTGGAATTTGCAAGTGGAGATTTCAGCCGCTTTGAGGTCAATGGTAGAAAAGTAAATATCTTCGTATAAAGACTAGACAGAATGATTCTCAGAAACTCCTTTGTGATGTGTGCGTTCAACTCACAGAGTTTAACCTTTCTGTTCATAGAGCAGTTAGGAAACACTCTGTTTCTAAAGTCTGCAAGTGGATATTCAGACCTCCTTGAGGCCTTCGTTGGAAACGGGATTTCTTCATATTCTGCTAGACAGAAGAATTCCCAGTAACTTCCTTGTGTTGTGTGCATTCAACTCACAGAGTTGAACGTTCCCTTAGACAGAGCAGATTTGAAACACTCTATTTGTGCAATTTGCAAGTGTAGATTTCAAGCGCTTTAAGGTCAACGGCAGAAAAGGAAATATCTTCGTTTCAAAACTATACAGAATGATTCTCAGAAAATCTTTTGTGATGTGTGCGTTCAACTCACAGAGTTTAACTTTTCTTCTCATAGACCAGTTAGGAAACACTCTGTTTGTAAAGTGTGCAAGTGGATATTCAGACCTCTTTGAGGCCTTCGTTGGAAACGGGATTTCTTCATATTCTGCTAGACAGAAGAATTCTCAGTAACTTCCTTGTGTTGTGTGTATTCAACTCACAGAGTTGAAGGATCCTTTACAGAGAGCAGGCTTCAAACACTCTTTTTGTCGAATTTGCAAGTGGAGATTTCAGCCGCTTTGAGGTCAATGGTAGAATAGGAAATATCTTCTTATAGAAACTAGACAGAATGATTCTCAGAAACTTCTTTGTGATGTGTGCGTTCAACTCACAGGGTTTAACCTTTCTTTTCATAGAGCAGTTAGGAAACACTCTGTTTGTAAACTCTGCAAGTGGATATTCAGACCTCTTTGAGGCCTTCGTTGGAAACGGGATTTCTTCATACTGTGCTAGACAGAAGAATTCCCAGTAACTTCCTTGTGTTGTGTGTGTTCAACTCACAGAGTTGAACTTTCATTTACACAGAGCAGATTTGAAACACTCTTTTTGTGGAATTTGCAAGTGGAGATTTCAAGCGCTTTGAGGCCAAAGGCAGAAAAGGAAATATCTTCCTATAAAAACTAGACAGAATCATTCTCAGAAACTGCTGCGTGATGTGTGCGTTCAACTCTCAGAGTTTAACTTTTCTTTTCATTCAGCGGTTTGGAAACACTCTGTTTGTAAAGTCTGCACGTGGATATTATGACCATTTAGAGGCCTTCGTTGGAAACGGGTTTTCTTCATGTAAGGCTAGACAGAAGAATTCCCAGTAACTTCCTTGTGTTGTGTGCATTCAACTCACAGAGTTGAACGTTCCCTTAGACAGAGCAGATTTGAAACACTCTATTTGTCCAATTTGCAAGTGTAGATTTCAAGCGCTTTAAGGTCAACGGCAGAAAAGGAAATATCTTCGTTTCAAAACTAGACAGAATGATTCTCAGAAACTCCTTTGTGATGTGTGCTTTCAACTCACAGAGTTTAACCTTTCTTTTCATAGAGCAGTTAGGAAACACTCTGTGTATAAAGTCTGCAAGTGGATATTCAGGCCTCTTTGAGGCCTTCGTTGGAAACGGGATTTCTTCATATGATGCTGGACAGAAGAAATCTCAGTAACTTCCTTGTGTTGTGTGTATTCAACTCACAGAGTTGAACGGTCCTTTACACAGAGCAGATTTGAAACAATGTTTTTGTGGAATTTGCAAGTGGAGATTTCAGCCGCTTTGAGGTCAATCGCAGAAAAGGAAATATCTTCTTATAGAAACTAGACAGAATGATTCTCAGAAACTCCTTTGTGATGTGTGCGTTCAACTCACAGAGTTCAACCTTTCTTTTCATAGAGCAGTTAGGAAACACTCTGTTTATAAACTCTGCAAGTGGATATTCAGACCTCTTTGAGGCCTTCGTTGGAAACGGGATTTCTTCATATTCTGCTAGACAGAAGAATTCCCAGTAACTTCCTTGTGTTGTGTGTGTTCAACTCACAGAGTTGAACTTTCATTTACACAGAGCAGATTTGAAACACTCTTTTTGTTGAATTTGCAAGTGGAGATTTCAAGCGCTTTGAGGCCAAAGGCAGAAAAGGAAATATCTTCGTTTCAAAACTAGACAGAATCATTCTCAGGAAACTGCTCTGCGATGTGTGCATTCAACTCTCAGAGTTTAACTTTTCTTTTCATTCAGCAGTTTGGAAACACTCTGTTTGTAAAGTCTGCACGTGGATATTTTGACCACTTACAGGCCTTCGTTGGAAACGGGTTTTTTTCCTGTAAGGCTAGACAGAAGAATTCCCAGTAACTTCCTTGTGTTGTGTGCATTCAACTCACAGAATTGAACGTTCCCTTAGACAGAGCAGATTTGAAACACTCTATTTGTGCAATTTGCAAGTGTAGATTTCAAGCGCTTTAAGGTCAACGGCAGAAAAGGAAATATCTTCGTTTCAAAACTAGACAGAATGATTCTCAGAAACTCCTTTGTGATGTGTGCCGTTCAACTCACAGAGTTTAACCTTTCTTTTCATAGAGCAGTTAGGAAACACTCTGTTTGTAAAGTCTGCAAGTGGATATTCAGACCTCCTTGAGGCCTTCGTTGGAAACGGGTTTTCTTCATATTATGCTAGACAGAAGAATTCTCAGTAACTTCCTTGTGTTGTGTGTATTCAACTCACAGTGTTGAACGATCCTTTACACAGAGCATACTTGAAACACTCTTGTTGTGGAATTTGCAAGTGGAGATTTCAGCCGCTTTGAGGTCAATGGTAGAATAGGAAATATCTTCCTATAGAAACTAGACAGAATGATTCTCAGAAACTCCTTTGTGATGTGTGCGTTCAACTCACAGAGTTCAACCTTTCTTTTCATAGAGCAGTTGGGAAACACTCTGTTTGTAAAGTCTGCAAGTGGATATTCAGACTTATTTGAGGCCTTAGTTGGAAGCGGGATTTCTTCATGTTCTGCTAGACAGAAGAATTCCCAGTAACTTCCTTGTGTTGTGTGTGTTCAACTCACAGAGTTGAACTTTCATTTACCCAGAGCAGATTTGAAACACTCTTTTTGTGGAATTTGCAAGTGGAGATTTCAAGCGCTTTGAGGCCAAAGGCAGAAAAGGAAATATCTTCGTATAAAAACTAGACAGAATCATTCTCAGAAACTGCTCTGCGATGTGTGCGTTCAACTCTCAGAGTTTAACTTTTCTTTTCGTTCAGCAGTTTGGAAACACTCTGTTTGTAAAGTCTGCACGTGGATAATTTGACCACTTAGAGGCCTTCGTTGGAAACGGGTTTTTTTCATGTAAGGCTAGACAGAATAATTCCCAGTAACTTCCTTGTGTTGTGTACATTCAACTCACAGAGTTGAACGTTCCCTTAAACAGAGCAGATTTGAAACACTCTTTTTGTGCAATTGGCAAGTGGAGATTTCAAGCGCTTTGAGGTCAATGGCAGAAAAGGAAATATCTTCGTTTCAAAACTAGACAGAATCATTCCCAAAAACTGCGTTGTGATGTGTTCGTTCATCTCACAGAGTTTAACCTTTCTTTTCATAGAGCAGTTAGGAAACACTCTGTTTGTAAATTCTGTAAGTGGATATTCTGACATCTTGTGGCCTTCGTTGGAAACGGGATTTCTTCATATTCTGCTAGACAGAAGAATTCTCAGAAACTTCCTTGTGTTGTGTGTATTCAACTCACAGAGTTGAACGATCGTTTACACAGAGCAGACTTGAAACACTCTTTTTGTGGAATTTGTAAGTGGAGATCTCAGCCGCTTTGAGGTCAATGGTAGAAAAGGAAATATCTTCATATAAAAACTAGACAGAATGATTCTCAGAAACTCCTTTGTGATGTGTGCGTTCAACTAACAGAGTTTAACCTTTCTTTTCATAGAGCAGTTAGGAAACACTCTGTTTGTAAAGTCTGCAAGTGGATATTCAGACCTCTTTGAGGCCTTCGTTGGAAACGGGTTTTTTCATATAAGGCTAGACAGAAGAATTCTCAGTAACGTCCTTGTGTTGTGTGTATTCAACTGACAGAGTTGAACTTTCATTTAGAGAGAGCAGATTTGAAACACTGTTTTTGTGGAATTTGCAAGTGGAGATTTCAAGCGCTTTGGGGCCAAAGGCAGAAAAGGAAATATCTTCGTATAAAAACTAGACAGAATCATTCTCAGAAACTGCTCTGCGATGGGTGCGTTCAACTCTCAGAGTTTAACTTTTCTTTTCATTCAGCAGTTTGGAAACACTCTGTTTGTAAAGTCTGCACGTGGATATTTTGACCACTTAGAGGCCTTCGTTGGAAACGGGTTTTTTTCCTGTAAGGCTAGACAGAAGAATTCCCAGTAACTTCCTTGTGTTGTGTACATTCAACTCACAGAGTTGAACGTTCCCTTAGACAGAGCAGATTTGAAACACTCTTTTTGTGCAATTGGCAAATGGAGATTTCAAGCGCTTTAAGGTCAATGGCAGAAAAGGAAATATCTTCGTTTCAAAACTAGACAGAATGATTCTCAGAAACTCCTTTGTGATGTGTGCGTTCAACTCACAGAGTTTAACCTTTCTTTTCATAGAGCAGTTAGGAAACACTGTTTGTAAAGTCTGCAAGTGGATATTCAGACCTCTCTGAGGCCTTCGTTGGAAACGGGATTTCTTCATACTGTGCTAGACAGAAGAATTCTCAGTAACTTCCTTGTGTTGTGTGTATTCAACTCACAGAGTTGAACGATCCTTTACACAGAGCGGACTTGAAACACACTTTTTGTGGAATTTGCAAGTGGAGATTTCAGCCGCATTGAGGTCAATGGTAGAAAAGGAAATATCTTCATATAAAAAATAGACAGAATGATTCTCAGAAACTCCTTTGTGATGTGTGTTTTCAACTCACAGAGTTTAACCTTTCTTTTCATAGAGCAGTTAGTAAACACTCTGTTTATAAAGTCTGCAAGTGGATATTCAGACCCCTTTGAGGCCTTCGTTGGAAACGGGATTTCTTCATATTATGCTAGACAGAAGAATTCTCAGTAACTTCCTTGTGTTGTGTGTATTCAACTGACAGAGTTGAACTTGCATTTAGAGAGAGCAGATTTGAAACACTCTTTTTGTGGAATTTGCAAGTGGAGATTTCAAGCGCTTTGGGGCCAAAGGCAGAAAAGGAAATATCTTCGTATAAAAACTAGACAGAATCATTCTCAGAAACTGCTGCGTTATGTGTGCGTTCAACTCTCAGAGTTTAACTTTTCTTTTCATTCAGCGGTTTGGAAACACTCTGTTTGTAAAGTCTGCACGTGGATATTTTGACCACTTAGAGGCCTTCGTTGGAAACGGGTTTTTTTCATGTAAGGCTAGACAGAAGAATTCCCAGTAACTTCCTTGTGTTGTGTACATTCAACTCACAGAGTTGAACGTTCCCTTAGACAGAGCAGATTTGAAACACTCTTTTTGTGCAATTGGCAAATGGAGATTTCAAGCGCTTTAAGGTCAATGGCAGAAAAGGAAATATCTTCGTTTCAAAACTAGACAGAATCATTCCCACAAACTGCGTTGTGATGTGTTCGTTCAACTCACAGAGTTTAACCTTTCTGTTCATAGAGCAGTTAGGAAACACTCTGTTTGTAAAGTCTGCAAGTGGATATTCAGACCTCCTTGAGGCCTTCGTTGGAAACGGGATTTCTTCATATTCTGCTAGACAGAAGAATTCTCAGTAACTTCCTTGTGTTGTGTTTATTCAACTCACAGAGTTGAATGATCCTTTACACAGAGCAGACTTGAAACACTCTTTTTGTGGAATTTGCAAGTGGAGATTTCAGCCGCTTTGAGGTCAATGGTAGAAAAGTAAATATTTTCGTATAAAGACTAGACAGAATGATTCTCAGAAACTCCTTTGTGATGTGTACGTTCAACTCACAGAGTTTAACCTTTCTTTTCATAGAGAAGTTAGGAAACACTCTGTTTGTAAAGTCTGCAAGTGGATATTCAGACCTCTTTGAGGCCTTCGTTGGAAACGTGTTTTTTACATATAAGTCTAGACAGAAGAATTCCCAGTAACTTCCTTGTGTTGTGTGTGTTCAACTCACAGAGTTGAACTTTGATTTACACAGAGCAGATTTGAAACACTCTTTTTGTGGAATTTGCAGGTGGAGATTTCAAGCGCTTTGAGGCCAAAGGCAGAAAAGGAAATATTCTTCGTATAAAAACTAGACAGAATCATTCTCAGAAACTGCTGCGTGATGTGTGCGTTCAACTCTCAGAGTTTAAATTTTCTTTTCATTCAGCGGTTTGGAAACACTCTGTTTGTAAAGTCTGCACGTGGATATTTTGACCACTTAGAGGCCTTCGTTGGAAACGGGTTTTTTGCATGTAAGGCTAGACAGAAGAATTCCCAGTAACTTCCTTGTGTTGTGTGCATTGAACTCACAGAGTTGAACGTTCCCTTAGAGAGGGCAGATTTGAAACACTCTATTTGTGCAATTTGCAAGTGTAGATTTCAAGCGCTTTAAGGTCAACGGCAGAAAAGGAAATATCTTCGTTTCAAAACTAGACAGAATCATTCCCACAAACTGTGCTGTGATGTGTTCGTTCAACTCACAGAGTTTAACCTTTCTGTTCATAGAGCAGTTAGGAAACACTCTGTTTGTAAAGTCTGCAAGTGGATATTCAGACCTCCTTGAGGCCTTCGTTGGAAACGGGATTTCTTCATATTCTGCTAGACAGAAGAATTCTCAGTAACTTCCCTTGTGTTGTGTGTATTCAACTCACAGAGTTGAACGATCCTTTACACAGAGCAGACTTGTAACACTCTTTTTGTGGAATTTGCAAGTGGAGATTTCAGCCGCTTTGAAGTCAAAGGTAGAAAAGGAAATATCTTCCTATAAAAACTAGACAGAATGATTCTCATAAACTCCTTTGTGATGTGTGCATTCAACTCACAGAGTTTAACCTTTCTTTTCATAGAGCAGTTAGGAAACACTCTGTTTGTAAAGTCTGCAAGTGGATATTCAGACCTCCTTGAGGCCTTCGTTGGAAAAGGGATTTCTTCATATTCTGCTAGACAGAAGAATTCGCAGTAACTTCCTTGTGTTGTGTGTGTTCAACTCACAGAGTTGAACTTTCATTTACACAGAGCAGATTTGAAACACTCTTTTTGTGGAATTTGCAGGTGGAGATTTCAAGCGCTTTGAGGCCAAAGGCAGAAAAGGAAATATCTTCGTATAAAAACTAGACAGAATCATTCTCAGAAACTGCTCTGCGATGTGTGCGTTCAACTCTCAGAGTTTAACTTTTCTTTTCATTCAGCAGTTTGGAAAAACTCTGTTTGTAACGTCTGCACGTGCATAATTTGACCACTTAGAGGCCTTCGTTGGAAACGGGTTTTTTTCCTGTAAGGCTAGACAGAAGATTTCTCAGTAACTTCCTTGTGTTGTGTGTATTCAACTCACAGAGTTGAAAGATCCTTTACACAGAGCAGACTGGTAACACTCTTTTTGTGGAATTTGCAAGTGGAGATTTCAGCCGCTTTGAAGTCAAAGGTAGAAAAGGAAATAACTTCCTATAAAAACTAGACAGAATCATTCCCACAAACTGCGTTGTGATGTGTTCGTTCAACTCACAGAGTTTAACCTTTCTGTTCATAGAGCAGTTAGGAAACACTCTGTTTGTAAAGTCTGCCAGTGGATATTCAGACCTCCATGAGGCCTTCGTTGGAAACGGGATTTCTTCATATTCTGCTAGACAGAAGAATTCTCAGAATCTTCCTTGTGTTGTGTGTATTCAACTCACAGAGTTGAACCATCCTTTACACAGAGCAGACTTGAAACACTCTTTTTGTGGAATTTGCAAGTGGAGATTTCAGCCGCTTTGAGGTCCATGGTAGAAAAGGAAATATCTTCGTATAAAAACTAGACAGAATGATTCTCAGAAACTTCTTTGTGATGTGTGCGTTCAAGTCACAGAGTTTAACCTTTCTTTTCATAGAGCAGTTAGGAAACACTCTGTTTGTAAACTCTGCAAGTGGATGTTCAGACCTGTTTGAGGCCTTCGTTGGAAACGGGATTTCTTCATACTATGCTAGACAGAAGAATTCCCAGTAACTTCCTTGTGTT
This sequence comes from Homo sapiens, assembly GCF_000001405.40. Lineage (NCBI taxonomy): Eukaryota > Metazoa > Chordata > Mammalia > Primates > Hominidae > Homo > Homo sapiens. The sequence continues at coordinate 124,475,156 of NC_000001.11, forward strand.
GTGTGAGTTCAACTCACAGAGTTGAACTTTCATTTACACAGAGCAGATTTGAAACACTCTTTTTGTGGAATTTGCAAGTGGAGATTTCAAGCGCTTTGACGCCAAAGGCAGAAAAGGAAATATCTTCGTATAAAAATTAGACAGAATCATTCTCAGAAACTGCTCTGTGATGTCTGCGTTCAACTCTCAGAGTTTAACTTTTCTTTTCATTCAGCAGTTTGGAAACACTCTGTTTGTAAAGTCTGCACGTGGATATTTTGACCACTTAGAGGTCTTCGTTGGAAACGGGTTTTTTTCATGTAAGGCTAGACAGAAGAATTCCCAGTAACTTCCTTGTGTTGTGTACATTCAACTCACAGAGTTGAACGTTCCCTTAGACAGAGTAGATTTGAAACACTCTTTTTGTGCAATTGGCAAGTGGAGATTTCAAGCGCTTTAAGGTCAATGGCAGAAAAGGAAATATCTTCGTTTCAAAACTAGACAGAATCATTCCCACAAACTGCGTTGTGATGTGTTCGTTCAACTCACAGAGTTTAACCTTTCTTTTCATAGAGCAGTTAGGAAACAGTCTGTTTGTAAATTCTGTAAGTGGATATTCTGACATCTTGTGGCCTTTGTTGGAAACGGGATTTCTTCATATTCTGCTAGACAGAAGAATTCTCAGAATCTTCCTTGTGTTGTGTGTATTCAACTCACAGAGTTGAACGATCCTTTACACAGAGCAGACTTGAAACACTCTTTTTGTGGAATTTGCAAGTGGAGATTTCAAGCGCTTTGAGGCCAAAGGCAGAAAAGGAAATATCTTCGTATAAAAACTAGACAGAATGATTCTCAGAATCTTCTTTGTGATGTGTGCGTTCAACTCACAGAGTTTAACCTTTCTTTTCATAGAGCAGTTAGGAAACACTCTGTTTGTAAACTCTGCAAGTGGATATTCAGACCTCATTGAGGCCTTCGTTGGAAACGGGATTTCTTCATACTATGCTAGACAGAAGAATTCTCAGTAACTTCCTTGTGTTGTGTGTATTCAACTCACAGAGTTGAACGACCCTTTACACAGAGCGGACTTGAAACACTCTTTTTGTGGAATTTGCAAGTGGAGATTTCAGCCGCGTTGAGGTCAATGGTAGAAAAGGAAATATCTTCGTATAGAAACTAGACAGAATCATTCTCAGAAACTGCTCTGCGATGTGTGCGTTCAACTCTCAGAGTTTAACTTTTCTTTTCATTCAGCAGTTTGGAAACACTCTGTTTCTAAAGTCTGCACGTGGATATTTTGACCACTTAGAGGCCTTCGTTGGAAACGGGTTTTTTTCCTGTAAGGCTAGACAGAAGAATTCCCAGTAACTTCCTTGTGTTGTGTACATTCAACTCACAGAGTTGAACGTTCCCTTAGACAGAGCAGATTTGAAACACTCTTTTTGTGCAATTGGCAAATGGAGATTTCAAGGGCTTTAAGGTCAATGGCAGAAAAGGAAATATCTTCGTTTCAAAACTAGACAGAATCATTCCCACAAACTGCGTTGTGATGTGTTCGTTCAACTCACAGAGTTTAACCTTTCTGTTCATAGAGCAGTTAGGAAACACTCTGTTTGTAAAGTCTGTAAGTGGATATTCTGACATCTTGTGGCCTTCGTTGGGAACGGGATTTCTTCATATTCTGCTAGACAGAAGAATTCTCAGTAACTTCCCTTGTGTTGTGTGTATTCAACTCACAGAGTTGAACGATCCTTTACACAGAGCAGACTTGAAACATTCTTTTTGTGGAATTTGCAAGTGGAGATTTCAGCCGCTTTGAGGTCAATGGTAGAATAGGAAATATCTTCATATAGAAACTAGACAGAATGATTCTCAGAAACTCCTTTGTGATGTGTGCGTTCAACTCACAGAGTTTAACCTTTCTGTTCATAGAGCTGTTAGGAAACACTCTGTTTGTAAAGTCTGCAAGTGGATATTCAGACCTCCTTGAGGCCTTCGTTGGAAACGGGATTTCTTCATATTCTGCTAGACAGAAGAATTCTCAGTAACTTCCTTGTGTTGTGTGTATTCAACTCACAGAGTTGAACGATCCTTTACAGAGAGCAGACTTGAAACACTCTTTTTGTGGAATTTGCAAGTGGATATTTCAGCCGCTTTGAGGTCAATGGTAGAAAAGGAAATATCTTCGTATAAAGACTAGACAGAATCATTCTCAGAAACTGCTCTGCGATGTGTGCGTTCAACTCTCAGAGTTTAACTTTTCTTTTCATTCAGCAGTTTGGAAACACTCTGTTTGTAAAGTCTGCACGTGAATAATTTGACCACTTAGAGGCCTTCGTTGGAAACGGGTTTTTTTCATGTAAGGCTAGACAGAAGAATTCCCAGTAACTTCCTTGTGTTGTGTACATTCAACTCACAGAGTTGAACGTTCCCTTAGACAGAGCAGATTTGAAACACTCTTTTTGTGCAATTGGCAAGTGGAGATTTCAAGCGATTTGAGGTCAATGGCAGAAAAGGAAATATCTTCGTTTCAAAACTAGACAGAATCATTCCCACAAAATGCGTTGTGATGTGTTCGTTCATCTCACAGAGTTTAACCTTTCTTTTCGTAGAGCAGTTAGGAAACAGTCTGTTTGTAAATTCTGTAAGTGGATATTCTGACATCCTGTGGCCTTCGTTGGAAACGGGATTTCTTCATATTCTGCTAGACAGAAGAATTCTCAGTAACTTCCTTGTGTTGTGTGTATTCAACTCACAGAGTTGAACGATCCTTTACACAGAGCAGACTTGAAACACTCTTTTTGTGAAATTTGCAAGTGGAGATTTCAGCCGCTGTGAGTTCAATGGTAGAATAGGAAATATCTTCCTATAGAAACTAGACAGAATGATTCTCAGAAACTCCTTTGTGATGTGTGCGTTCAACTCACAGAGTTTAACCTTTCTGTTCATAGAGCTGGTAGGAAACACTCTGTTTGTAAAGTCTGCAAGTGGATATTCAGACCTCCTTGCGGCCTTCGTTGGAAACGGGATTTCTTCATATTCTGCTAGACAGAAGAATTCTCAGTAACTTCTTTGTGTTGTGTGTATTCAACTCACAGAGTTGAACGATCCTTTACACAGAGCAGACTTGAAACACTCTTTTTGTGGAATTTGCAAGTGGAGATTTCAGCCGCTTTGAGGTCAATGGTAGAAAAGGAAATATCTTCGTATAAAGACTAGACAGAATCATTCTCAGAAACTGCTCTGCGATGTGTGCGTTCAACTCTCAGAGTTTAACTTTTCTTTTCTTTCAGCAGTTTGGAAACACTCTGTTTGTAAAGTCTGCACGTGGATATTTTGACCACTTAGAGGCCTTCGTTGGAAACGGGTTTTTTTCCTGTAAGGCTAGACAGAAGAATTCCCAGTAACTTCCTTGTGTTGTGTACATTCAACTCACAGAGTTGAACGTTCCCTTAGACAGAGCAGATTTGAAACACTCTTTTTGTGCAATTGGCAAGTGGAGATTTCAAGCGCTTTGAGGTCAATGGCAGAAAAGGAAATATCTTCGTTTCAAAACTAGACAGAATGATTCTCATAAACTCCTTTGTGATGTGTGCGTTCAACTCACAGAGTTTAACCTTTCTTTTCATAGAGCAGTTAGGAAACACTCTGTTTGTAAAGTATGCAAGTGGATATTCAGACCTCTTTCAGGCCTTCGTTGGAAACGGGATTTCTTCATATTATGCTAGACAGAATAATTCTCAGTAACTTCCTTGTGTTGTGTGTATTCAACTCACAGAGTTGAACGATCCTTTACAGAGAGCAGACTTGTAACACTCTTTTTGTGGAATTTGCAAGTGGAGATTTCAGCCGCTTTGAGGTCAATGGTAGAATAGGAAATATCTTCCTATAGAAAGTAGACAGAATGATTCTCATAAACTCCTTTGTGATGTGTGCATTCAACTCACAGAGTTTCACCTTTCTTTTCATAGAGCAGTTAGGAAACACTCTGTTTGTAAAGTCTGCAAGTGGATATTCAGACCACCTTGAGGCCTTCGTTGGAAACGGGATTTCTTCATATTCTGCTAGACAGAAGAAATCCCAGTAACTTCCATGTGTTGTGTGTGTTCAACTCACAGAGTTGAACTTTCATTTACACAGAGCAGATTTGAAACACTCTTTTTGTGGAATTTGCAAATGGAGATTTCAAACTCTTTGAGGCCAAAGGCAGAAAAGGAAATATCTTCGTATAAAAACTAGACAGAATCATTCTCAGAAACTGCTGCGTGATGTGTGCGTTCAACTCTCAGAGTTTAACTTTTGTTTTCATTCAGCGGTTTGGAAACACACTGTTTGTAAAGTCTGCACGAGGATATATTGACCACTTAGAGGCCTTCGTTGGAAACGGGTTTTTTTCATGTAAAGCTAGACAGAAGAATTCCCAGTAACTTTCCTTGTGTTGTGTGCATTCAACTCACAGAGTTGAACGTTCCCTTAGACAGAGCAGATTTGAAACACACTATTTGTGCAATTTGCAAGTGTAGATTTCAAGCGCTTTAAGGTCAATGGCAGAAAAGGAAATATCTTCGTTTCAAAACTAGACAGAATCATTCCCACAAACTGCGTTGTGATGTGTTCGTTCAACTCACAGAGTTTAACCTTTCTTTTCATAGAGCAGTTAGGAAACAGTCTGTTTGAAAATTCTGTAAGTGGATATTCTGACATCTTGTGGCCTTCGTTGGAAACGGGATTTCTTCATATTCTGCTAGACAGAAGAATTCTCAGTAACTTCCTTGTGTTGTGTGTATTCAACTCACAGAGTTGAACGATCCTTTACACAGAGCAGACTTGAAACATTCTTTTTGTGGAATTTGCAAGTGGAGATTTCAGACGCTTTGAGGTCAATGGTAGAATAGGAAATATCTTCCTATAGAAACTAGACAGAACGATTCTCAGAAACTCCTTTGTGATGTGTGCGTTCAACTCACAGAGTTTAACCTTTCTTTTCATAGAGCAGTTAAGAAACACTCTGTTTGTAAAGTCTGCAAGTGGATATTCAGACCTCTTTGAGGCCTTCGTTGGAAACGGGATTTCTTCATATTCTGCTAGACAGAAGAATTCTCAGTAACTTCCTTGTGTTGTGTGTATTCAAGTGACAGAGTTGAACTTTCATTTAGAGAGAGCAGATTTGAAACACTGTTTTTGTGGAATTTGCAATTGGAGATTTCAAGCGCTTTGGGGCCAAAGGCAGAAAAGGAAATATCTTCGTATAAAAACTAGACAGAATCATTCTCAGAAACTGCTGCGTGATGTGTGCGTTCAACTCTCAGAGTTTAACTTTTCTTTTCATTCAGCGGTTTGGAAACACTCTCTTTGTAAAGTCTGCACGTGGATATTTTGACCTCTTAGAGGCCTTCGTTGGAAACGGGTTTTTTTTCATGTAAGGCTAGACAGAAGAATTCCCAGTAACTTCCTTGTGTTGTGTGCATTCAACTCACAGAGTTGAATGTTCCCTTAGACAGAGCAGATTTGAAACACTCTATTTGTGCAATTTGCAAGTGTAGATTTCAAGCGCTTTAAGGTCAATGGCAGAAAAGGAAATATCTTCGTCTCAAAACTAGACAGAATCATTCCCAGAAACTGCGTTGTCATGTGTTCGTTCAACTCACAGAGTTTAACCTTTCTGTTCATAGAGCAGTTAGGAAACACTCTGTTTGTAAAGTCTGTAAGTGGATATTCTGACATCTTGTGGCCTTCGTTGGAAACGGGATTTCTTCATATTCTGCTAGACAGAAGAATTCTCAGTAACTTCCTTGTGTTGTGTGTATTCAACTCACAGAGTTGAACGATCCTTTACACAGAGCAGACTTGAAACACTCTTTTTGTGGAATTTGCAAGTGGAGATTTCAGCCGCTTTGAGATCAATGGTAGAAAAGGAAATATCTTCGTATAAAGACTAGACAGAATGATTCTCAGAAACTCCTTTTGGATGTGTGCGTTCAACTCACAGAGTTTAACCTTTCTTTTCATAGAGCAGTTAGGAAACACTCTGTTTGTAAAGTCTGCAAGTGGATATTCAGACCTCTTTGAGGCCTTCGTTGGAAAAGGGATTTCTTCATTTTATGCTAGACAGAAGAATTCTCAGTAACTTCCTTGTGTTGTGTGTATTCAACTGACAGAGTTGAACTTTCATTTGGAGAGAGCAGATTTGAAACACTGTTTTTGTGGAATTTGCAAGTGGAGATTTCAAGCGCTTTGGGACCAAAGGCAGAAAAGGAAATATCTTCGTATAAAAACTAGACAGAATAATTCTCAGAAACTGCTGCGTGATGTGTGCGTTCAACTCTCAGAGTTTAACTTTTCTTTTCATTCAGCGGTTTCGAAACACTCTGTAAAGTCTGCACGTGGATATTTTGACCACTTAGAGGCCTTCGTTGGAAACGGGTTTTTTTCATGTAAGGCTAGACAGAAGAATTCCCAGTAACTTCCTTGTGTTGTGTGCATTCAACTCACAGAGTTGAACGTTCCCTTAGACAGAGCAGATTTGAAACACTCTATTTGTCCAATTTGCAAGTGTAGATTTCAAGCGCTTTAAGGTCAACGGCAGAAAAGGAAATATCTTCGTTTCAAAACTAGACAGAATCATTCCCACAAACTGCGTTGTGATGTGTTCGTTCAACTCACAGACTTTAACCTTTCTGTTCATAGAGCAGTTAGGAAACACTCTGTTTGTAAAGTCTGCAAGTGGATATTCAGACCTCCTTGAGGCCTTCGTTGGAAACGGGATTTCTTCATATTCTGCTAGACAGAAGAATTCTCAGAAACTTCCTTGTGTTGTGTAATTTCAACTCACAGAGTTGAACGATGCTTTACACAGAGTAGACTTGAAACACTCTTTTTGTGGAATTTGCAAGTGGAGATTTCAGCCGCTTTGAGGTCAATTTTTGAAAAGGAAATATCTTCGTATAAAAACTAGACAGAATGATTCTCAGAAACTCCTTTGTGATGTGTGTGTTCAACTCACAGACTTTAACCTTTCTTTTCATAGAGCAGTTAGGAAACACTCTGTTTGTACAGTCTGCAAGTGGATATTCAGACATCCTTGAGGCTTTCGTTGAAAACGGGATTTCTTCATATTCTGCTAGAAAGAAGAAATTCCCAGTAACTTCCTTGTGTTGTGTGTGTTCAACTCACAGCAGTTGAACTTTCATTTACACAGAGCAGATTGGAAACACTCTTTTTGTGGAATTTGCAAGGGGAGATTTCAAGCGCTTTGAGGCCAAAGGCAGAAAAGGAAATATCTTCGTATAAAAACTAGACAGAATCATTCTCAGAAACTGCTCTGCGATGTGTGCGTTCAACTCTCAGAGTTTAACTTTTCTTTTCATTCAGCAGTTTGGAAACACTCTGTTTGTAAAGTCTGCACGTGGATATTTTGACCACTTAGAGGCCTTCGTTGGAAACGGTTTTTTTCCTGTAAGGCTAGACAGAAGAATTCCCAGTAACTTCCTTGTGTTGTGTACATTCAACTCACAGAGTTGAACGTTCCCTTAGACAGAGCAGATTTGAAACACTCTTTTTGTGCAATTGGCAAGTGGTGATTTCAGCCTCTTTGAGGTCAATGGTAGAAAAGGAAATATCTTCGTATAAAAACTAGACAGAACGATTCTCAGAAACTCCTTTGTGATGTGTGTGTTCAACTCACAGAGTTTAACCTTTCTTTTCATAGAGCAGTTAGGAAACACTCTGTTTGTAAACTCTGCAAGTGGATATTCAGACCTCTTTGAGGCCTTCGTTGGAAACGGGATTTCTTCCTATTCTGCTAGACAGAAGAATTCTCAGTAACTTCCTTGTGTTGTGTGTATTCAACTCACCGAGTTGAACGATCCTTTACACAGAGCAGACTTGAAACACTCCTTTTGTGGAATTTGCAAGTGGAGATTTCAGCTGCTTTCAGGTCAATAGTAGAAAAGGAAATATCTTCGTAGAAAAACTAGACAGAATGATTCTCAGAAACTCCTTTGTGATGTGTACGTTCAACTCACAGAGTTTAACCTTTGTTTTCATAGAGCAGTTAGGAAACACTCTGTTTGTAAAGTCTGCAAGTGGATATTCAGACCTCTTTGAGGCCTTCGTTGGAAACGGGTTTTTTTCATATAAGGCTAGACTGAAGAATTCTCAGTAACTTCCTTGTGTTGTGTGTATTCAACTGACAGAGCTGAACTTTCATTTAGAGAGAGCAGATTTGAAACACTGTTTTTGTGGAATTTGCAAGTGGAGATTTCAAGCGCTTTGGGGCCAAAGGCAGAAAAGGAAATATCCTTCGTATAAAAACTAGACAGAATCATTCTCAGAAACTGCTCTGCGATGTGTGCGTTCAACTCTCAGAGTTTAACTTTTATTTTCATTCAGCAGTTTGGAAACACTCTGTTTGTAAAGTCTGCACGTGGATATTTTGACCACTTAGAGGCCTTCGTTGGAAACGGGTTTTTTTCCTGTAAGGCTAGACAGAAGAATTCCCAGTAACTTCCTTGTGTTGTGTACATTCAACTCACAGAGTTGAACGTTCCCTTAGACAGAGCAGATTTGAAACACTCTTTTTGTGCAATTGGCAAATGGAGATTTCAAGCGCTTTAAGGTCAATGGCAGAAAAGGAAATATCTTCGTTTCAAAACTAGACAGAATCATTCCCACAAACTGCGTTGTGAAGTGTTCGTTCAACTCACAGAGTTTAACCTTTCTTTTCATAGAGCAGTTAGGAAACAGTCTGTTTGTCAATTCTGTAAGTGGATATTCTGACATCTTGTGGCCTTCGTTGGAAACGGGATTTCTTCATATTCTGCTAGACAGAATAATTCTCAGTAACTTCTTTGTGTTGTGTGTATTCAACTCACAGAGTTGAAGGATCCTTTACAGAGAGCAGGCTTGAAACACTCTTTTTGTCGAATTTGCAAGTGGAGATTTCAGCCGCTTTGAGGTCAATGGTTGAATAGGAAATATCTTCTTATAGAAACTAGACAGAATGATTCTGAGAAACTCCTTTGTGATGTGTGCGTTCAACTCACAGAGTTTAACCTTTCTTTTCATAGAGCAGTTAGGAAACACTCTGTTTGTAAAGTCTGCAAGTGGATATTCAGATCTCCTTGAGGCCTTCGTTGGAAACGGGATTTCTTCATATTATGCTAGACAGAAGAATTCCCAGTAACTTCGTTGTGTTGTGTGTGTTCAACTCACAGAGTTGAACTTTGATTTACACAGAGCAGATTTGAAACACTCTTTTTGTGGAATTTGCAAGTGGAGATTTCAAGCGATTTGAGGCCAAAGGCAGAAAAGGAAATATCTTCGTATAAAAACTAGACAGAATCATTCTCAGAAACTGCTCTGCGATGTGTGCGTTTAACTCTCAGAGTTTAAATTTTCTTTTCATTCAGCAGTGTGGAAACACTCTGTTTGTAAAGTCTGCACGTGGATATTTTGACCACTTAGAGGCCTTCGTTGGAAACGGGTTTTTTTCCTGTAAGGCTAGACAGAAGCATTCCCAGTAACTTCCTTGTGTTGTGTGCATTCAACTCACAGAGATGAACGTTCCCTTAGACAGAGCAGATTTGAAACGCTCTATTTGTGCAATTTGCAAGTGTAGATTTCAAGCGCTTTAAGGTCAATGGCAGAAAAGGAAATATCTTCGTTTCAAAACTAGACAGAATCATTCCCACAAACTGCGTTGTGATGTGTTCGTTCAACTCACAGAGTTTAACCTTTCTGTTCATAGAGCAGTTAGGAAACACTCTGTTTGTAAAGTCTGTAAGTGGATATTCTGACATCTTGTGGCCTTCGTTGGAAACGGGGTTTCTTCATATTATGCTAGACAGAAGAATTCTCAGAAACTTCTTTGTGTTGTGTGTATTTAACTCACAGAGTTGAACGATCCTTTACACAGAGCAGACTTGAAACACTCTTTTTGTGGAATTTGCAAGTGGAGATTTCAGCCGCTTTGAGGTCAACGGTAGAATAGGAAATATCTTCCTATAGAAACTAGACAGAATGATTCTCAGAAACTCCTTTGTGATGTGTGTGTTCAACTCACAGAGTTTAACCTTTCTATTCATAGAGTAGTTAGGAAACACTCTGTTTGTAAAGTCTGCAAGTGGATATTCAGACCTACTTTGAGGCCTTCGTTGGAAACAGGATTTCTTCATACTATGCTAGACAGAAGAATTCCCAGTAACTTCCTTGTGTTGTGTGTGTTCAACTCACAGAGTTGAACTTTCATTTACACAGAGCAGATTTGAAACACTCTTTTTGTGGAATTTGCAGGTGGAGATTTCAAGCGCTTTGAGGCCAAAGGCAGAAAAGGAAATATCTTCGTATAAAAACTAGACAGAATCATTCTCAGAAACTGCTCTGCGATGTGTGCGTTCAACTCTCAGAGTTTAACTTTTCTTTTCATTCAGCAGTTTGGAAACACTCTGTTTCTAAAGTCTACACGTGGATAATTTGACCACTTAGAGGCCTTCGTTGGAAACGGGTTTTTTTCATGTAAGGCTAGACAGAAGAATTCCCAGTAACTTCCTTGTGTTGTGTGCATTCAACTCACAGAGTTGAACGTTCCCTTAGACAGAGCAGATTTGAAACACTCTATTTGTGCAATTTGCAAGTGTAGATTTCAAGCGCTTTAAGGTCAATGGCAGAAAAGGAAATATCTTCGTTTCAAAACTAGACAGAATCATTCCCACAAACTGCGTTGTGATGTGTTCGTTCAACTCACAGAGTTTAACCTTTCTGTTCATAGAGCAGTTAGGAAACACTGTGTTAGTAAAGTCTGTAAGTGGATATTCTGACATCTTGTGGCCTTCGTTGGAAACGGGATTTCTTCATATTCTGCTAGACAGAAGAATTCTCAGTAACTTCCTTGTGTTGTGTGTATTCAACTCACAGAGTTGAACGATCCTTTACACAGAGCAGACTTGAAACACTCTTTTTGTGGAATTTGCAAGTGGAGATTTCAGCCGCATTGAGGTCAATGGTAGAAAAGGAAATATCTTCGTATAAAAACTAGACAGAATGATTCTCAGAAACTCCTTTGTGATGTGTGCGTTCAAGTCACAGAGTTTAACCTTTCTTTTCATAGAGCAGTTAGGAAACACTCTGTTTGTAAAGTCTGCAAGTGGATATTCAGACCTCTTTGAGGCCTTCGTTGGAAACGGGATTTCTTCATATTCTGCTAGACAGAAGAATTCTCAGTAACTTCCTTGTGTTGTGTGTATTCAACTGACAGAGTTGAACTATCATTTAGAGAGAGCAGATTTGAAACACTGTTTTTGTGGAATTTGCAAGTGGAGATTTCAAGCGCTTTGGGGCCAAAGGCACAAAAGGAAATATCTTCGTATAAAAACTAGACAGAATCATTCTCAGAAACTGCAGCGCGATGTGTGCGTTCAACTCTCAGAGTTTAACTTTTCTTTTCATTCAGCGGTTTGGAAACACTCTGTTTGTAAAGTCTGCACGTGGAAATTTTGACCACTTAGAGGCCTTCGTTGGAAACGGGTTTTTTTCATGTAAGGCTAGACAGAAGAATTCCCAGTAACTTCCTTGTGTTGTGTGCATTCAACTCACAGAGTTGAACGTTCCCTTAGACAGAGCAGATTTGAAACACTCTATTTGTGCAATTTGCAAGTGTAGTTTTCAAGCTCTTTAAGGTCAACGGCAGAAAAGGAAATATCTTGGTTTCAAAACTAGACAGAATGATTCTCAGAAACTCCTTTGTGATGTGTGCGTTCAACTCACACAGTTTAACCTTTCTTTCCATAGAGCAGTTAGGAAACACTCTGTTTGTAAAGTCTGCAAGTGGATATTCAGACCTCTTTGAGGCCTTCGTTGGAAACGGGATTTCTTCATATTCTGCTAGACAGAAGAATTCTCAGGAACTTCCTTGTGTTGTGTGTATTCAACTCACAGAGTTGAACGATACTTTACACAGAGCAGACTTGAAACACTCTTTTTGTGGAATTCGCAAGTGGAGATTTCAGCCGCTTTGAGGTCAATGGTAGAATAGGAAATATCTTCCTATAGAAACTAGACAGAATGATTCTCAGAAACTCCTTTGTGATGTGTGCCTTCAACTCACAGAGTTTAACCTTTCTTTTCATAGAGCAGTTAGGAAACACTCTGCTTGTAAAGTCTGCAAGTGGATATTCAGCCCTCTTTGAGGCCTTCGTTGGAAACGGGTTTTTTTCATATAAGGCTAGACAGAAGAATTCTCAGTAACTTCCTTGTGTTGTGTGTATTCAACTGACAGAGTTGAACTTTCATTTAGAGAGAGCAGATTTGAAACACTGTTTTTGTGGAATTTCCAATGGAGATTTCAAGCGCTTTGGGGTCAAAGGCAGAAAAGGAAATATCTTCGTATAAAAACTAGACAGAATCATTCTCAGAAACTGCTCTGTGATGTGTGCGTTCAACTCTCAGAGTTTAACTTTTCTTTTCATTCAGCAGTTTGGAAACACTCTGTTTGTAAAGTCTGCACGTGGATAATTTGACCACTTAGAGGCCTTCGTTGGAAAAGGGTTTTTTTCATGTAAGGCTAGACAGAAGAATTCCCAGTAACTTCCTTGTGTTGTGTGCATTCAACTCACAGAGTTGAACGTTCCCTTAGACAGAGCAGATTTGAAACACTCTATTTGTGCAATTTGCAAGTGTAGATTTCAAGCGCTTTAAGGTCAATGGCAGAAAAGGAAATTTCTTCGTTTCAAAACTAGACAGAATCATTCCCACAAACTGCGTTGTGATGTGTTCGTTCAACTCACAGCAGTTTAACCTTTCTGTTCATAGAGCAGTTAGGAAACACTCTGTTTGTAAAGTCTGTAAGTGGATATTCTGACATCTTGTGGCCTTCGTTGGAAACGGGATTTCTTCATATTCTGCTAGACAGAAGAATTCTCAGTAACTTCCTTGTGTTGTGTGTATTCAACTCACAGAGTTGAACGATCCTTTACACAGAGCAGACTTGAAACATTCTTTTTGTGGAATTTGCAATGGAGATTTCAGCCGCTTTGAGGTCAATGGTAGAATAGGAAATATCTTCCTATAGAAACTAGACAGAATGATTCTCATAAACTCCTTTGTGATGTGTGCGTTCAACTCACAGAGTTTAACCTTTCTTTTCATAGAGCAGTTAGGAAACACTCTGTTTGTAAAGTATGCAAGTGGATATTCAGACCTGCTTGAGGCCTTCGTTGGAAACGGGATTTCTTCATATTATGCTAGACAGAAGAATTCCCAGTAACTTCCTTGGGTTGTGTGTGTTCAACTCACAGAGTTGAACTTTCGTTTACACAGAGCAGATTTGAAACACTCTTTTTGTGGAATTTGCAGGTGGAGATTTCAAGCGCTTTGAGGCCAAAGGCAGAAAAGGAAATATCTTCGTATAAAAACTAGACAGAATCATTCTCAGAAACTGCTCTGCGATGTGTGCGTTCAACTCTCAGAGTTTAACTTTTCTTTTCATTCAGCAGTTTAGAAACACTCTGTTTGTAAAGTCTGCACGTGGATAATTTGACCACTTAGAGGCCTTCGTTGGAAACGGGTTTTTTTCATGTAAGGCTAGACAGAAGAGTTCTCAGTAACTTCCTTGTGTTGTGTGTATTCAACTCACACAGTTGAACGATCCTTTACACAGAGCAGACTTGTAACACTCTTTTTGTGGAATTTGCAAGTGGAGATTTCAGCCGCTTTGAAGTCAAAGTAGAAAAGGAAATATCTTCCAATAAAAACTAGACAGAATCATTCCCACAAACTGCGTTGTGATGTGTTCGTTCAACTCACAGAGTTTAACCGTTCTTTTCATAGAGCAGTTAGGAAACAGTCTGTTTGTCAATTCTGTAAGTGGATATTCTGACATCTTGTGGCCTTCGTTGGAAACGGGATTTCTTCATATTCTGCTAGACAGAAGAATTCTCAGAAACTTCGTTGTGTTGTGTGTTTTCAAATCACAGAGTTCAACGATCCTTTACACAGAGTAGACTTGAAACACTCTTTTTGTGGAATTGGCAAGGTGGAGATTTCAGCCGCTTTGAGGTCAATGGTAGAATAGGAAATATCTTCGTATAAAAACTAGACAGAATGATTCTCAGAAACTCCTTTGTGATGTGTGCGTTCAACTCACAGTAGTTTAACCTTTCTTTTCATAGAGCAGTTAGGAAACACTCTGTTTGTAAAGTCTGCAAGTGGATATTCAGACCTCTTTGAGGCCTTCGTTGGAAACGGGTTTTTTTCATATAAGGCTAGACAGAAGAATTCCCAGTAACTTCCATGTGTTGTGTGTGTTCAACTCACAGAGTTGAACTTTCATTTACACAGAGCAGATTTGAAACACTCATTTTGTGGAATTTGCAAATGGAGATTTCAAGCGCTTTGAGGCCAAAGGCAGAAAAGGAAATATCTTCGTATAAAAATTAGACAGAATCATTCTCAGAAACTGCTCTGCGATGTGTGCGTTCAACTCTCAGAGTTTAACTTTTCTTTTCATTCAGCAGTTTGGAAACACTCTGTTTGTAAATTCTGCACGTGGATAATTTGACCACTTAGAGGCCTTCGTTGGAAACGGGTTTTTTTCCTGTAAGGCTAGACAGAGAAGATTCCCAGTAACTTCCTTGTGTTGTGTACATTCAACTCACAGAGTTGAACGTTCCCTTAGACAGAGCAGATTTGAAACACTCTTTTTGTGCAATTGGCAAGTGGAGATTTCAAGCGCTTTAAGGTCAATGGCAGAAAAGGAAATATCTTCGTTTCAAAACTAGACAGATCATTCCCACAAACTGCGTTGTGATGTGTTCGTTCAACTCACAGAGTTTAACCTTTCTTTTCATAGAGCAGTTAGGAAACAGTCTGTTTGAAAATTCTGTAAGTGGATATTCTGACATCTTGTGGCCTTCGTTGGAAACGGGATTTCTTCATATTCTGCTAGACAGAAGAATTCTCAGTAACTTCCTTGTGTTGTGTGTATTCAACTCACAGAGTTGAACGATCCTTTACACAGAGCAGACTTGTAAAACTTTTTTGTGGAATTTGCAAGTGGAGATTTCAGCCGCTTTGAAGTCAAAGGTAGAAAAGGAAATATCTTCCTATAAAAACTAGACAGAATGATTCTCAGAAACTCCTTTGTGATGTGTGTGTCCAACTCACAGAGTTTAACCTTTCTTTTCATAGAGCAGTTAGGAAACACTCTGTTTGTAAAGTCTGCAAGAGGATATTCAGACCTCTTTGAGGCCTTCGTTGGAAACGGGATTTTTTCATATAAGGCTAGACAGAAGAATTCTCAGTAACTTCCTTGTGTTGTGTGTTTTCAACTGACAGAGTTGAACTTTCATTTGGAGAGAGCAGATTTGAAACACTGTTTTTGTGGAATTTGCAAGTGGAGATTTCAAGCGCTTTGGGGCCAAAGGCAGAAAAGGAAATATCTTCGTATAAAAACTAGACAGAATCTTTCTCAGAAACTGCTCTGCGATGTGTGCGTTCAACTCTCAGAGTTTAACTTTTCTTTTCATTCAGCAGTTTGGAAACACTCTGTTTGTAAAGTCTGCACGTGGATATTTTGACCACTTAGAGGCCTTCGTTGGAAACGGGTTTTTTTCCTGTAAGGCTAGACAGAAGAATTCTCAGTAACTTTCCTTGTGTTGTGTGTATTCAACTCACAGAGTTGAACGATCCTTTACACAGAGCAGACTTGAGACACTCTTTTTGTGGAATTTGCAAGTGGAGATTTCAGCCGCTTTGAGGTCAATGGTAGAAAAGGAAATATCTTCGTATAAAAACTAGACAGAATGATTCTCAGAAACTTCATTGTGATGTGTGCGTTCAACTCACAGAGTTTAACCTTTCTTTTCATAGAGCAGTTAGGAAACACTCTGTTTGTAAAGTCTGCAAGTGGATATTCAGACCTCTTTGAGGCCTTCGTTGGAAACGGGATTTCTTCATACTGTGCTAGACAGAAGAATTCTCAGTAACTTCCTTGTGTTGTGTGTATTCAACTCACAGAGTTGAACGATCCTTTAGAGAGAGCGGACTTGAAACACTCTTTTTGTGGAATTTGCAAGTGGAGATTTCAGCCGCGTTGAGGTCAATGATAGAAAAGGAAATATCTTCGTATAAAAACTAGACAGAATGATTCTCAGAAACTCCTTTGTGATGTGTGCGTTCAACTCACAGAGTTTAACCTTTCTTTTCATAGAGCAGTTAGGAAACACTCTGTTTGTAAAGTCTGCAAGTGGATACTCAGACCTCTTTGAGGCCTTCTTTGGAAACGGCATTTCTTCATATTATGCTAGACAGAAGAATTCCCAGTAACTTCCTTGTGTTGTGTGTGTTCAACTCATAGAGTTGAACTTTCATTTACACAGAGCAGATTTGAAACACTCTTTTTGTGGAATTTGCAAATGGAGATTTCAAGCGCTTTGAGGCCAAAGGCAGAAAAGGAAATATCTTCGTATAAAAACTCGACAGAATCATTCTCAGAAACTGCTCTGCGATGTGTGCGTTCAACTCTCAGAGTTTAACTTTTCTTTTCATTCAGCAGTTTGGAAACACTCTGTTTGTAAAGTCTGCATGTGGAAAACTTGACCACTTAGAGGCCTTCGTTGGAAACGGGTTTTTTTCATGTAAGGCTAGACAGAAGAATTCCCAGTAACTTCCTTGTGTTGTGTGCATTCAACTCACAGAGATGAACGTTCCCTTAGACAGAGCAGATTTGAAACACTCTATTTGTGCAATTTGCAAGTGTAGATTTCAAGCGCTTTAAGGTCAATGGCAGAAAAGGAAATATCTTTGTTTCAAAACTAGACAGAATCATTCCCACAAACTGCGTTGTGATGTGTTCGTTCAACTCACAGAGTTTTACCTTTCTGTTCATAGAGCAGTTAGGAAACACTCTGTTTGTAAAGTCTGTAAGTGGATATTCTGACATCTTGTGGCCTTCGTTGGAAAAGGGATTTCTTCATATTCTGCTAGACAGAAGAATTCTCAGAAACTTCCTTGTGTTGTGTGTTTTCAACTCACAGAGTTGAACGACGCTTTACACAGAGTAGACTTGAAACACTCTTTTTGTGTAATTTGCAAGTGGAGATTTCAGCCGCTTTGAGGTCAATGGTAGAAAAGGAAATATCTTCGTATAAAAACTAGACAGAATGATTCTCAGAAACTCCTTTGTGATGTGTGCGTTCAACTCACAGAGTTTAACCTTTCTTTTCATAGAGCAGTTAGGAAACACTCTGTTTGTAAAGTCTGTAAGTGGATATTCAGACCTCTTTGAGGCCTTCGTTGGAAACGGGATTTCTTCGTATTCTGCTAGACAGAAGAATTCCCAGTAACTTCCTTGTGTTGTGTACATTCAACTCACAGAGTTGAACTTTGATTTACACAGAGCAGATTTGAAACACTCTTTTTGTGGAATTTGCAAGTGGAGATTTCAAGCGCTTTGAGGCCAAAGGCAGAAAAGGAAATATCTTCGTATAAAAACTAGACAGAATCATTCTCAGAAACTGCTCTGCGATGTGTGCGTTCAACTCTCAGAGTTTAACTTTTCTTTTCATTCAGCAGTTTGGAAACACTCTGTTTGTAAAGTCTGCACGTCGATATTTTGACCACTTAGAGGCCTTCGTTGGAAACGGGTTTTTTTCCTGTAAGGCTAGACAGAAGAATTCCCAGTAACTTCCTTGTGTTGTGTGCATTCAACTCACAGAGTTGAACGTTCCATTAGACAGAGCAGATTTGAAACACTCTATTTGTGCAATTTGCAAGTGTAGATTTCAAGCGCTTTAAGGTCAATGGCAGAAAAGGAAATATCTTCGTTTCAAAACTAGACAGAATCATTCCCACAAACTGCGTTGTGATGTGTTCGTTCAACTCACAGCAGTTTAACCTTTCTGTTCACAGAGCAGTGAGGAAACACTCTGTTTGTAAACTCTGTAAGTGGATATTCTGACATCTTGTGGCCTTCGTTGGAAAAGGGATTTCTTCATATTCTGCTAGACAGAAGGATTCTCAGTAACTTCCTTGTGTTGTGTGTATTCAACTCACAGAGTTGAACGATCCTTTACACAGAGCAGACTTGAAACACTCTTTTTGTGGAATTTGCAAGTGGAGATTTCAGCCGCTTTGAGGTCAATAGTAGAAAAGGAGATATCTTCGTATAAAAACTAGACAGAATGATTCTCAGAAACTCCTTTGTGATGTGTGCGTTCAACTCACAGAGTTTAACCTTTCTTTTCATAGAGCAGTTAGGAAACACTCTGTTTGTAAAGTCTGCAAGTGGATATTCAGACCTCCTTCAGGCCTTCGTTGGAAACGGGATTTTTTCATATAAGGCTAGACAGAAGAATTCCCAGTAACTTCCTTGTGTTGTGTGTGTTCAACTCACAGAGTTGAACTTTCATTTACACAGAGCAGATTTGAAACACTCTTTTTGTGGAATTTGCAAATGGAGATTTCAAGCGCTTTGAGGCCAAAGGCAGAAAAGGAAATATCTTTCTATAAAAACTAGACAGAATCATTCTCAGAAACTGCTGCGTGATGTGTGCGTTCAACTCTCAGAGTTTAACTTTTCTTTTCATTCAGCGGTTTGGAAACACTCTGTTTGTAAAGTCTGCACGTGGAAATTTTGACCACTTAGAGGCCTTCGTTGGAAACGGGTTTTTTTCATGTAAGGCTAGACAGAAGAATTCCCAGTAACTTCCTTGTGTTGTGTGCATTCAACTCACAGAGTTGAACGTTCCCTTAGACAGAGCAGATTTGAAACACTCTATTTGTGCAATTTGCAAGTGTAGTTTTCAAGCTCTTTAAGATCAACCTGCAGAAAAGGAAATATCTTCGTTTCAAAACTAGACAGAATCATTCCCACAAACTGCGTTGTGATGTGTTCGTTCAACTCACAGAGTTTAACCTTTCTGTTCACAGAGCAGTTAGGAAACACTCTGTTTGTAAAGTCTGTAAGTGGATATTCTGACATCTTGTGGCCTTCGTTGGAAACGGGATTTCTTCATATTCTGCTAGACAGAAGAATTCTCAGTAACTTCCTTGTGTTGTGTGTATTCAACTCACAGAGTTGAACGATCCTTTACACAGAGCAGACTTGAAACACTCTTTTTGTGGAATTTGCAAGTGGAGATTTCAGCCGCGTTGAGGTCAATGTTAGAAAAGGAAATATCTTCGTATAAAAACTAGACAGAATGATTCTCAGAAACTCCTTTGTGATGTGTGCGTTCAACTCACAGAGTTTAACCTTTCTTTTCATAGAGCAGTTAGGAAACACTCTGTTTGTAAAGTATGCAAGTGGATATTCAGACCTGCTTGAGGCCTTCGTTGGAAACGGGATTTCTTCATATTATGCTAGGCAGAAGAATTCTCAGTAACTTCCTTGTGTTGTGTGTATTCAACTGACAGAGTTGAACTTTCATTTAGAGAGAGCAGATTTGAAACACTGTTTTTGTGGAATTTGCAAGTGGAGATTTCAGCCGCTTTGAGGTCAATAGTAGAAAAGGAAATATCTTCGTAGAAAAACTAGACAGAATGATTCTCAGAAACTCCTTTGTGATGTGGGCGTTGAACTCACAGAGTTTAACCTTTCTTTTCATAGAGCAGTTAGGAAACACTCTGTTTGTAAAGTCTGCACATGGATATTTTGACCACTTAGAGGCCTTCGTTGGAAACGGGTTTTTTTCATGTATGGCTAGACAGAAGAATTCCCAGTAACTTCCTTGTGTTGTGTGCATTCAACTCACAGAGTTGAACGTTCCCTTAGACAGAGCAGATTTGAAACACTCTATTTGTGCAATTTCCAAGTGTAGATTTCAAGCGCTTTAAGGTCAACGGCAGAAAAGGAAATATCTTCGTTTCAAAACTAGACAGAATCATTCCCACAAACTGCGTTGTGATGTGTTCGTTCAACTCACAGTGTTTAACCTTTCTGTTCATAGAGCAGTTAGGAAACACTCTGTTTGTAAAGTCTGTAAGTGGATATTCTGACATCTTGTGGCCATCGTTGGAAACGGGATTTCTTCATATTCTGCTAGACAGAAGAATTCCCAGTAACTTCCTTGTGTTGTGTGCATTCAACTCACAGAGTTGAACGATCCTTTACACAGAGCAGACTTGAAACACACTTTTTGTGGAATTTGCAAGTGGAGATTTCAGCCGCTTTGAGGTTAATGGTAGAAAATGAAATATCTTCGTATAGAAACTAGACAGAATGATTCTCAGAAACTCCTTTGTGATGTGTGCGTTCAACTCACAGAGTTTAACCTTTCTTTTCATAGAGCAGTTAGGAAACACTCTGTTTGTAAAGTCTGCAAGTGGATATTCAGACATCCTTGAGGCTTTCGTTTGAAACGGGATTTCTTCATATTCTGCTAGAAAGAAGAATTCCCAGTAACTTCCTTGTGTTGTGTGTGTTCAACTCACAGAGTTGAACTTTCATTTACACAGAGCAGATTTGAAACACTCTTTTTGTGGAATTTGCAAGTGGAGATTTCAAGCGCTTTGGGGCCAAAGGCAGAAAAGGAAATATCTTCGTTTCAAAACTAGACAGAATCATTCTCAGAAACTGCTCTGCGATGTGTGCGTTCAACTCTCAGAGTTTAACTTTTCTTTTCATTCAGCAGTTTGGAAACACTCTGTTTGTAAAGTCTGCACGTGGATATTTTGACCACTTAGAGGCCTTCTTTGGAAACGGGTTTTTTTCCTGTAAGGCTAGACAGAAGAATTCCCAGTAACTTCCTTGTGTTCTGTACATTCAACTCACAGAGTTGAACGTTCCCTTAGACAGAGCAGATTTGAAACACTCTTTTTGTGCAATTGGCAAGTGGAGATTTCAAGCGCTTTAAGGTCAATGGCAGAAAAGGAAATATCTTCGTTTCAAAAGTAGACAGAATCATTCCCACAAACTGCGTTGTGATGTGTTCGTTCAACTCACAGAGTTTAACCTTTCTGTTCATAGAGCAGTTAGGAAACACTCTCTTTGTAAAGTCTGTAAGTGGATATTCTGATATCTTGTGGCCTTCGTTGGAAACGGGATTTCTTCATATTCTGCTAGACAGAAGAATTCTCAGTAACTTCCCTTGTGTTGTGTGTATTCAACTCACAGAGTTGAACGATCCTTTACAGAGAGCAGACTTGAAACACTCTTTTTGTGGAATTTGCAAGTGGAGATTTCAGCCGCTTTGAGGTCAATGGTAGAAAAGGAAATATCTTCGTATAAAGAATAGACAGAATGATTCTCAGAAACTTCTTTGTGATGTGTGCGTTCAACTCACAGAGTTTAACCTTTCTTTTCATAGAGCAGTTAGGAAACACTCTGTTTGTAAAGTCTGCAAGTGGATATTCAGACCTCTTTAAGGCCTTCGTTGGAAACGGGTTTTTTTCATATAAGGCTAGACAGAAGAATTCCCAGTAACTTCCTTGTGTTGTGTGTGTTCAACTCACAGAGTTGAACTTTCATTTTCACAGAGCAGATTTGAAACACTCTTTTTGTGGAATTTGCAAATGGAGATTTCAAGCGCTTTGAGGCCAAAGGCAGAAAAGGAAATATCTTCGTATAAAAACTAGACAGAATCATTCTCAGAAACTGCTGCGTGATGTGTGCGTTCAACTCTCAGAGTTTAACTTTTCTTTTCATTCAGCGGTTTGGAAACACTCTGTTTGTAAAGTCTGCACGTGGAAATTTTGACCACTTAGAGGCCTTCGTTGGAAACGGGATTTTTTCATGTAAGGCTAGGCAGAAGAATTCCCAGTAACTTCCTTGCGTTGTGTACATTCAACTCACAGAGTTGAACGTTCCCTTAGACAGAGCAGATTTGAAACACTCTTTTTGTGCAATTGGCAAGTGGAGATTTCAAGCGCTTTAAGGTCAATGGCAGAAAAGGAAATATCTTCGTTTCAAAACTAGACAGAATCATTCCCACAAACTGCGTTGTGATGTGTTCGTTCAACTCACAGAGTTTAACCTTTCTGTTCATAGAGCAGTTAGGAAACACTCTGTTTGTAAAGTCTGTAAGTGGATATTCTGAAATCTTGTGGCCTTCGTTGGAAACGGGATTTCTTCATATTGTGCTAGACAGAAGAATTCTCAATAACTTCCTTGTGTTGTGTGTATTCAACTCACAGAGTTGAACGATCCTTTACACAGAGCGGACTTGAAACACTCGTTTTGTGGAATTTGCAAGTGGAGATTTCAGCCACGTTGAGGTCAATGGTAGAAAAGGAAATATCTTCGTATAAAAACTAGACAGAATGATTCTCAGAAACTCCTTTGTGATGTGTGCGTTCAACTCACAGAGTTCAACCTTTCTTTTCATAGAGCAGTTGGGAAACACTCTGTTTGTAAAGTCTGCAAGTGGATATTCAGACTTCCTTGAGGCCTTCGTTGGAAGCGGGATTTCTTCATATTCTGCTAGACAGAATAATTCTCAGTAACTTCCTTGTGTTGTGTTTATTCAACTAACAGAGTTGAACTTTCATTTGGAGAGAGCAGATTTGAAACACTGTTTTTGTGGAATTTGCAAGTGGAGATTTCAAGCGCTTTGGGGCCAAAGGCAGAAAAGGAAATATCTTCGTATAAAAACTAGACAGAATCATTCTCAGAAACTGCTCTGCGATGTGTGCGTTCAACTCTCAGAGTTTAACTTTTCTTTTCATTCAGCAGTTTGGAAACACTCTGTTTGTAAAGTCTGCACGTGGATATTTTGACCACTTAGAGGCCTTCGTTGGAAACGGGTTTTTTCCTGTAAGGCTAGACAAAAGAATTCCCAGTAACTTCCTTGTGTTGTGTACATTCAACTCACAGAGTTGAACGTTCCCTTAGACAGAGCAGATTTGAAACACTCTTTTTGTGCAATTGGCAAGTGGAGATTTCAAGCGCTTTAAGGTCAATGGCAGAAAAGGAAATATCTTCGTTTCAAAACTAGACAGAATGATTCTCAGAAACTCCTTTGTGATGTGTGCGTTCAACTCACAGAGTTTAACCTTTCTTTTCATAGAGCAGTTAGGAAACACTCTGTTTGTAAAGTCTGCAAGTGGATATGCAGACTTCTTTGAGGCCTTCGTTGGAAGCGGGATTGCTTCATATTCTGCTATACAGAAGAATTCTCAGTAACTTCCTTGTGTTGTGTGTATTCAACTCACAGAGTTGAACGATCCTTTACACAGAGCAGACTTGAAACACTCTTTTTTTGGAATTTGCAAGTGGAGATTTCACCCGCTTTGAGGTCAATGGTAGACTAGGAAATATCTTCCTATAGAAACTAGACAGAAATGATTCTCAGAAACTCCTTTGTGATGTGTGCGTTCAACTCACAGAGTTTAACCTTTCTTTTCATAGAGCAGTTAGGAAACACTCTGTTTGTAAAGTCTGCAAGTGGATATTCAGACCTCTTTGAGGCCTTCGTTGGAAACGGGATTTCTTCATATTCTGCTAGACAGAAGAATTCTCAGTAACTTCCTTGTGTTGTGTGTATTCAACTGACACAGTTGAACTTTCATTTAGAGAGAGCTGATTTGAAACACTGTTTTTGTGGAATTTGCAAGTGGAGATATCAAGCGCTTTGGGGCCAAAGGCAGAAAAGGAAATATCTTCGTATAAAAACTAGACAGAATCATTCTCAGAAACTGCTGCGTGATGTGTGCGTTCAACTCTCAGAGTTTAACTTTTCTTTTCATTCAGCGGTTTGGAAACACTCTGTTTGTAAAGTCTGCACGTGGATATTTTGACCACTTAGAGGCCTTCGTTGGAAACGGGTTTTTTTCATGTAAGGCTAGACAGAAGAATTCCCAGTAACTTCCTTGTGTTGTGTGCATTCAACTCACAGAGTTGTACGTTCCCTTAGACAGAGCAGATTTGAAACACTCTATTTGTGCAATTTGCAAGTGTAGATTTCAAGCGCTTTAAGGTCAATGGCAGAAAAGGAAATATCTTCGTTTCAAAACTAGACAGAATCATTCCCACAAACTGCGTTGTGATGTGTTCGTTCAACTCACAGAGTTTAACCTTTCTGTTCATAGAGCAGTTAGGAAACACTCTGTTTGTAAAGTCTGCAAGTGGATATTCAGACCTCCTTGAGGCCTTCGTTGGAAACGGGATTTCTTCATATTCTGCTAGACAGAAGAATTCTCAGTAACTTCCTTGTGTTGTGTGTATTCAACTCACAGAGTTGAACGATCCTTTACACAGAGCAGACTTGAAACACTCTTTTTGTGGAATTTGCAAGTAGAGATTTCAGCCGCTTTGAGGTCAATGGTAGAAAAGGAAATATCTTCGTATAAAGACTAGACAGAATGATTCTCAGAAACTCCTTTGTGATGTGTGCGATCAACTCACAGAGTTTAACCTTTCTTTTCATAGAGCAGTTAGGAAACACTCTGTAAAGTCTGCAAGTGGATATTCAGACATCCTTGAGGCTTTCGTTGGAAACGGGATTTCTTCATATTCTGCTAGAAAGAAGAATTCTCAGTAACTTCCTTGTGTTGTGTGTATTCAACTCAGAGTTGAACGATCCTTTACACAGAGCAGACTTGAAACACTCTTTTTGTGGAATATGCAAGTGGAGATTTCAGCCGCTTTGAGGTCAATGTTAGAATAGGAAATATCTTCCTATAGAAACTAGACACAATCATTCTCAGAAACTGCTCTGCGATGTGTGCGTTCAACTCTCAGAGTTTAACTTTTCTTTTCATTCAGCAGTTTGGAAACACTCTGTTTGTAAAGTCTGCACGTGGATAATTTGACCACTTAGAGGCCTTCGTTGGAAACGGGTTTTTTTCATGTAAGGCTAGACAGAAGAATTCCCAGTAACTTCCTTGTGTTGTGTGCATTCAACTCACAGAGTTGAACGTTCCCTTAGACAGAGCAGATTTGAAACACTCTATTTGTGCAATTTGCAAGTGTAGATTTCAAGCTCTTTAAGGTCAACGGCAGAAAAGGAAATATCTTCGTTTCAAAACTAGACAGAATCATTCCCACAAACTGCGTTGTGATGTGTTCGTTCAACTCACAGAGTTTAACCTTTCTTTTCATAGAGCAGTTAGGAAACAGTCTGTTTGTAAATTCTGTAAGTGGATATTCTGACATGTTGTGGCCTTCGTTGGAAACGGGATTTCTTCATATTCTGCTAGACAGAAGAATTCTCAGTAACTTCCTTGTGTTGTGTGTATTCAACTCACAGAGTTGAACGATCCTTTACACAGAGCAGACTTGAAACATTCTTTTTGTGGAATTTGCAAATGGAGATTTCAGCCGCTTTGAGGTCAATGGTAGAATAGGAAATATCTTCCTATAGAAACTAGACAGAATGATTCTCAGAAACTCCTTTGTGATGTGTGCGTTCAACTCACAGAGTTTAACCTTTCTTTTCATAGAGCAGTTAGTAAACACTCTGTTTATAAAGTCTGCAAGTGGATATTCAGACCCCTTTGAGGCCTTCGTTGGAAACGGGATTTCTTCATATTATGCTAGACAGAAGAATTCTCACTAACTTCCTTCTGTTGTGTGTATTCAACTGACAGAGTTGAACTTTCATTTAGAGAGAGCAGATTTGAAACACTGTTTTTGTGGAATTTGCAAGTGGAGATTTCAAGCGCTTTCGGGCCAAAGGCAGAAAAGGAAATATCTTCGTATAAAAACTAGACAGAAATCATTCTCAGAAACTGCTCTGCGATGTGTGCGTTCAACTCTCAGAGTTTAACTTTTCTTTTCATTCAGCAGTTTGGAAACACTCTGTTTGTAAAGTCTGCACGTGGATATTTTGACCACTTAGAGGCCTTCGTTGGAAACGGGTTTTTTTCCTGTAAGGCTAAACAGAAGAATTCTCAGTAACTTCCTTGTGTTGTGTGTATTCAACTCACAGAGTTGAACGATCCTTTACACAGAGCAGACTTGAAACACTCTTTTTGTGGAATTTGCAAGTGGAGATTTCAGCCGCTTTGGGGTCAATGGTAGAATAGGAAATATCTTCCTATAGAAACTAGACAGAATGATTCTCAGAAACTCCTTTGTGATGTGTGCGTTCAACTCACAGAGTTTAACCTTTCTTTTCATAGAGCAGTTAGGAAACACTCTTTTTGTAAAGTCTGCAAGTGGAAATTCAGACATCCTTGAGGCTTTCGTTGGAAACGGGATTTCTTCATGTTCTGCTAGAAAGAAGAATTCTCAGTAACTTCCTTGTGTTGTGTGTATTCAACTCACAGAGGTGAACGATCCTTTACACAGAGCAGACTTGAAACACTCTTTTTGTGGAATTTGCAAGTGGAGATTTCAGCCGCTTTGAGGTCAATGGTAGAAAAGGAAATATCTTCGTATAAAGACTAGACAGAATGATTCTCAGAAACTCGTTTGTGATGGGTGCGTTCAACTCACAGAGATTAACTTTTCTTTTCATAGAGCAGTTAGGAAACACTCTGTTTGTAAAGTCTGCAAGTGGATATTCAGACCTCTTTGTGGCCTTCGTTGGAAACGGGATTTCTTCATATTATGCTAGACAGAAGAATTCCCAGTAACTTCCCTTGTGTTGTGTGCATTCAACTCACAGAGTTGAACGTTCCCTTAGACAGAGCAGATTTGAAACACTCTATTTGTGCAATTTGCAAGTGTAGATTTCAAGCGCATTAAGGTCAATGGCAGAAAAGGAAATATCTTCGTTTCAAAACTAGACAGAATCATTCCCACAAACTGCGTTGTGATGTGTTCGTTCAACTCACAGAGTTTAACCTTTCTTATCATAGAGCACTTAGGAAACAGTCTGTTTGTAAATTCTGTAAGTGGATATTCTGACATCTTGTGGCCTTCGTTGGAAACGGGATTTCTTCATATTCTGCTAGACAGAAGAATTCCCAGTAACTTCCTTGTGTTGTGTGCATTCAACTCACAGAGTTGAACGTTCCCTTAGACAGAGCAGATTTGAAACACTCTATTTGTGCAATTTGCAAGTGTAGTTTTCAAGCTCTTTAAGGTCAACGGCACAAAAGGAAATATCTTCGTTTCAAAACTAGACAGAATCATTCCCACAAACAGCGTTGTGATGTGTTCGTTCAACTCACAGAGTTTAACCTTTCTTTTCATAGAGCAGTTAGGAAACAGTCTGTTTGTCAATTCTGTAAGTGGATATTCTGACATCTTGTGGCCTTCGTTGGAAACGGGATTTCTTCATATTCTGCTAGACAGAAGAATTCTCAGTAACTTTCCTTGTGTTGTGTGTATTCAACTCACAGAGTTGAACGATCCTTTACACAGAGCAGACTTGAAACACTCTTTTTGTGGAATTTGCAAGTGGAGATTTCAGCCGCTTTGAGTTCAATGGTAGAATAGGAAATATCTTCCTATAGAAACTAGACAGAATGATTCTCAGAAACTCCTTTGTGATGTGTGCGTTCAACTCACAGAGTTTAACCTTTCTTTTCATAGACCAGTTAGGAAACACTCTGTTTTTATAGTCTGTAAGTGGATATTCAGACATCTTTGAGGCCTTCGTTGGAAACGGGATTTCTTCATATTCTGCTATACAGAAGAATTCTCAGTAACTTCCTTGTGTTGTGTGTATTCAACTGACAGAGTTGAACATTCATTTAGAGAGAGCAGATTTGAAACACTGTTTTTGTGGAATTTGCAAGTGGAGATTTCAAGCGCTTTGGGGCCAAAGGCAGAAAAGGAAATATCTTCGTATAAAAACTAGACAGAATCATTCTCAGAAACTGCTGCGTGATGTCTGCGTTCAACTCTCAGAGTTTAACTTTTCTTTTCATTCAGCGGTTTGGAAACACTCTCTTTGTAAAGTCTGCACGTGGATATTTTGACCTCTTAGACGCCTTCGTTGGAAACGGGTTTTCTTCATGTAAGGCTAGACAGAAGAATTCCCAGTAACTTCCTTGTGTTGTGTGCATTCAACTCACAGAGTTGAACGTTCCCTTAGACAGAGCAGATTTGAAACACTCTATTTGTGCAATTTGCAAGTGTAGATTTCAAGCGCTTTAAGGTCAATGGCAGAAAAGGAAATTTCTTCTTTTCAAAACTAGACAGAAATCATTCCCACAAACTGCGTTGTGATGTGTTCGTTCAACTCACAGAGTTTAACCTTTCTGTTCATAGAGCAGTTAGGAAACACTCTGTTTGTAAAGTCTGTAAGTGGATATTCTGACATCTTGTGGCCTTCGTTGGGAACGGGATTTCTTCATATTCTGCTAGACAGAAGAATTCTCAGTAACTTCCTTGTGTTGTGTGTATTCAACTCACAGAGTTGAACGATCCTTTACACAGAGCAGACTTGAAACACTCTTTTTGTGGAATTTGCAAGTAGAGATTTCAGCCGCTTTGAGGTCAATGGTAGAATAGGAAATATCTTCCTATAGAAACTAGACAGAATGATTCTCATAAACTCCTTTGTGATGTGTGCGTTCAACTCACAGAGTTTAACTTTTCTTTTCATAGAGCAGTTAGGAAACACTCTGTTTGTAAAGTCTGCAAGTGGATATTCAGACCTCTTTGAGGCCTTCGTTGGAAACGGGATTTCTTCATATTCTGCTAGACAGAAGAATTCCCAGTAACTTCCTTGTGTTGTGTGTGTTCAACTCACAGAGTTGAACTTTCATTTACACAGAGCAGATTTGAAACACTCTTTTTGTGGAAGTTGCAAGTGGAGATTTCAAGCGCTTTGAGGCCAAAGGCAGAAAAGGAAATATCTTCGTTTCAAAACTAGACAGAATCATTCTCAGAAACTGCTCTGCGATGTGTGCGTTCAACTCTCAGAGTTTAACTTTTCTTTTCATTCAGCAGTTTGGAAACACTCTGTTTGTAAAGTCTGCACGTGGAGAATTTGACCACTTAGAGGCCTTCGTTGGAAACGGGTTTTTTTCATGTAAGGCTAGACAGAAGAATTCCCAGTAACTCCCTTGTGTTGTGTACATTCAACTCACAGAGTTGAACGTTCCCTTAGACAGAGCAGATTTGAAACACTCTTTTTGTGCAATTGGCAAATGGAGATTTCAAGCGCTTTAAGGTCAATGGCAGAAAAGGAAATATCTTCGTTTCAAAACTAGACAGAATCATTCCCACAAACTGCGTTGTGATATGTTCGTTCAACTCACAGAGTTTAACCTTTCTTTTCATAGAGCAGTTAGGAAACAGTCTGTTTGTAAATTCTGTAAGTGGATATTCTGACATCTTGTGGCCTTCGTTGGAAACGGGATTTCTTCACATTCTGCTAGACAGAAGAATTCTCAGTAACTTCCTTGTGTTGTGTGTATTCAACTCACAGAGTTGAACGATCCTTTACACAGAGCAGACTTGAAACACTCTTTTTGTGGAATTTGCAGGTGGAGATTTCAGCCGCTTTGTGTTCAATGGTAGAATAGGAAATATCTTCCTATAGAAACTAGACAGAATGATTCTCAGAAAATCCTTTGTGATGTGTGCGTTCAACTCACAGAGTTTAACCTTTCTTTTCATAGAGCAGTTAGGAAACACTCTGTTTGTAAAGTCTGCAAGTGGATATTCAGACAACTTTGAGGCTTTCGTTGGAAACGGGATTTCTTCATATTCTGCTATACAGAAGAATTCTCAGTAACTTCCTTGTGTTGTGTGTATTCAACTGACAGAGTTGAACTTTCATTTAGACAGAGCAGATTAGAAACACTCTTTTTGTGGAATTTGCAAGTGGAGATTTCAAGGGCTTTGAGGCCAAAGGCAGAAAAGGAAATATCTTCGTATAAAAACTAGACAGAATCATTCTCAGAAACTGCTCTGCGATGTGTGCGTTCAACTCTCAGAGTTTAACTTTTCTTTTCATTCAGCAGTTTGGAAACACTCTGTTTGTAAAGTCTGCACGTGGATAACTTGACCACTTAGAGGCCTTCGTTGGAAACGGTTTTTTTTCATGTAAGGCTAGACAGAAGAATTCTCAGTAACTTCCTTGTGTTGTGTGTATTCAACTGACAGAGTTGAACTTTCATTTAGAGAGAGCAGATTTGAAACACTGTTTTTGTGGAATTTGCAAGTGGTGATTTCAAGCGTTTTGGGGCCAAAGGCAGAAAAGGAAATATCTTCGTATAAAAACTAGACAGAATCATTCTCAGAAACTGCTCTGCGATGTGTGCGTTCAACTCTCAGAGTTTAACTTTTCTTTTCATTCAGTAGTTTGGAAACACTCTGTTTGTAAAGTCTGCACGTGGATAATTTGACCACTTAGAGGCCTTCGTTGGAAACGGGTTTTTTTCATGTAAGGCTAGACAGAAGAATTCTCAGTAACTTCCTTGTGTTGTGTGTATTCAACTCACAGAGTTGAACGATCGTTTACACAGAGCAGACTTGAGACACTCTTTTTGTGGAATTTGTAAGTGGAGATTTCAGCCGCTTTGTGGTCATTGGTAGAAAAGGAAATATCTTCATATAAAAACTAGACAGAATGATTCTCAGAAACTCCTTTGTGATGTGTGCGTTCAACTCACAGAGTTTAACCTTTCTTTTCATAGAGCAGTTAGGAAACACTCTGTTTGTAAAGTCTCCAAGTGGATATTCAGACCTCTTTGAGGCCTTCGTTGGAAACGGGTTTTTTCATATAAGGCTAGACAGAAGAATTCCCAGTAACTTCCTTGTGTTGTGTGTGTTCAACTCACAGAGTTGAACTTTCATTTACACAGAGCAGATTTGAAACACTCTTTTTGTGGAATTTGCAAGTGGAGATTTGAAGCGCTTTGAGGCCAAAGGCAGAAAAGGAAATATCTTCGTATAAAAACTAGACAGAATCATTCTCAGAAACTGCTGCGTGATGTGTGCGTTCAACTCTCAGAGTTTAACTTTTCTTTTCATTCAGCGGTTTGGAAACACTCTGTTTGTAAAGTCTGCACGTGGAAATTTTGACCACTTAGAGGCCTTCGTTGGAAACGGGATTTTTTCATGTAAGGCTAGGCAGAAGAATTCCCAGTAACTTCCCTTGTGTTGTGTGCATTCAACTCACAGAGTTGAACGTTCCCTTAGACAGAGCAGATTTGAAAAACTCTATTTGTGCAATTTGCAAGTGTAGATTTCAAGCGCTTTAAGGTCAATGGCAGAAAAGGAAATATCTTCGTTTCAAAACTAGACAGAATCATTCCCACAAACTGCGTTGTGATGTGTTCGTTCAACTCACAGAGTTTAACCTTTCTGTTCATAGAGCAGTTAGGAAACACTCTGTTTGTAAAGTCTGAAAGTGGATATTCTGACATCTTGTGGCCTTCGTTGGAAACGGGATTTCTTCATATTCTGCTAGACAGAAGAATTCTCAGTAACTTCCTTGTGTTGTGTGTATTCAACTCACAGAGTTGAACGATCCTTTACACAGAGCAGACTTGAAACACTCTTTTTGTGGAATTTGCAAGTGGAGATTTCAGCCGCTTTGAGGTCAACGGTAGAAAAGGAAATATCTTCGTATAAAGACTAGACAGAATGATTCTCAGAAACTTCTTTGTGATGTGTGCGTTCAACTCACAGAGTTTAACCTTTCTTTTCATAGAGCAGTTAGGAAACACTCTGTTTGTAAACTCTGCAAGTGGATATTCAGACCTCTTTGAAGCCTTCGTTGGAAACGGGATTTCTTCATACTATGCTAGACAGAAGAATTCTCAGTAACTTCTTTTTGTTGTGTGTATTCAACTCACAGAGTTGAACGATCCTTTACACAGAGCAGACTTGAAACACTCGTTTTGTGGAATTTGCAAGTGGAGATTTCAGCCGCGTTGAGGTCAATGGTAGAAAAGGAAATATCTTCGTATAAAAACTAGACAGAATCATTCTCAGAAACTGCTCTGCGATGTGTGCGTTCAACTCTCAAGAGTTTAACTTTGCTTTTCATTCAGCAGTTTGGAAACACTCTGTTTGTAAAGTCTGCACGTGGATAATTTGACCACTTAGAGGCCTTCGTTGGAAACGGGTTTTTTTCATGTAAGGCTAGACAGAAGAATTCCCAGTAACTTCCTTGTGTTGTGTACATTCAACTCACAGAGTTGAACGATCCTTTACACAGAGCAGACTTGTAACACTCTTTTTGTGGAATTTGCAAGTGGAGATTTCAGCCGCTTTGAAGTCAAAGGTAGAAAAGGAAATATCTTCCTATAAAAACTAGACAGAAAGATTCTCAGAAACTCCTTTGTGATGTGTTCGTTCATCTCACAGAGTTTAACCTTTCTTTTCATAGAGCAGTTAGGAAACAGTCTGTTTGTAAATTCTGTAAGTGGATATTCTGACATCTTGTGGCCTTCGTTGGAAACGGGATTTCTTCATATTCTGCTAGACAGAAGAATTCTCAGTAACTTCCTTGTGTTGTGTGTATTCAACTCACAGAGTTGAACGATCCTTTACACAAAGCAGACTTGAAACACTCTTTTTGTGGAATTTGCAAGTGGAGATTTCAGCCGCTTTGAGGTCAATGGTAGAAAAGGAAATATCTTCGTATAAAGACTAGACAGAATGATTCTCAGAAACTCTTTTGTGATGTGTGCGTTCAACTCACAGAGTTTAACCTTTCTGTTCATAGAGCTGGTAGGAAACACTCTGTTTGTAAAGTCTGCAAGTGGATATTCAGACCTCCTTGAGGCCTTCGTTGGAAACGGGATTTCTTCATATTCTGCTAGACAGAAGAATTCTCAGAAACTTCCATGTGTTGTGTGTTTTCAACTCACAGAGTTGAACGATGCTTTACACAGAGTAGACTTGAAACACTCTTTTTGTGTAATTTGCAAGTGGAGATTTCAGCCGCTTTGAGGTCAATGGTAGAAAAGGAAATATCTTCGTATAAAAACTAGACAGAATGATTCTCAGAAACTTCTTTGTGATGTGTGCGTTCAACTCACAGAGTTTAACCTTTCTTTTCATAGAGCAGTTAGGAAACACTCTGTTTGTAAACTCTGCAAGTGGATATTCAGACCTCTTTGAGGCCTTCGTTGGAAACGGGATTTCTCCATACTGTGCTAGACAGAAGAATTCTCAGTAACTACCTTGTGTTGTGTGTATTCAACTCACAGAGTTGAACGATCCTTTACACAGAGCGGACTTGAAACACTCGTTTTGTGGAATTTGCAAGTGGAGATTTCAGCCGCGTTGAGGTCAATGGTAGAAAAGGAAATGTCTTCGTATAAAAACTAGACAGAATCATTCTCAGAAACTGCTCTGCGATGTGTGCGTTCAACTCTCAGAGTTTAACTTTGCTTTTCTTTCAGCAGTTTGGAAACACTCTGTTTGTAAAGTCTGCACGTGGATAATTTGACCACTTAGAGGCCTTCGTTGGAAACGGGTTTTTTTCATGTAAGGCTAGACAGAAGAATTCCCAGTAACTTCCTTGTGTTGTGTGCATTCAACTCACAGAGTTGAACGTTCCCTTAGACAGAGCAGATTTGAAACACTCTATTTGTGCAATTTGCAAGTGTAGATTTCAAGCGCATTAAGGTCAATGGCAGAAAAGGAAATATCTTCGTTTCAAAATTAGACAGAATCATTCCCACAAACTGCGTTGTGATGTGTTCGTTCAACTCACAGAGTTTAACCTTTCTTTTCATAGAGCAGTTAGGAAACACTCTGTTGTAAATTCTGTAAGTGGATATTCTGACATCTTGGGGCCTTCGTTGGAAACGGGATTTCTTCATATTCTGCTAGACAGAAGAATGCTCAGTAACTTCCGCGTGTTGTGTGTATTCAACTCAGAGAGTTGAACGATCCTTTACACAGAGCAGACTTGAAACACTCTTTTTGTGGAATTTGCAAGTGGAGATTTCAGCCGCTTTGAGGTCAATGGTAGAAAAGGAAATATCTTCCTATAAAAACTAGACAGAATGATTCTCAGAAACTCCTTTGTGATGTGTGTGTTCAACTCACAGAGTTTAACCTTTCTATTCATAGAGTAGTTAGGAAACACTCTGTTTGTAAAGTCTGCAAGTGGATATTTTGACCTCTTTGAGGCCTTCGTTGGAAACGGGTTTTTTTCATGTAAGGCTAGACAGAAGAATTCCCAGTAACTTCCTTGTGTTGTGTGTGTTCAACTCACAGAGTTGAACTTTCATTTACACAGAGCAGATTTGAAACACTCTTTTTGTGGAATTTGCAAGTGGAGATTTCAAGCGATTTGAGGCCAAAGGCAGAAAAGGAAATATCTTCGTATAAAAACGAGACAGAATCATGCTCAGAAACTGCTCTGCGATGTGTGCGTTCAACTCTCAGAGTTTAACTTTTCTTTTCATTCAGCAGTTTGGAAACACTCTGTTTGTAAAGTCTGCACGTGCATAATTTGACCGCTTAGAGGCCTTCGTTGGAAACGGGTTTTTTTCATGTAAGGCTAGACAGAAGAATTCCCAGTAACTTTCCTTGTGTTGTGTGCATTCAACTCACAGAGTTGAACGTTCCCTTAGACAGAGCAGATTTGAAACACTCTATTTGTGCAATTTGCAAGTGTAGATTTCAAGCGCTTTAAGGTCAATGGCAGAAAAGGAAATATCTTCGTTTCAAAACTACACAGAATCATTCCCACAAACTGCGTTGTGATGTGTTCGTTCAACTCATAGAGTTTAACCTTTCTGTTCATAGAGCAGTTAGGAAACACTCTGTTTGTAAAGTCTGTAAGTGGATATTCTGACCTCTTGTGGCCTTCGTTGGAAACGGGATTTCTTCATATTCTGCTAGACAGAATAATTCTCAGTAACTTCCTTGTGTTGTGTGTATTCAACTCACAGTAGTTGAAGGATCCTTTACAGCGAGCAGGCTTGAAACACTCTTTTTGTCGAATTTGCAAGTGGAGATTTCAGCCGCTTTGAGGTCAATGGTAGAATAGGAAATATCTTCTTATAGAAACTAGACAAAATGATTCTCATAAACTCCTTTGTGATGTGTGCGTTCAACTCACAGAGTTTAACCTTTCTTTTCATAGAGCAGTTAGGAAACACTCTGTTTGTAAAGTCTGCAAGTGGATATTCAGACCTCTTTGAGACCTTCGTTGGAAACGGGATTTCTTCATATTCTGCTAGACAGAAGAATTCTCAGTAACTTCCTTGTGTTGTGTGTATTCAACTGACAGAGTTGAACTTTCATTTAGAGGGAGCAGATTTGAGACACTGTTTTTGTGGAATTTGCAATTGGAGATTTCAAGCGCTTCGGAGCCAAAGGCAGAAAAGGAAATATCTTCGTATAAAAACTAGGCAGAACCATTCTCAGAAACTGCTGCGTGATGTGTGCGTTCAACTCTCAGAGTTTAACTTTTCTTTTCATTCAGCGGTTTGGAAACACTCTGTTTGTAAAGTCTGCACGTGGATATTTTGACCACTTAGAGGCCTTCGTTGGAATCGGGTTTTTTTCATGTAAGGCTAGACAGAAGAATTCTCAGAAACTTCCTTGTGTTGTGTGTTTTCAACTCACAGAGTTGAACGATGCTTTACACAGAGTAGACTTGAAACACTCTTTTTGTGTAATTTGCAAGTAGAGATTTCAGCCGCTTTGAGGTCAACGGTAGAAAAGGAAATATCTTCGTATAAAAACTAGACAGAATGATTCTCAGAAACTCCTTTGTGATGTGTGCATTCAACTCACAGAGTTTAACCTTTCTTTTCATAGAACAGTTAGGAAACACTCTGTTTGTAAAGTCTGCAAGTGGATATTCAGACCTCTTTGAGGCCTTCGTTGGAAACGGGATTTCTTCATATTATGCTAGACAGAAGAATTCTCAGTAACTTCCTTGTGTTGTGTGTATTCAACTCACAGAGTTGAACGATCCTTTACACAGAGCAGACTTGAAACACTCTTTTTGTGGAAATTGCAAGTGGAGATTTCAGCCGCTTTGAGGTCAATGGTAGAAAAGGAAATATCTTCGTATAAAAACTAGACACAATGATTCTCAGAAACTCCTTTGTGATGAGTGCGTTCAACTCACAGATTTTAACCTTTCTTTTCATAGAGCAGTTAGGAAACACTCTGTTTGTAAAGTCTGCACGTGGATATTTTGACCTCTTTGAGGCCTTCCGTGGAAACGGGATTTTTTCATATAAGGCTAGACAGAAGAATTCTCAGTAACTTCCTTGTGTTGTGTGTATTCAACTCACAGAGTTGAACTTTCATTTACACAGAGCAGATTTGAAACACTCTTTTTGTGGAATTTGCAAATGGAGATTTCAAGCGCTTTGAGGCCAAAGGCAGAAAAGGAAATATCTTCTTATAAAAACTAGACAGAATCATTCTCAGAAACTGCTCTGCGATGTGTGCGTTCAACTCTCAGAGTTTAACTTTTCTTTTCATTCAGCAGTTTGTAAACACTCTGTTTGTAAAGTCTGCACGTTGATAATTTGACCACTTAGAGGCCTTCGTTGGAAACGGGTTTTTTTCATATAAGGCTAGACAGAAGAATTCCCAGTAACTTCCTTGTGTTGTGTACATTCAACTCACAGAGTTGAACGTTCCCTTAGACAGAGCAGATTTGAAACACTCTTTTTGTGCAATTGGCAAATGGAGATTTCAAGCGCTTTAAGGTCAATGGCAGAAAAGGAAATATCTTCGTTTCAAAACTAGACAGAATGATTCTCAGAAAGTCCTTTGTGATGTGTGCGTTCAACTCACAGAGTTCAACCTTTCTTTTCATAGAGCAGTTGGGAAACACTCTGTTTGTAAAGTCTGCAAGTGGATATTCAGACTTCTTTGAGGCCTTCGTTGGAAGCGGGATTTCTTCATATTCTGCTAGACAGAAGAATTCTCAGTAACTTCCTTGTGTTGTGTGTATTCAACTCACAGAGTTGAACGATCCTTTACACAGAGCAGACTTGAAACACTCTTTTTGTGGAATTTGCAATTGGAGATTTCAGCCGCTTTGAGGTCAATGGTAGAATAGGAAATATCTTCCTATAGAAACTAGCCAGAATGATTCTCAGAAACTCCTTTGTGATGTGTGCGTTCAACTCTCAGAGTTTAACTTTTCTTTTCATTCAGCAGGTTGGAAACACTCTGTTTGTAAAGTCTGCACGTGGATAATTTGACCACTTAGAGGCCTTCGTTGGAAACGGGTTTTTTTCCTGTAAGGCTAGACAAAAGAATTCCCAGTAACTTCCTTGTGTTGTGTGTGTTCGACTCACAGAGTTGAACTTTCATTTACAGAGAGCAGATTTGAAACACTCTTTTTGTGGAATTTGCAAGTGGAGATTTCAAGCGCTTTGAGGCCAAAGGCAGAAAAGGAAATATCTTCGTTTCAAAACTAGACAGAATCATTCTCAGAAACTGCTGCGTGATGTGTGCGTTCAACTCTCAGAGTTTAACTTTTCTTTTCATTCAGCGGTTTGGAAACACTCTGTTTGTAAAGTCTGAACGTGGAAATTTTGACCACTTAGAGGCCTTCGTTGGAAACGGGTTTTTTTCTTGTAAGGCTAGACAGAAGAATTCCCAGTAACTTCCTTGTGTTGTGTGCATTCAACTCACAGAGTTGAACGTTCCCTTAGACAGAGCAGATTTGAAACACTCTATTTGTGCAATTTGCAAGTGTAGATTTCAAGCGCTTTAAGGTCAATGGCAGAAAAGGAAATATCTTCGTTTCAAAACTAGACAGAATGATTCTCAGAAACTCCTTTGTGATGTGTGCGTTCAACTCACAGAGTTTAACCTTTCTTTTCATAGAGCAGTTAGGAAACACTCTGTTTGTAAAGTCTGCAAGTGGATATTCAGACCTCCTTGAGGCCTTCGTTGGAAACGGGATTTCTTCATATTATGGTAGACAGAAGAATTCTCAGTAACTTCCTTGTGTTGTGTGTATTCAACTCACAGAGTTGAACGATCCTTTACACAGAGCAGACTTGAAACTCTCTTTTTGTGGAATTTGCAAGTGGAGATTTCAGCCGCTTTGAGGTCAATGGTAGAATAGGAAATATCTTCCTATAGAAACTAGACAGAATGATTCTCAGAAACTCCTTTGTGATGTGTGTGTTCAACTCACAGAATTTAACCTTTCTTTTCATAGAGCAGTTAGTAAACACTCTGTTTATAAAGTCTGCAAGTGGATATTCAGACCCCTTTGAGGCCTTCGTTGGAATCGGGATTTCTTCATATTATGCAAGACAGAAGAATTCCCAGTAACTTCCTTGTGTTGTGTGTGTTCAACTCACAGCGTTGAACTTTCATTTACACAGAGCAGATTTGAAACACTCTTTTTGTGGAATTTGCAAGTGGAGATTTCAAGCGCTTTGAGGCCAAAGGCAGAAAAGGAAATATCTTCGTATAAAAATTAGACAGAATCATTCTCAGAAACTGCTCTGCGATGTGTGCGTTCAACTCTCAGAGTTTAACTTTGCTTTTCATTCAGCAGTTTGGAAACACTCTGTTTGTAAAGTCTGCACGTGGATAATTTGACCACTTAGAGGCCTTCGTTGGAAACGGGTTTTTTTTATGTAAGGCTAGACAGAAGAATTCCCAGTAACTTCCTTGTGTTGTGTGCATTCAACTAACAGAGTTGAACGTTCCCTTAGACAGAGCAGATTTGAAACACTCTATTTGTGCAATTTGCAAGTGTAGATTTCAAGCGCTTTAAGGTCAATGGCAGAAAAGGAAATATCTTCGTTTCAAAACTAGACAGAATCATTCCCACAAACTGCGTTGTGATGTGTTCGTTCAACTCACAGAGTTTAACCTTTCTGTTCATAGAACAGTTAGGAAACACTCTGTTTGTAAAGTCTGCAAGTGGATATTCAGACCTCTTTGAGGCCTTCGTTGGAAACGGGATTTCTTCATATTATGCTAGACAGAAGAATTCTCAGTAACTTCCTTGTGTTGTGTGTATTCAACTCACAGAGTTGAACGATCCTTTACACAGACCAGACTTGAAACACTCTTTTTGTGGAATTTGCAAATGGAGATTTCAGCCGCTTTGAGGTCAATGGTAGAAAAGGAAATATCTTCGTATAAACACTAGACAGAATGATTCTCAGAAACTCCTTTGTGATGTGTGCGTTCAACTCACAGAGTTTAACCTTTCTTTTCATAGAGCAGTTAGGAAACACTCTGTTTGTAAAGTCTGCAAGTGGATATTCAGACATCTTTGAGGCTTTCGTTGGAAACGGGATTTCTTCATATTCTGCTATACAGAAGAATTCTCAGAAACTTCCTTGTGTTGTGTGTTTTCAACTCACAGAGTTGAACGATGCTTTACACAGAGCAGACTTGAAACACTCTTTTTGTGGAATTTGCAAGTGGAGATTTCAGCCGCTTTGAGGTCAATGGTAGAATAGGAAATATCTTCCTATAGAAACTAGACAGAATCATTCTCAGAAACTGCTCTGCGATGTGTGCGTTCAACTCTCAGAGTTTAACTTTTCTTTTCATTCAGCAGTTTGGAAACACTCTGTTTGTAAAGTCTGAAGGTGGATATTTTGACCACTTAGAGGCCTTCGTTGGAAACGGGTTTTTTTCCTGTAAGGCTAGACAGAAGAATTCCCAGTAACTTCCTTGTGTTGTGTACATTCAACTCACAGAGTTGAACGTTCCCTTAGACAGAGCAGACTTGTAACACTCTTTTTGTGTAATTTGCAAGTGGAGATTTCAGCCGCTTTGAAGTCAAAGGTAGAAAAGGAAATATCTTCCTATAAAAAGTAGACAGAATCATTCCCACAAACTGCGTTGTGATGTGTTCGTTCAACTCACAGAGTTTAACCTTTCTGTTCATAGAGCAGTTAGGAAACACTCTGTTTGTAAAGTCTGCAAGTGGATATTCAGACCTCCTTGAGGCCTTCGTTGGAAACGGGATTTCTTCATATTCTGCTAGACAGAATAATTCTCAGTAACTTCCTTGTGTTGTGTGTATTCAACTCACAGAGTTGAACGATCCTTTACACAGAGCAGACTTGAAACACTCTTTTTGTGGAATTTGCAAGTGTAGATTTCAAGCGCTTTAAGGTCAATGGCAGAAAAGGAAATATCTTCGTTTCAAAACTAGACAGAATGATTCTCAGAAACTCCTTTGTGATGTGTGCGTTGAACTCACAGAGTTTAACCTTTCTTTTCATAGAGCAGTTAGGAAACACTCTGTTTGTAAAGTCTGCAAGTGGATATTCAGACATCGTTGAGGCTTTCCTTGGAAACGGGATTTCTTCATATTCTGCTAGAAAGAAGAATTCCCAGTAACTTCCTTGTGTTGTGTGTGTTCAACTCACAGAGTTGAACTTTCATTTACACAGAGCAGATTTGAAACACTCTTTTTGAGGAATTTGCAAGTGGAGATGTCAAGCGCTTTGAGGCCAAAGGCAGAAAAGGAAATATCTTCGTTTCAAAACTAGACAGAATCATTCTCAGAAACTGCTCTGCGATGTGTGCGTTCAACTCTCAGAGTTTAACTTTTCTTTTCATTCAGCAGTTTGGAAACACTCTGTTTGTAAAGTCTCCACGTGGATATTTTGACCACTTAGAGGCCTTCGTTGGAAACGGGTTTTTTTCCTGTAAGGCTAGACAGAAGAATTCCCAGTAACTTCCTTGTGTTGTGTACATTCAACTCACAGAGTTGAACGTTCCCTTAGACAGAGCAGATTTGAAACACTCTTTTTGTGCAATTGGCAAGTGGAGATTTCAAGCGCTTTGAGGTCAATGGCAGAAAAGGAAATATCTTCGTTTCAAAACTAGACAGAATAATTCCCACAAACTGCGTTGTGATGTGTTCGTTCAACTCACAGAGTTTAACCTTTGTTTTCATAGAGGAGTTAGGAAACAGTCTGTTTGTAAATTCTGTAAGTGGATATTGTGACATCTTGTGGCCTTCGTTGGAAACGGGATTTCTTCATATTCTGCTATACAGAAGAATTCTCAGTAACTTCCTTGTGTTGTGTGTATTCAACTCAAAGAGTTCAACGATCCTTTATACAGAGCAGACTTGAAACACTCTTTTTGTGGAATTTGCAAGTGGAGATCTCAGCCGATTTGTGGTCAATAGTAGAAAAGGAAATATCTTCGTATAAAAACTAGACAGAATGACTCTCAGAAACTCCTTTGTGATGTGTGCGTTCAACTCACAGAGT
Organism: Homo sapiens; assembly: GCF_000001405.40. Taxonomy (NCBI): domain Eukaryota; kingdom Metazoa; phylum Chordata; class Mammalia; order Primates; family Hominidae; genus Homo; species Homo sapiens. The sequence continues at coordinate 124,516,127 of NC_000001.11, forward strand.
TTAACTTTTCTTTTCATAGACCAGTTAGGAAACACTCTGTTTGTAATGTCTGCAAGTGGATATTCAGACCTCTTTGAGGCCTTCGTTGGAAACGGGATTTCTTCATATTCTGCTAGACAGAAGAATTCCCAGTAACTTCCTTGTGTTGTGTGTGTTCAACTCACAGAGTTGAACTTTCATTTACACAGAGCAGATTTGAAACACTCTTTTTGTGGAATTTGCAAGTGGAGATTTCAAGCGCTTTGAGGCCAAAGGCGGAAAAGGAAATATCTTCGTTTCAAAACTAGACAGAATCATTCCCAGAAACTGCTCTGCGATGTGTGCGTTCAACTCTCAGAGTTTAACTTTTCTTTTCATTCAGCAGTTTGGAAACACTCTGTTTGTAAAGTCTGCACGTGGATATTTTGACCACTTAGAGGCCTTCGTTGGAAACGGGTTTTTTTCCTGTAAGGCTAGACAGAAGAATTCCCAGTAACTTCCTTGTGTTGTGTACATTCAACTCACAGAGTGGAACGTTCCCTTAGACAGAGCAGATTTGAAACACTCTTTTTGTGCAATTGGCAAGTGGTGATTTCAGCCGCTTTGAGGTCAATGGTATAAAAGGAAATATCTTCGTATAAAAACTAGACAGAATCATTCCCACAAACTGCGTTGTGATGTGTTCGTTCAACTCACAGAGTTTAACCTTTCTGTTCATAGAGCAGTTAGGAAACACTCTGTTTGTAAAGTCTGCAAGTGGATATTCAGACCTCTTTGAGGCCTTCGTTGGAAACGGGATTTCTTCATATTATGCTAGACAGAAGAATTCTCAGTAACTTCCTTGTGTTGTGTGTATTCAACTCACAGAGTTGAACGATCCTTTACACAGAGCGGACTTGAAACACTCTTTTTGTGGAATTTGCAAGTGGAGATTTCAGCCGCGTTGAGGTCAATGGTAGAAAAGAAAATATCTTCGTATAAAAACTAGACAGAATGATTCTCAGAAACTCCTTTGTGATGTGTGTGTTCAACTCACAGAGTTTAACCTTTCTTTTCATAGAGCAGTTAGGAAACACTCTGTTTGTAAAGTCTGCAAGTGGATATTCAGACCTCTTTGAGGCCTTCATTGGAAACGGGTTTTTTTCATATAAGGCTAGACAGAAGAATTCCCAGTAACTTCCTTGTGTTGTGTGTGTTCAACTCACAGAGTTGAACTTTCATTTACACAGAGCAGATTTGAAACACTCTTTTTGTGGAATTTGCAAGTGGAGATTTCAAGCGATTTGAGACCAAAGGCAGAAAAGGAAATATCTTCGTTTCAAAACTAGACAGAATCATTCTCAGAAACTGCTGTGTGATGTGTGCGTTCAACTCTCAGAGTTTAACTTTTCTTTTCATTCAGCGGTTTGGAAACACTCTGTTTGTAAAGTCTGCACGTGGATATTTTGACCACTTAGAGGCCTTCGTTGGAAACGGGTTTTTTTCATGTAAGGCTAGACAGAAGAATTCTCAGTAACTTCCTTGTGTTGTGTACATTCAACTCACAGAGTTGAACGATCCTTTACACAGAGCAGACTTGTAACACTCTTTTTGTGGAATTTGCAAGTGGAGATTTCAGCCGCTTTGAAGTCAAAGGTAGAAAAGGAAATATCTTCCTATAAAAACTAGACAGAATGATTGTCAGAAACTCCTTTGTGATGTGTGCGTTCAACTCACAGAGTTTAACCTTTCTTTTCATAGAGCAGTTAGGAAACACTCTGTTTGTAAAGTCTGCAAGTGGATATTCAGACCTCTTTGAGGCCTTCGTTGGAAACGGGATTTCTTCATACTGTGCTAGACAGAAGAATTCTCAGTAACTTCCTTGTGTTGTGTGTATTCAATTCACAGAGTTGAACGATCCTTTACACAGAGCAGACTTGTAACACTCTTTTTGTGGAAATTGCAAGTGGAGATTTCAGCCGCTTTGAAGTCAAAGGTAGAAAAGGAAATATCTTCCTATAAAAACTAGACAGAATGATTCTCAGAAACTTCTTTGTGATGTGTGCGTTCAACTCACAGAGTTTAACCTTTCTTTTCATAGAGCAGTTAGGAAACACTCTGTTTGTAAACTCTGCAAGTGGATATTCAGACCTCTTCGAGGCCTTCGTTGGAAACGGGATTTCTTCATACTGTGCTAGACAGAAGAATTCCCAGTAACTTCCTTGTGTTGTGTGTGTTCAAGTCACAGAGTTGAACTTTCATTTACACAGAGAAGATTTGAAACACTCTTTTTGTGGAATTTGCAAGTGGAGATTTCAAGCGCTTTGAGGCCAAAGGCAGAAAAGGAAATATCTTCGTTTCAAAACTAGACAGAATCATTCTCAGAAACTGCTCTGCGATGTGTGCGTTCAACTCTCAGAGTTTAACTTTTCTTTTCATTCAGCAGTTTGGAAACACTCTGTTTGTAAAGTCTGCACGTGGATATTTTGACCATTTAGAGGCTTTCGTTGGAAACGGGTTTTTTTCTTGTAAGGCTAGACAGAAGAATTCCCAGTAACTTCCTTGTGTTGTGTACATTCAACTCACAGAGTTGAACGTTTCCTTAGAGAGAGCAGATTTGAAACACTCTTTTTGTGCAATTGGCAAGTGGTGATTTCAGCCGCTTTGAGGTCAATGGTAGAAAAGGAAATATCTTCGTATAAAAACTAGACAGAATGATTCTCAGAAACTCCTTTGTGATGTGTGCGTTCAACTCACAGAGTTTACCCTTTCTTTTCATAGAGCAGTTAGGAAACACTCTGTTTGTAAAGTCTGCAATTGGATATTCAGACATCCTTGAGGCTTTCGTTGGAAACGGGATTTCTTCATATTCTGCTAGAAAGAAGAATTCTCAGTAACTTCCTTGTGTTGTGTGTATTCAACTCACAGAGTTGAACGATCCTTTACACAGAGCAGACTTGAAACACTCTTTTTGTGGAATTTGCAAGTGGAGATTTCAGCCGCTTTGAAGTCAATGGTAGAATAGGAAATATCTTCCTATAGAAACTAGACAGAATGATTCTCAGAAACTCCTTTGTGATGTGTGTGTTCAACTCACAGAGTTTAACCTTTCTTTTCATAGAGCAGTTAGTAAACACTCTGTTTATAAAGTCTGCAAGTGGATATTCAGACCCCTTTGAGGTCTTCGTTGGAAACGGGATTTCTTCATATTATGCTAGACAGAAGAATTCCCAGTAACTTCCTTGTGTTGTGTGTGTTCAACTCACAGAGTTGAACTTTCATTTACACAGAGCAGATTTGAAACACTCTTTTTGTGGAATTTGCAAGTGGAGATTTCAAGCGCTTTGAGGCCAAAGGCAGAAAAGGGAATATCTTCGTATAAAAACTAGACAGAATCATTCTCAGAAACTGCTCTGCGATGTGTGCGTTCAACTCTCAGAGTTTGACTTTTCTTTTCATTCAGCAGTTTGGAAACACTCTGTTTGTAAAGTCTGCACGTGGATATTTTGACCACTTAGAGGCCTTCGTTGGAAACGGGTTTTTTTCCTGTAAGGCTAGACAGAAGAATTCCCAGTAACTTCCTTGTGTTGTGTACATTCAACTCACAGAGTTGAACGTTCCCTTAGACAGAGCAGATTTGAAACACTCTTTTTGTGCAATTGGCAAATGGAGATTTCAAGCGCTTTAAGGTCAATGGCAGAAAAGGAAATATCTTCGTTTCAAAACTAGACAGAATCATTCCCACAAACTGCGTTGTGATGTGTTCGTTCAACTCACAGAGTTTAACCTTTCTTTTCATAGAGCAGTTAGGAAACAGTCTGTTTGTCAATTCTGTAAGTGGATATTCTGACATCTTGTGGCCTTCGTTGGAAACGGGATTTCCTCATACTCTGCTAGACAGAAGAATTCTCAGTAACTTCCTTGTGTTGTGTGTATTCGACTCACAGAGTTGAACGATCCTTTACACAGAGCATACTTGAAACACTCTTTTTGTGGAATTTGCAAGTGGAGATTTCAGCCGCTTTGAGGTCAATGGTAGAATAGGAAATATCTTCCTATAGAAACTAGACAGAATGATTCTCAGAAACTCCTTTGTGATGTGTGCGTTCAACTCACAGAGTTTAACCTTTCTTTTCATAGAGCAGTTAGGAAACACTCTGTTTGTAAAGTCTGCAAGTGGATATTCAGACATCTTTGAGGCTTTCTTTGAAATGGGATTTCTTCATATTCTGCTAGACAGAAGAATTCCCAGTAACTTCCTTGTGTTGTGTGTGTTCAACTCACAGAGTTGAACTTTCATTTACACAGAGCAGATTTGAAACACTCTTTTTGTGGAATTTGCAAGTGGAGATTTCAAGCGCTGTGAGGCCAAAGGCAGAAAAGGAAATATCCTCGTATAAAAACTAGACAGAATCATTCTCAGAAACTGCTGCATGATGTGTGCGTTCAACTCTCAGAGTTTAACTTTTCTTTTCATTCAGCGGTTTGGAAACACTCTGTTTGTAAAGTCTGCACGTGGATATTTTGACCACTTAGAGGCCTTCGTTGGAAACGGGTTTTTTCATGTAAGGCTAGACAGAAGAATTCCCAGTAACTTCCCTTGTGTTGTGTGCATTCAACTCACAGAGTTGAACGTTCCCTTAGACAGAGCAGATTTGAAACACTCTATTTGTGCAATTTGCAAGTGTAGTTTTCAAGCTCTTTAAGGTCAACGGCAGAAAAGGAAATATCTTCGTTTCAAAACTAGACAGAATCATTCCCACAAACTGCGTTGTGATGTGTTCGTTCAACTCACAGAGTTTAACGTTTCTTTTCATAGAGCATTTAGGAAACAGTCTGTTTGTCAATTCTGTAAGTGGATATTCTGACATCTTGTGGCCTTCGTTGGAAACGGGATTTCTTCATATTCTGCTAGACAGAAGAATTCTCAGTAACTTCCTTGTGTTGTGTTTATTCAACACACAGAGTTGAATGATCCTTTACACAGAGCAGACTTGAAACACTCTTTTTGTGGAATTTGCAAGTGGAGATTTCAGCCGCTTTGTGGTCAATGGTAGAAAAGGAAACTATCTTCATATAAAGACTAGACAGAATGATTCTCAGAAACTCCTTTGTGATGTGTGCGTTCAACTCACGGAGTTTAACCTTTCTTTTCATAGAGCAGTTAGGAAACACTCTGTAAAGTCTGCAAGTAGATATTCAGACCTCTCTGAGGCCTTCGTTGGAAACGGGATTTCTTCATATTATGCTAGACAGAAGAATTCTCAGTAACTTCCTTGTGTTGTGTGCATTCAACTCACAGAGTTGAAAGATCCTTTACACAGAGCAGATTAGAAACAATATTTTTGTGGATTTTGCAAGCGGAGATTTCAGCCACTTTGAGGTCAATGGTAGAAAAGGAAATATCTTCATAAAAAAACTAGACAGAATCATTCTCAGAAACTGCTGCGTGATGTGTGCGTTCAACTCTCAGAGTTTAACTTTTCTTTTCATTCAGCGGTTTGGAAACACTCTGTTTGTAAAGTCTGCACGTGGAAATTTTGACCACTTAGAGGCCTTCGTTGGAAACGGGTTTTTTTCATGTAAGGCTCGACAGAAGAATTCCCAGTAACTTCCTTGTGTTGTGTACATTCAACTCACAGAGTTGAACGTTCCCTTACACAGAGCAGATTTGAAACACTCTTTTTGTGCAATTGGCAAGTGGAGATTTCAAGCGCTTTAAGGTCAATGGCAGAAAAGGAAATATCTTCGTTTCAAAACTAGACAGAATCATTCCCACAAACTGCGTTGTGATGTGTGCGTTCAACTCACAGAGTTTAACTTTTCTTTTCATAGAGCAGTTAGGAAACACTCTGTTTGTAAAGTCTGCAAGTGGATATTCAGACCTCTTTGAGGCCTTCGTTGGAAACGGGATTTCTTCATATTCTGCTAGACAGAAGAATTCTCAGTAACTTCCTTGTGTTGTGTGTATTCAACTCACAGAGTTGAACGATCCTTTACACAGAGCAGACTTGGAACACTGTTCTTGTGGAATTTGCAAGTGGAGATTTCAGCCGCGTTGAGGTCAATGGTAGAAAAGGAAATATCTTCGTATAAAAACTAGACAGAATGATTCTCAGAAACTCCTTTGTGATGTGTGCGTTCAACTCACAGAGTTTAACCATTCTTTTCATAGAGCAGTTAGGAAACACTCTGTTTGTAAAGTCTGCAAGTGGATATTCAGACCTCCTTGAGGCCTTCGTTGGAAACGGGATTTCTTTATATTCTGCTAGACAGAAGGATTCCCAGTAACTTCCTTGTGTTGTGTGTGTTCAACTCACAGAGTTGAACTTTCATTTACAAAGAGCAGATTTGAAACACTCTTTTTGTGGAATTTGCAAGTGGAGATTTCAAGCGCTTTGAGGCCAAAGGCAGAAAAGTAAATATCTTCGTATAAAAACTAGACAGAATCATTCTCAGAAACTGCTCTGCGATGTGTGCGTTCAACTCTCAGAGTTTAACTTTTCTTTTCATTCAGCAGTTTGGAAACACTCTGTTTGTAAAGTCTGCACGTGGATAATTTGGCCACTTAGAGGCCTTCGTTGGAAACGTGTTTTTTTCATGTAAGGCTAGACAGAAGAATTCCCAGTAACTTCCTTGTGTTGTGTGCATTCAACTCACAGAGTTGAACGTTCCCTTAGACAGAGCAGATTTGAAACAGCCTATTTGTGCAATTTGCAAGTGTAGATTTCAAGCGCTTTAAGGTCAACGGCTGAAAAGGAAATATCTTCGTTTCAAAACTATACAGAATGATTCTCAGAAACTCCTTTGTGATGTGTGCGTTCAACTCACAGAGTTTAACCTTACTTTTCATAGAGCAGTTAGGAAACACTCTGTTTGTAAAGTCTGCAAGTGGATATTCAGACCTCCTTGAGGCCTTCATTGGAAACGGGATTTCTTCATGTTCTGCTAGACAGAATAATTCTCAGTAACTTCCTTGTGTTGTGTGTATTCAACTCACAGAGTTGCACGATCCTTTACACAGAGCAGACTTGAAACACTCTTTTTGTGGAATTTGCAAGTGGAGATTTCAGCCGCTTTGAGGTCAATAGTAGAAAAGGAAATATCTTCGTAGAAAAACTACACAGAATGATTCTCAGAAACTCCTTTGTGATGTGTGTGTTCAACTCACTGAGTTTAACCTTTCTTTTCATAGAACAGTTAGTAAACACTCTGTTTATAAAGTCTGCAAATGGATATTCAGACCCATTTGAGGCCTTCGTTGGAAACGGGATTTCTTCATATTATGCTAGACAGAAGAATTCCCAGTAACTTCCTTGTGTTGTGTGTGTTCAACTCACATAGTTGAACTTTCATTTACACAGAGCAGATTTGAAACACTCTTTTTGTGGAATTTGCAAATGGAGATTTCAAGCGCTTTGAGGCCAAAGGCAGAAAAGCAAATATCTTCGTATAAAAACTAGACAGAATCATTCTCAGAAACTGCTCTGCGATGTGTGCGTTCAACTCTCAGAGTTTAACTTTTCTTTTCATTCAGCAGTTTGGAAACACTCTGTTTGTAAAGTCTGCACGTGGATATTTTGACCACTTAGAGGCCTTCGTTGGAAATGGGTTTTTTTCCTGTAAGGCTAGACAGAAGAATTCGCAGTAACTTCCTTGTGTTGTGTACATTCAACTCACAGAGTTGAACGTTCCCTTAGACAGAGCAGATTTGAAACACTCTTTTTGTGCAATTGGCAAGTGGAGATTTCAAGCGCTTTAAGGTCAATGGCAGAAAAGGAAATATCTTCGTTTCAAAACTAGACAGAATCATTCCCACAAACTGCGTTGTGATGTGTTCGTTCAACTCACAGAGTTTAACCTTTCTGTTCATAGAGCAGTTAGGAAACACTCTGTTTGTAAAGTCTGTAAGTGGATATTCTGACATCTTGTGGCCTTCGTTGGAAACGGGATTTATTCATATTCTGCTAGACAGAAGAATTCTCAGTAACTTCCTTGTGTTGTGTGTATTCAACTCACAGAGTTGAATGATCCTTTACACAGAACAGACTTGAAACACTCTTTTTGTGGAATTTGCAAGTGGAGATTTCAGCCGCTTTGTGGTCAATGGTAGAATAGGAAATATCTTCCTATAGAAACTAGACAGAATGATTCTCAGAAAATCTTTTGTGATGTGTGCGTTCAACTCACAGAGTTTAACTTTTCTTCTCATAGAGCAGTTAGGAAACACTCTGTTTGTAAAGTCTGCAAGTGGATATTCAGACCTCCTTGAGGCCTTCGTTGGAAACGGGATTTCTTCATATTCTGCCAGACAGAAGGATTCCCAGTAACTTCCTTGTGTTGTGTGTGTTCAACTCACAGAGTTGAACTTTCATTTACAAAGAGCAGATTTGAAACACTCTTTTTGTGGAATTTGCAAGTGGAGATTTCAAGCGCTTTGAGGCCAAAGGCAGAAAAGGAAATATCTTCGTATAAAAACTAGACAGAATCATTCTCAGAAACTGCTCTGCGATGTGTGCGTTCAACTCTCAGAGTTTAACTTTTCTTTTCATTCAGCAGTTTGGAAACAATCTGTTTGTAACGTCTGCACGTGAATAATTTGACCACTTAGAGGCCTTCGTTGGAAACGGGTTTTTTTCATGTAAGGCTAGACAGAAGAATTCCCAGTAACTTCCTTGTTTTGTGTACATTCAACTCACAGAGTTGAACGTTCCCTTAGATAGAGCAGATTTGAAACACTCTTTTTGTGCAATTGGCTAGTGGTGATTTCAGCCGCTTTGAGGTCAATGGTAGAAAAGGAAATATCTTCGTATAAAAACTAGACAGAATGATTCTCAGAAACTTCATTGTGATGTGTGCGTTCAACTCACAGAGTTTAACCTTTCTTTTCATACAGCAGTTAGGAAACACTCTGTTTGTAAACTCTGCAAGTGGATATTCAGACCTCTTTGAGGCCTTCGTTGGAAACGGGAATTCTTCATACTGTGCTAGACAGAAGAATTCTCAGTAACTTCCTTGTGTTGTGTGTATTCAACTCACAGAGTTGAAGGATCCTTTACAGAGAGCAGGCTTGAAACACTCTTTTTGTCGAATTTGCAAGTGGAGATTTCAGCCGCTTTGAGGTCAATGGTAGAATAGGAAATATCTTCTTATAGAAACTAGACAAAATGATTCTCAGAAACTTCTTTGTGATGTGTGCGTTCAACTCACAGAGTTTAACCTTTCTTTTCATAGAGCAGTTAGGAAACCCTCTGTTTGTAAACTCTGCAAGTGGATATTCAGACCACTTTGAGGCCTTCGTTGGAAACGGGATTTCTTCATACTATGCTAGACAGAAGAATTCCCAGTAACTTCCTTGTGTTGTGTGTGTTCAACTCACAGAGTTGAACTTTCATTTACACAGAGCAGATTTGAAACACTCTTTTTGTGGAATTTGCAAATGGAGATTTCAAGCGCTTTGGGGCCAAAGGCAGAAAAGGAAATATCTTCGTATAAAAACTAGACAGAATCATTCTCAGAAACTGCTCTGCGATGTGTGCGTTCAACTCTCAGAGTTTAACTTTTCGTCTCATTCAGCAGTTTGGAAACACTCTGTTTGTAAAGTCTGCACGTGGATAATTTGACCACTTAGAGGCCTTCGTTGGAAACGGGTTTTTTTCATGTAAGGCTAGACAGAAGAATTCCCAGTAACTTCCTTGTGTTGTGTACATTCAACTCACAGAGTTGAACGTTCCCTTAGACAGAGCAGATTTGAAACACTCTTTTTGTGCAATTGGCAAGTGGAGATTTCAAGCGCTTGAGGTCAATGGCAGAAAAGGAAATATCTTCGTTTCAAAACTAGACAGAATCATTCCCACAAACTGCGTTGTGATGGGTTCGTTCAACTCACAGAGTTTAACCTTTCTTTTCATAGAGCAGTTAGGAAACAGTCTGTTTGTCAATTCTGTAAGTGGATATTCTGACATCTTGTGGCCTTCGTTGGAAACGGGATTTCTTTATATTCTGCTAGACAGAATAATTCTCAGTAACTTCCTTGTGTTGTGTGTATTCAACTCACAGAGTTGAACGATCCTTTACAGAGTGCAAACTTGAAACACTCTTTTTGTGGAATTTGCAAGTGGAGATTTCAGCCGCTTTGAGGTCAATGATAGAATAGGAAATATCTTCCTATAGAAACTAGACAGAATGATTCTCAGAAACTCCTTTGTGATGTGTGTGTTCAACTCACAGAGTTTAACCTTTCTTTTCATTCAGCAGTTAGGAAACACTCTGTTTGTAAAGTCTGCAAGTGGATATTCAGACCTCTTTGAGGCCTTCGTTGGAAACGGGTTTTTTTCATATAAGGCTAGACAGAAGAATTCCCAGTAACTTCCTTGTGTTGTGTGTGTTCAACTCACAGAGTTGAACTTTCATTTACACAGAGCAGATTTGAAACACTCTTTTTGTGGAATTTGCAAGTGGAGATTTCAAGCGCTTTGTGGCCAAAGGCAGAAAAGGAAATATCTTCGTATAAAAACTAGACAGAATCATTCTCAGAAACTGCTGCGTGATGTGTGCGTTCAACTCTCAGAGTTTAACTTTTCTTTTCATTCAGAGGTTTGGAAACACTCTGTTTGTAAAGTCTGCACGTGGATATTTTGACCACTTAGAGGCCTTCGTTGGAAACGGGTTTTTTGCATGTAAGGCTAGACAGAAGAATTCCCAGTAACTTCCTTGTGTTGTGTGCATTCAACTCACAGAGTTGAACGTTCCCTTAGACAGAGCAGATTTGAAACACTCTATTTGTGCAATTTGCAAGTGTAGATTTCAAGCGCTTTAAGGTCAATGGCAGAAAAGGAAATATCTTCGTTTCAAAACTAGACAGAATCATTCCCACAAACTGCGTTGTGATGTGTTCGTTCAACTCACAGAGTTTAACCTTTCTGTTCATAGAGCAGTTAGGAAACACTGTGTAAAGTCTGTAAGTGGATATTCTGACATCTTGTGGCCTTCGTTGGAAACGGGATTTCTTCATATTCTGCTAGACAGAAGAATTCTCAGTAACTGCCTTGTGTTGTGTGTATTCAACTCACAGAGTTGAACGATCCTTTACACAGAGCAGACTTGAAACACTCTTTTTGTGGAACTTGCAAGTGGAGATTTCAGCCGCTTTGAGGTCAATGGTAGAATAGGAAATATCTTCCTATAGAAACTAGACAGAATGATTCTCAGAAACTTCTTTGTGATGTGTGCGTTGAACTCACAGAGTTTAACCTTTCTTTTCATAGAGCAGTTAGGAAACACTCTGTTTGTAAACTCTGCAAGTGGATATTCAGACCTCTTTGAGGCCTTCGTTGGAAACGGGATTTCTTCATACTGTGCTAGACAGAAGAATTTTCAGTAACTTCCTTGTGTTGTGTGTATTCAACTCACAGAGTTGAACGATCCTTTACACAGAGCAGACTTGAAACACTCTTTTTGTGGAAATTGCAAGTGGAGATTTCAGCCGCTTTGAGGTCAATGGTAGAAAAGGAAATATCTTCGTATAAAAACTAGACACAATGATTCTCAGAAACTCCTTTGTGATGTGTGCGTTCAACTCACAGAGTTTAACCTTTCTTTTCATAGAGCAGTTAGGAAACACTCTGCTTGTAAAGTCTGCATGTGGATATTCAGACCTCTTTGAGGCCTTCGTTGGAAACGGGTTTTTTTCATATAAGGCTAGACAGAAGAATTCCCAGTAACTTCCTTGTGTTGTGTACATTCAACTCACAGAGTTGAACGTTCCCTTAGACAGAGCAGATTTGAAACACTCTTTTTGTGCAATTGGCAAATGGAGATTTCAAGCGCTTTAAGGTCAATGGCAGAAAAGGAAATATCTTCGTTTCAAAACTAGACAGAATCATTCTCAGAAACTGCTGCGTGATGTGTGCGTTCAACACTCATAGTCTAACTTTTCTTTTCATTCAGCGGTTTGGAAACACTCTGTTTGTAAAGTCTGAACGTGCATATTTTGACCACTTAGAGGCCTTCGTTGGAAACGGGTTTTTTTCATGTAAGGCTAGACAGAAGAATTCCCAGTAACTTCCTTGTGTTGTGTCCATTCAACTCACAGAGTTGAACGTTCCCTTAGACAGAGCAGATTTGAAACACTCTATTTGTGCAATTTGCAAGTGTAGATTTCAAGCACTTTAAGGTCAACGGCAGAAAAGGAAATATCTTCGTTTCAAAACTAGACAGAATCATTCCCACAAACTGCGTTGTGATGTGTTCGTTCAACTCACAGAGTTTAACCTTTCTGTTCATAGAGCAGTTAGGAAACACTCTGTTTGTAAAGTCTGCAAGTGGATATTCAGACCTCCTTGAGGCCTTCGTTGGAAACGGGATTTCTTCATATTCTGCTAGACAGAAGAATTCCCACTAACATCCTTGTGTTGTGTGTGTTCAACTCACAGAGTTGAACTTTCATTTACACAGAGCAGATTTGAAACACTCTTTTTGTGGAATTTGCAAATGGAGATTTCAAGCGCTTTGAGGCCAAAGGCAGAAAAGGAAATATCTTCGTTTCAAAACTAGACAGAATGATTCTCAGAAACTCCTTTGTGATGTGTGCGTGCAACTCACAGAGTTTAACTTTTCTTTTCATAGAGCAGTTAGGAGACACTCTGTTTGTAAAGTCTGGAAGTGGATATTCAGACCTCCTTGAGGCCTTCGTTGGAAACGGGATTTCTTCATATTCTGCTAGACAGAAGAATTCTCAGTAACTTCCTCGTGTTGTGTGTATTCAACCTCACAGAGTTGAACGATCCTTTACACAGAGCAGACTTGAAACACACTTTTTGTGGAATTTGCAAGTGGAGATTTCAGCCGCTTTGAGGTCAATGGTAGAAAAGGAAATATCTTCGTATAAAGACTAGACAGAATCATTCCCACAAACTGCGTTGTGATGTGTGCGTTCAAGTCAAAGAGTTTAACCTTTCTTTTCATAGAGCAGTTAGGAAACACTCTGTTTGTAAAGTCTGCAAGTGGATATTCAGACCTCCTTGAGGCCTTCGTTGGAAACGGGATTTCTTCATATTCTGCTAGACAGAAGAATTCTCAGAAACTTCCTTGTGTTGTGTGTATTCAACTCACAGAGTTGAACGATCGTTTACACAGAGTAGACTTGAGACACTCTTTCTGTGGAATTTGCAAGTGGAGATTTCAGCCGCTTTGAGGTCAATGGTAGAAAAGTAAATATCTTCGTATAAAGACTAGACAGAACGATTCTCAGAAACTCCTTTGTGATTTGTGCGTACAACTCACAGAGTTTAACCTTTCTTTTCATAGAGCAGTTAGGAAACACTCTCTTTGTAAAGTCTGCAAGTGGATATTCAGACCTCTTTGAGGCCTTCGTTGGAAACGGGATTTCTTCATATTCTGCTAGACAGAAGAATTCTCAGTAACTTCCTTGTGTTGTGTTTATTCAACTGACAGAGTTGAACTTTCATTTAGAGAGAGCAGATTTGAAACACTGTTTTTGTGGAATTTGCAAGTGGAGATTTCAAGCTTTGGGGCCAAAGGCAGAAAAGGAAATATCTTCGTATAAAAACTAGACAGAATCATTCTCAGAAACTGCTGCGTGATGTGTGCGTTCAACTCTCAGAGTTTAACTTTTCTTTTCATTCAGCGGTTTGGAAACACTCTGTTTGTATAGTCTGCACGTGGATATTTTGACCACTTAGAGGCCTTCGTTGGAAACGGGTTTTTTTCATGTAAGGCTAGACAGAAGAATTCCCAGTAACTTCCTTGTGTTGTGTGCATTCAACCCACAGAGTTGAACGTTCCCCTAGACAGAGCAGATTTGAAACACTCTATTTGTGCAATTTGCAAGTGTAGTTTTCAAGCTCTTTTAGGTCAACGGCAGAAAAGGAAATATCTTGGTTTCAAAACTAGACAGAATCATTCCCACAAACTGCGTTGTGATGTCTTCGTTCAACACACAGAGTTTAACCTTTCTTTTCATAGAGCAGTTAGGAAACAGTCTGTTTGTAAATTCTGTAAGTGGATATTCTGACATCTTGTGGCCTTCGTTGGAAACGGGATTTCTTCATATTCTGCTAGACAGAAGAATTCTCAGAATCTTCCTTGTGTTGTGTGTATTCAACTCACAGAGGTGAACGGTCCTTTACACAGAGCAGACTTGAAACACTCTTTTTGTGGAATTTGCAAGTGGAGATTTCAGCCGCTTTGAGGTCCATGGTAGAAAAGGAAATATCTTCGTATAAAAACTAGACAGAATGATTCTCAGAACCTCCTTTGTGATGTGTGCGTTCAACTCACAGAGTTTAACCTTTCTTTTCATAGAGCAGTTAGGAAACACTCTGTTTGTAAAGTCTGCAAGTGGATATTCAGACATCCTTGAGGCTTTCGTTGGAAACGGGATTTCTTCATATTCTGCTAGAAAGAAGAATTCTCAGTAACTTCCTTGTGTTGTGTGTATTCAACTGACAGAGTTGAACTTTCATTTAGAGAGAGCAGATTTGAAACACTGTTTTTGTGGAATTTGCAAGTGGAGATATCAAGCGCCTTGGGGCCAAAGGCAGAAAAGGAAATATCTTCGTTTAAAAAGTAGACAGAATGATTCTCAGAAACTCCTTTGTGATGTGTGCGTTCAACTCACAGAGTTTAACTTTTCTTTTCATAGAGCAGTTAGGAAACACTCTGTTTGTAAAGTCTGCAAGTGGATATTCAGACCTCTTTGAGGCCTTCGTTGGAAACGGGATTTCTTCATATTTTGCTAGACAGAAGAATTCCCAGTAACTTCCTTGTGTTGTGTGCACTCAACTCACAGAGTTGAACGTTCCCTTAGACAGAGCAGATTTGAAACACTCTATTTGTGCAATTTGCAAGTGGAGATTTCAAGCGCTTTATGGTCAATGGAAGAAAAGGAAATATCTTCGTTTCAAAACTAGACAGAATGATTCTCAGAAACTTCTTTGTGATGTGTGCGTTCAACTCACAGAGTTTAACCTTTCTTTTCATAGAGCAGTTAGGAAACACTCTGTTTGTAAACTCTGCAAGTGGATATTCAGACCTCTTTGAGGCCATTGTTGGAAACGGGATTTCTTCATACTATGCTAGACAGAAGAATTCTCAGAATCTTCCTTGTGTTGTGTGTATTCAACTCACACAGTTGAACGACTGTTTACACAGAGCAGATGTGAAACACTCTTTTTGTGGAATTTGCAAGTGGAGATTTCAGCCGCTTTGAGGTCAATGGTAGAAAAGGAAATATCTTCGTATAAAAACTAGACAGAATGATTCTCAGAAACTTCTTTGTGATGTGTGCGTTCAACTCACAGAGTTTAACCTTTCTTTTCATAGAGCAGTTAGGAAACACTCTGTTTGTAAACTCTGCAAGTGGATATTCAGACCTCTTTGAGGCCTTCGTTGGAAACGGGATTTCTTCATACTGTGCTAGACAGAAGAATTCTCAGTAACTTCCTTGTGTTGTGTGTATTCAACTCACAGAGTTGAACGATCCTTTACACAGAGCGGACTTGAAACACTCTTTTTGTGGAATTTGCAAGTGGAGATTTCAGGCGCGTTGAGGTCAATGGTAGAAAAGGAAATATCTTCGTATAAAAACTAGACAGAATCATTCTCAGAAAATGCTCTGTGATGTGTGCGTTCAACTCTCAGAGTTTAACTTTTCTTTTCATTCAGCACTTTGGAAACACTCTGTTTCTAAAGTCTGCACGTGGATATTTTGACCACTTAGAGGTCTTTGTTGGAAACGGGTTTTTTTCACGTAAGGCTAGACAGAAGAATTCCCAGTAACTTCCTTGTGTTGTGTACATTCAACTCACAGAGTTGAACGTTCCCTTAGACAGAGCAGATTTGAAACACTCTTTTTGTGCAATTGGCAAATGGAGATTTCAAGCGCTTTAAGGTCAATGGCAGAAAAGGAAATATCTTCGTTTCAAAACTAGACAGAATGATTCTCAGAAAATTCTTTGTGATGTGTGCATCAAATCACAGAGTTTAACCTTTCTTTTCATAGAGCAGTTAGGAAACACTCTGTTTGTAAACTCTGCAAGTGGATATTCAGACCTCTTTGAGGCCTTCGTTGGAAACGGGATTTCTTCATACTGTGCTAGACAGAAGAATTCTCAGTAACTTCCTTGTGTTGTGTGTATTCAACTCACAGAGTTGAACGATCCTTTACACAGAGCAGACTTGAAACGCTCTTTTTGTGGAATTTGCAAGTGGAGATTTCAGCCGCGTTGAGGTCAATGGTAGAAAAGGAAATATCTTCGTATAAAAACTAGACAGAATGATTCTCAGAAACTCCTTTGTGATGTGTGCTGTTCAACTCACAGAGTTTAACCTTTCTTTTCATAGAGCAGTTAGGAAACACTCTGTTTGTAAAGTCTGCAAGTGGATATTCAGACCTCTTTGAGGCCTTCGTTGGAAACGGGTTTTTTTCATATAAGGCTAGACAGAAGAATTCTCAGTAACTTCCTTGTGTTGTGTGTATTCAACTGACAGAGTTGAACTTTCATTTAGAGAGAGCAGATTTGAAACACTGTTTTTGTGGAATTTGCAAATGGAGATTTCAAGCGCTTTGGGGCCAAAGGCAGAAAAGGAAATATCTTCGTATAAAAACTAGACAGAATCATTCTCAGAAACTGCTGCGTGATGTGTGCGTTCAACTCTCAGAGTTTAACTTTTCTTTTCATTCAGCGGTTTGGAAACACTCTGTTTGTAAAGTCTGCACGTGGAAATTTTGACCACTTAGAGGCCTTCGTTGGAAACGGGTTTTTTTCATGTAAGGCTAGACAGAAGAATTCCCAGTAACTTCCTTGTGTTGTGTGCATTCAACTCACAGAGTTGAACGTTCCCTTAGACAGAGCAGATTTGAAACACTCTATTTGTGCAATTTGAAAGTGTAGATTTCAAGCGCTTTAAGGTCAACGGCAGAAAAGGAAATATCTTCGTTTCAAAACTAGACAGAATGATTCTCATAAACTCCTTTGTGATGGGTGCGTTCAACTCACAGAGTTTAACCTTTCTTTTCATAGAGCAGTTAGGAAACACTCTGTTTGAAAAGTCTGCAAGTGGATATTCAGACCTCCTTGAGGCCTTCGTTGGAAACGGGATTTCTTCATATTCTGCTAGACAGAAGAATTCTCAGTAACTTCCTTGTGTTGTGTTTATTCAACTCACAGAGTTGAATGATCCTTTACACAGAGCAGACTTGAAACACTCTTTTTGTGGAATTTGCAAGTGGAGATTTCAGCCGCTTTGAGGTCAATGGTAGAATAGGAAATATCTTCGTATAAAGACTAGACAGAATGATTCTCAGAAACTCCTTTGTGATGTGTGCGTTCAACTCACAGAGTTTAACCTTTCTTTTCATAGAGCAGTTAGGAAACACTCTGTTTGTAAAGTCTGCAAGTGGATATTCAGACCTCCTTGAGGCCTTCGTTGGAAACAGGATTTCTTCATATTCTGCTAGACAGAAGAATTCTCAGTAACTTCTTTGTGTTGTGTGTATTCAACTCACAGAGTTGAACGATCCTTTACACAGAGCAGACTTGAAACACTCTTTTTGTGGAATTTGCAAGTGGAGATTACAGCCGCTTTGACGTCAATGGTAGAAAAGGAAATATATTCGTATAAAGACTAGACAGAATCATTCTCAGAAACTACTCTGTGATGTGTGCGTTCAACTCTCCGAGTTTAACTTTTCTTTTCATTCAGTAGTTTGGAAACACTCTGTTTGTAAATCTGCACGTGGATATTTTGACGACTTAGAGGCTTTCGTTGGAAACGGGTTTTTTTCATGTAAGGCTAGACAGAAGAATTCCCAGTAACTTCCTTGTGTTGTGTGCATTCAACTCACAGAGTTGAACGTTCCCTTAGACAGAACAGATTTGAAACACTCTATTTGTGCAATTTGCAAGTGTAGATTTCAAGCGCTTTAAGGTCAATGGCAGAAAAGGAAATATCTTCGTTTCAAAACTAGACAGAATCATTCCCACAAACTGCGTTGTGATGTGCTCGTTCAACTCACAGAGTTTAACCTTTCTGTTCATAGAGCAGTTAGGAAACACTCTGTTTGTAAAGTCTGCAAGTGGATATTCAGACCTCCTTGAGGCCTTCGTTGGAAACGGGATTTCTTCATATTCTGCTAGACAGAATAATTCTCAGTAACTTCCTTGTGTTGTGTGTATTCAACTCACAGAGTTGTACGATCCTTTACACAGAGCAGACTTGAAACACTCTTTTTGTGGAATTTGCAAGTGGAGATTTCAGCCGCTTTGAGGTCAATGGTAGAAAAGGAAATATCTTCGTATAAAGACTAGACAGAATGATTCTCAGAAACTCCTTTGTGATGTGTGCGTTCAACTCACAGAGTTCAACCTTTCTTTTCATAGAGCAGTTAGGAAACACTCTGTTTGTAAAGTCTGCAAGTGGATATTCAGACCTCCTTGAGGCCTTCGTTGGAAACGGGATTTCTTCATATTATGCTAGACAGAAGAATTCTCAGTAACTTCCTTGTGTTGCGTGTATTCAACTCACAGAGTTGAACGATCCTTTACACAGAGCAGACTTGAAACACTCTTTTTGTGGAATTTGCAAGTGGAGATTTCAGCCGCTTTGAGGTCAATGGTAGAATAGGAAATATCTTCCTATAGAAACTAGACAGAATCATTCTCAGAAACTGCTGCGTGATGTGTGCGTTCAACTCTCAGAGTTTAACTTTTCTTTTCATTCAGCGGTTTGGAAACACTCTGTTTGTAAAGTCTGCACGTGGAAATTTTGACCACTTAGAGGCCTTCGTTGGAAACGGGTTTTTTTCATTTAAGGCTAGACAGAAGAATTCCCAGTAACTTCCTTGTGTTGTGTGCATTCAACTCACAGAGTTGAACGTTCCCTTAGACAGAGCAGATTTGAAACACTCTATTTGTGCAATTTGCAAGTGTAGATTTCAAGCGCTTTAAGGTCAACGGCAGAAAAGGAAATATCTTCGTTTCAAAACTAGACAGAATCATTCCCACAAACTGCGTTGTGATGTGTTCGTTCAACTCAGAGTTTAACCTTTCTGTTCATAGAGCAGTTAGGAAACACTCTGTTTGTAAAGTCTGTAAGTGGATATTCTGACATCTTGTGGCCTTCGTTGGAAACGGGATTTCTTCATATTCTGCTAGACAGAAGAATTCTCAGTAACTTCCTTGTGTTGTGTGTATTCAACTCACAGAGTTGAACGATCCTTTACACAGAGCAGACTTGTAACACTCTTTTTGTGGAATTTGCAAGTGGAGATTTCAGCCGCTTTGAAGTCCAAGGTAGAAAAGGAAATATCTTCCTATAAAAACTAGACAGAATGATTCTCAGAAACTCCTTTCTGATGTGTGCGTTCAACTCGCAGAGTTTAACTTTTCTTTTCATAGAGCAGTTAGGAAACACTCTGTTTGTAAAGTCTGCAAGTGGATATTCGGACCTCTTTGAGGCCTTCGTTGGAAACGGGAATTCTTCATATTATGCTAGACAGAAGAATTCCCAGTAACTTCCTTGTGTTCTGTGTGTTCAACTCACAGAGTTGAACTTTCATTTACACAGAGCAGATTTGAAACACTCTTTTTGTGGAATTTGCAAGTGGAGATTTCAAGCGCTTTGAGGCCAAAGGCAGAAAAGGAAATATCTTCGTTTCAAAACTAGACAGAATCATTCTCAGAAACTGCTGCGTGATGTGTGCGTTCAACTCTCAGAGTTTAACTTTTCTTTTCATTCAGCGGTTTGGAAACACTCTGTTTGTAAAGTCTGCACGTGGAAATTTTGACCACTTAGAGGCCTTCGTTGGAAACGGGTTTTTTTCATGTAAGGCTAGACAGAAGAATTCCCAGTAACTTCCTTGTGTTGTGTGCATTCAACTCACAGAGTTGAACGTTCCATTAGACAGAGCAGATTTGAAACACTCTATTTGTGCAATTTGCAAGTGTAGATTTCAAGCGCTTTAAGGTCAATGGCAGAAAAGGAAATATCTTCGTTTCAAAACTAGACAGAATGATTCTGAGAAACTCCTTTGTGATGTGTGCGTTCAACTCACAGAGTTTAACTTTTCTTTTCATAGAGCAGTTAGGAAACACTCTGTTTGTAAAGTCTGCAAGTGGATATTCAGACCTCCTTGAGGCCTTGGTTGGAAACGGGATTTCTTCATATTATGCTAGACAGAATAATTCTCAGTAACTTCCTTGTGTTGTGTGTATTCAACTCACAGAGTTGAACGATCCTTTACAGAGAGCAGAGTTGAAACACTCTTTTTGTGGAATTTGCAAGTGGAGATTTCAGCCGCTTTGAGGTCAATGGTAGAAAAGGAAATATCTTTGTATAAAGACTAGACAGAATGATTCTCAGAAACTCCTTTGTGATGTGTGCGTTCAACTCACAGAGTTTAACTTTTCTTTTCATAGAGCAGTTAGGAAACACTCTGTTTGTAAAGTCTGCAAGAGGATATTCAGACCTCTTTAAGGCCTTCGTTGGAAAAGGGATTTCTTCATATTCTGCTAGACAGAAGAATTCTCAGTAACTTCCTTGTGTTGTGTGTATTCAACTGACAGAGTTGAACTTTCATTTAGAGAGAGCAGATTTGAAACACTGTTTTTGTGGAATTTGCAAGTGGAGATTTCAAGCACTTTGGGGCCAAAGGCAGAAAACGAAATATCTTCGTATAAAAAGTAGACAGAATCATTCTCAGAAACTGCTGCGTGATGTGTGCGTTCAACTCTCAGACTTTAACTTTTCTTTTCATTCAGCGGTTTGGAAACACTCTGTTTGTAAAGTCTGCACGTGGATATTTTGACCACTTAGAGGCCTTCGTTGGAAACGGGTTTTTTTCATGTAAGGCTAGACAGAAGAATTCCCAGTAACTTCCTTGTGTTGTGTACATTCAACTCACAGAGTTGAACGTTCCCTTAGACAGAGCAGATTTGAAACACTCTTTTTGTGCAATTGGCAAATGGAGATTTCAAGCGCTTTAAGTTCAATGGCAGAAAAGGAAATATCTTCGTTTCAAAACTAGACAGAATCATTCCCACAAACTGCGTTGTGATGTGTTCGTTCAACTCACAGAGTTTAACCTTTCCGTTCATAGAGCAGTTAGGAAACACTCTCTAAAGTCTGTAAGTGGATATTCAGATCTCCTTGAGGTCTTCGTTGGAAACGGGATTTCTTCATATTCTGCTAGACAGAAGAATTCTCAGTAACTTTCCTTGTGTTGTGTGTATTCAACTCACAGAGTTGAACGATCCTTTACACAGAGCAGACTTGTAACACTCTTTTTGTGGAATTTGCAAGTGGAGATTTCAGCCACTTTGAAGTCAAAGGTAGAAAAGGAAATAACTTCCTATAAAAACTAGACAGAATGATTCTCAGAAACTCCTTTGTGATGTGTGCGTTCAACTCACAGAGTTTAACCTTTCTTTTCATAGAGCAGTTAGGAAACACTCTGTTTGTAAAGTCTGCAAGTGGATATTCTGACCTCTTTGAGGCCTTCGTTGGAAACGGGTTTTTTTCATATAAGGCTAGACAGAAGTAATCTCAGTAACTTCCTTGTGTTGTGTGTATTCAACTGACAGAGTTGAAATTTCATTTAGAGGGAGCAGATTTGAAACACTGTTTTTGTGGAATTTGCAAGTGGAGATTTCAAACGCTTTGGGGCCAAAGGCAGAAAAGGAAACATCTTCGTATAAAAACTAGACAGAATCATTCTCAGAAACTGCTGCGTGATGTGTGCGTTCAACTCTCAGAGTTTAACTTTTCTTTTCATTCAGCGGTTTGGAAACACTCTGTTTGTAAAGTCTGCACGTGGAAATTTTGACCACTTAGAGGCCTTCGTTGGAAACGGGATTTTTTCATGTAAGGCTAGACAGAAGAATTCCCAGTAACTTCCTTGTGTTGTGTGCATTCAACTCACAGAGTTGAACGTTCCCTTAGACAGAGCAGATTTGAAACACTCTATTTGTGCAATTTGCAAGTGTAGTTTTCAAGCTCTTTAAGGTCAACGGCAGAAAAGGAAATATCTTCGTTTCAAAACTAGACCGAATCATTCCCACAAACTGCGTTGTGATGTGTTCGTTCAACTCACAGAGTTTAACCTTTCTGTTCATAGAGCAGTTAGGAAATACTCTGTTTGTAAAGTCTGCAAGTGGATATTCAGACCTCCTTGAGGCCTTCGTTGGAAACGGGATTTCTTCATATTCTGCTAGACAGAATAATTCTCAGTAACTTTCCTTGTGTTGTGTGTATTCAACTCACAGAGTTGAACGATCCTTTACACAGAGCAGACTTGAAACACTCTATTTGTAGAATTTGCAAGTGGAGATTTCAGCCGCTTTGAGGTCAATAGTAGAAAAGGAAATATCTTCGTAGAAAAACTAGACAGAATGATTCTCAGAAACTCCTTTGTGATGTGTGCGTTCAACTCACAGAGTTTAACCTTTCTTTTCATAGAGCAGTTAGGAAACACTGTGTTTGTAAAGTCTGCAAGTGGATATTCAGACCTCCTTGAGGCCTTCGTTGGAAACGGGATTTCTTCATATTATGCTAGACAGAAGAATTCTCAGTAACTTCCTTGTGTTGTGTGTATTCAACTCACAGAGTTGAACGATCCTTTACACAGAGCATACTTGAAACACTCTTCTTGTGGAATTTGCAAGTGGAGATTTCAGCCACTTTGAGGTCAATGGTAGAATAGGAAATATCTTCCTATAGAAACTAGACAGAATGATTCTCAGAAACTCCTTTGTGATGTGTGTGTTCAACTCACAGAGTTTAACCTTTCTTTTCATACAGCATTTAGTAAACACTCTGTTTATAACGTCTGCAAGTGGATATTCAGACCCCTTTGAGGCCTTCGTTGGAAACGGGATTTCTTCATATTATGCTAGACAGAAGAATTCCCAGTAACTTCCTTGTGTTGTGTGCATTCAACTCACAGAGTTGAACGTTCCCTTAGACAGAGCAGATTTGAAACACTCTATTTGTGCAATTTGCAAGTGTAGATTTCAAGCGCTTTAAGGTCAACGGCAGAAAAGGAAATATCTTCGTTTCAAAACTAGACAGAATCATTACCACAAACTGCGTTGTGATGTGTTCGTTCAACCCACAGAGTTTAAGCTTTCTCTTCATAGAGCAGTTAGGAAACACTCTGTTTGTGAAGTCTGTAAGTGGATATTCTGACATCTTGTGGCCTTCGTTGGAAACGGGATTTCTTCATATTCTGCTAGACAGAAGAATTCTCAGAATCTTCCTTGTGTTGTGTGTATTCAACTCACAGAGTTGAACGATCCTTTACACAGAGCAGACTTGAAACACTCTTTTTGTGGAATTTGTAAGTGGAGATTTCAGCCGCTTTGAGGTCCATGGTAGAAAAGGAAATATCTTCGTATAAAAACTAGACAGAATGATTCTCAGAAACTCCTTTGTGATGTGTGCATTCAACTCACAGAGTTCAACCTTTCTTTTCATAGAGCAGTTGGGAAACACTCTGTTTGTAAAGTCTGCAAGTGGATATTCAGACTTCTTTGAGGCCTTCGTTGGAAGCGGGATTTCTTCATGTTCTGCTAGACAGAAGAATTCCCAGTAACTTCCCTTGTGTTGGCTGTGTTCAACTCACAGAGTTGAACTTTCATTTACACAGAGCAGATTTGAAACACTCTTTTTGTGGAATTTGCAAATGGAGATTTCAAGCGCTTTGAGGCCAAAGGCAGAAAAGGAAATATCTTCGTATAAAAACTCGACAGAATCATTCTCAGAAACTGCTCTGCGATGTGTGCGTTCAACTCTCAGAGTTTAACTTTTCTTTTCATTCAGCAGTTTGGAAACACTCTGTTTGTAAAGTCTGCACGTGGATAACTTGACCACTTAGAGGCCTTCGTTGGAAACGGGTTTTTTTCATGTAAGGCTAGACAGAAGAATTCCCAGTAACTTCCTTGTGTTGTGTGCATTAAACTCACATAGTTGAACGTTTCCTTAGACAGAGCTGAATTGAAACACGCTATTTGTGCAATTTGCAAGTGTAGATTTCAAGCGCTTTAAGGTCAATGGCAGAAAAGGAAATATCTTCGTTTCAAAACTAGACAGAATCATTCCCAAAAACTGCGTTATGATGTGTTCGTTCATCTCACAGAGTTTAACCTTTCTTTTCATAGAGCAGTTAGGAAACAGTCTGTTTGTAAATTCTGTAAGTGGATATTCTGACATCTTGTGGCCTTCGTTGGAAACGGGATTTCTTCATATTCTGCTAGACAGAAGAATTCTCAGTAACTTCCTTGTGTTGTGTGTATTCAACTCACAGAGTTGAACGATCATTTACACAGAGCAGACTTGAAACACTCTTTTTGTGGAATTTGCAAGTGGAGATTTCAGCCGCTTTGAGGTCAATGGTAGAAAAGGAAATATCTTCGTATAAAGACTAGACAGAACGATTCTCAGAAACTCCTTTGTGATGTGTGCGTTCAACTCACAGAGTTTAACCTTTCTTTTCATAGAGCAGTTAGGAAACACTTTGTTTGTAAAGTCTGCAAGTGGATATTCAGACCTCTTTGAGGCCTTCGTTGGAAACGGGATTTCTTCCTATTCTGCTAGACAGAAGAATTCTCAGTAACTTCCTTGTGTTGTGTGTATTCAACTCACAGAGTTGAACGATCCTTTACACAGAGCAGAGTTGAAACACTCTTTTTGTGGAATTTGCAAGTGGAGATTTCAGCCGCTTTGAGGTCAATAGTAGAAAAGGAAATATCTTCGTAGAAAAACTAGACAGAATCATTCTCAGAAAGTGCTCTGCGATGTGTGCGTTCAACTCTCAGAGTTTAACTTTGCTTTTCATTCAGCAGTTTGGAAACACTCTGTTTGTAAAGTCTGCACGTGGATAATTTGACCACTTAGAGGCCTTCGTTGGAAACGGGTTTTTTTCATGTAAGGCTAGACAGAAGAATTCCCAGTAACTTCCTTGTGTTGTGTACATTCAACTCACAGAGTTGAACGTTCCCTTAGACAGAGCAGATTTGAAACACTCTTTTTGTGCAATTGGCAAGTGGAGATTTCAAGCGCTTTGAGGTCAATGGCAGAAAAGGAAATATCTTCGTTTCAAAACTAGACAGAATCATTCCCACAAACTGCGTTGTGATGTGTTCGTTCAACTCACAGAGTTTAACCTTTCTTTTCATAGAGCAGTTAGGAAACAGTCTGTTTGAAAATTCTGTAAGTGGATATTCTGACATCTTGTGGCCTTCGTTGGAAACGGGATTTCTTCATATTACTGCTAGACAGAAGAATTCTCAGTAACTTCCGCGTGTTGTGTGTATTCAACTCACAGAGTTGAACGATCCTTTACACAGAGCAGACTTGAAACACTCTTTTTGTGGAATTTGCAAGTGGAGATTTCAGCCGCTTTGAGGTCAATGGTAGAAAAGGAAATACCTTCCTATAAAAACTAGACAGAATGATTCTCAGAAACTCCTTTGTGATGTGTGCGTTCAACTCACAGAGTTTAACCTTTCTTTTCATAGAGCAGTTAGGAAACACTCTGTTTGTAAAGTCTGCAAGTGGATATTCAGACCTCTTTGAGGCCTTCGTTGAAAACGGGATTTCTTCATATTCTGCTAGGGAGAAGAATTCTCAGTAACTTCCTTGTGTTGTGTGTATTCAACTGACAGAGTTGAACTTTCATGTAGAGAGAGCAGATTTGAAACACTGTTTTTGTGGAATTTGCAAGTGGAGATTTCAAGCGCTTTGGGGCCAAGGGCAGAAAAGGAAATATCTTCGTATAAAAACTAGACAGAATCATTCTCAGAAACTGCTCTGCGATGTGTGCGTTCAACTCTCAGAGTTTAACTTTTCTTTTCATTCAGCAGTTTGGAAGCACTCTGTTTGTAAAGTCTGCACGTGGATAATTTGACCACTTAGAGGCCTTCGTTGGAAACGGGTTTTTTTCATATAAGGCTAGACAGAAGAATTCCCAGTAACTTCCTTGTGTTGTGTGCATTCAACTCACAGAGTTGAACGTTCCCTTAGACAGAGCAGATTTGAAACACTCTATTTGTGCAATTTGCAAGTGTAGATTTCAAGCGCTTTAAGGTCAATGGCAGAAAAGGAAATATCGTCGTTTCAAAACTAGACAGAATGATTCTCAGAATCTCCTTTGTGATGTGTGCGTTCAACTCACAGAGTTCAACCTTTCTTTTCATAGAGCAGTTGGGAAACACTCTGTTTGTAAAGTCTGCAAGTGGATATTCAGACTTCTTTGAGGCCTTCGTTGGAAGCGGGATTTCTTCATGTTCTGCTAGACAGAAGAATTCTCAGTAACTTCTTTGTGTTGCGTGTATTCAACTCACAGAGTTGAACGATCCTTTACACAGAGGAGACTTGAAACACTCTTTTTGTGGAATTTGCAAGTGGAGATTACAGCCGCTTTGAGGTCAATGGTAGAAAAGGAAATATCTTCGTATAAAGACTAGACAGAATGATTCTCAGAAACTCCTTTGTGATGTGTGCGTTCAACTCACAGAGCTTAACCTTTCTTTTCATAGAGCAGTTAGGAAACACTCTGTTTGTAAAGTCTGCAAGTGGATATTCAGACACCTTTGAGGCCTTCGTTGGAAACGGGATTTCTTCATGTTCTGCTAGACACAAGAATTCCCAGTAACTTCCTTGTGTTGTGTGTGTTCAACTCACAGAGTTGAACTTTGATTTACACAGAGCAGATTTGAAACACTCTTTTTGTGGAATTTGCAAGAGGAGATTTCAAGCGCTTTGAGGCCAAAGGCAGAAAAGGAAATATCTTCGTATAAAAACTAGACAGAATCATTCTCAGAAACTGCTCTGCGATGTGTGCGTTCAACTCTCAGAGTTTAACTTCTCTTTTCATTCAGCAGTTTGGAAACACTCTGTTTGTAAAGTCTGCACGTGGATAACTTGACCACTTAGAGGCCTTCGTTGGAAACGGGTTTTTTTCATGTAAGGCTAGACAGAAGAATTCCCAGTAACTTCCTTGTGTTGTGTACATTCAACTCACAGAGTTGAACGATCCCTTAGTCAGAGCAGATTTGAAACACTCTTTTTGTGCAATTGGCAAGTGGAGACTTCAAGCGCTTTAAGGTCAATGGCAGAAAAGGAAATATCTTCGTTTCAAAACTAGACAGAATCATTCCCACAAACTGCGTTGTGATGTGTTCGTTCATCTCACAGAGTTTAACCTTTCTTTTCATAGAGCAGTTAGGAAACAGTCTGTTTGTAAATTCTGTAAGTGGATATTCTGACATCTTGTGGCCTTCGTTGGAAACGGGATTTCTTCATATTCTGCTAGACAGAAATAATTCTCAGTAACTTCCTTGTGTTGTGTGTATTCAACTCACAGAGTTGAACGATCCTTTACAGAGAGCAGACTTGAAACACTCTTTTTGTGGAATTTGCAAGTGGAGATTTCAGCCGCTTTGAGGTCAATGGTAGAATAGGAAATATCTTCCAATAGAAACTAGACAGAATGATTCTCAGAAACTCCTTTGTGATGTGTGTGTTCAACTCACAGAGTTTCACCTTTCTTTTCATAGAGCAGTTAGGAAACACTCTGTTTGTAAAGTCTGCAAGTGGATATTCAGACCTCCTTGAGGCCTTCGTTGGAAACGGGATTTCTTCATATTCTGCTAGACAGAAGAATTCCCAGTAACTTCCTTGTGTTGTGTGTGTTCAACTCACAGAGTTGAACTTTCATTTACCCAGAGCAGATTTGAAACACTCTTTTTGTGGAATTTGCAAGTGGAGATTTCAAGCGCTTTGAGACCAAAGGCAGAAAAGGAAATATCTTCGTTTCAAAACTAGACAG
Source organism: Homo sapiens (assembly GCF_000001405.40). NCBI lineage: Eukaryota > Metazoa > Chordata > Mammalia > Primates > Hominidae > Homo > Homo sapiens. The sequence continues at coordinate 124,543,935 of NC_000001.11, forward strand.
AATCATTCTCATAAACTGCTCTGCGATGTGTGCGTTCAACTCTCAGAGTTTAACTTTTCTTCTCATTCAGCAGTTTGGAAACACTCTGTTTGTAAAGTCTGCACGTGGATAATTTGACCACTTAGAGGCCTTCGTTGGAAACGGGTTTTTTTCATGTAAGGCTAGACAGAAGAATTCCCAGTAACTTCCTTGTGTTGTGTACATTCAACTCACAGAGTTGAACGTTCCCTTAGACAGAGTAGATTTGAAACACTCTTTTTGTGCAACTGGCAAATGGAGATTTCAAGCGCTTTAAGGTCAATGGCAGAAAAGGAAATATCTTCGTTTCAAAACTAGACAGAATGATTCTCATGAACTCCTTTGTGATGTGTGCGTTCAACTCACAGAGTTTAACCTTTGTTTTCATAGAGCAGTTAGGAAACACTCTGTTTGTAAAGTCTGCAAGTGGATATTCAGACCTCCTTGAGGCCTTTTTTGGAAACGGGATTTCTTCATATTCTGCTAGACAGAAGAATTCTCAGTAACTTCCTTGTGTTGTGTGTATTCAACTCACAGAGTTGAATGATCCTTTACACAGAACAGTCTTGAAACACTCTTTTTGTGGAATTTGGAAGTGGAGATTTCAGCCGCTTTGAGGTCAATGGTAGAATAGGAAATATCTTCCTATAGAAACTAGACAGAATGATTCTCAGAAACTCCTTTGTGATGTGGGCGTTCAACTCACAGAGTTTAACCTTTCTTTTCATAGAGCAGTTAGGAAACACTCTGTTTGTAAAGTCTGCAAGTGGATATTCAGACATCTTTGAGGCTTTCGTTGGAAACGGGATTTCTTCATATTCTGATATACAGAAGAATTCTCAGAAACTTCCTTGTGTTGTGTGTATTCAACTCACAGAGTTGAACGATCGTTTACACAGAGCAGACTTGAGACACTCTTTTTGTGGAATTTGTAAGTGGAGATTTCAGCCGCTTTGAGGTCAATGGTAGAGAAGGAAATATCTTCATATAAAAACTAGACAGAATCATTCTCAGAAACTACTCTGCAATGTGTGCGTTCAACTCTCAGAGTTTAACTCTTCTTTTCATTCAGCAGTTTGGAAACACTCTGTTTGTAAACTCTGCACGTGGATATTTTGACCACTTAGAGGCCTTCGTTGGAAACGGGTTTTTTTCCTGTAAGGCTAGACAGAAGAATTCCCAGTAACTTCCTTGTGTTGTGTGCATTCAACTCACAGAGTTGAACGTTCCCTTAGACAGAGCAGATTTGAAACACTCTATTTGTGCAATTTGCAAGTGTAGTTTTCAAGCTCTTTAAGGTCAACGGCAGAAAAGGAAATATCTTCGTTTCAAAACTAGACAGAATCATTCCCACAAACTGCGTTGTGATGTGTTCGTTCAACTCACAGAGTTTAACCTTTCTTTTCATAGAGCAGTTAGGAAACAGTCTGTTTGTAAATTCTGTAAGTGGATATTCTGACATCTTGTGGCCTTCGTTGGAAACGGGATTTCTTCATATTCTGCTAGACAGAAGAATTCTCAGTAACTTCCTTGTGTTGTGTGTATTCAACTCACAGAGTTGAACGATCCTTTACACAGAGCAGACATGAAACACTCTTTTTGTGGAATTTGCAAGTGGAGATTTCAGCCGCTTTGGGGTCAATGGTAGAAAAGGAAATATCTTCGTATAAAGACTAGACAGAATGATTCTCAGTAACTCCTTTGTGATGTGTGCGTTCAACTCACAGAGTTTAACCTTTCTTTTCATAGAGCAGTTAGGAAACACTCTGTTTGTAAAGTCTGCAAGTGGATATTCAGACCTCTTTGAGGCCTTCGTTGGAAACGGGTTTTTTTCATATAAGGCTAGACAGAAGAATTCCCAGTAACTTCCTTGTGTTGTGTGTGTTCAACTCACAGAGTTGAACTTTCATTTACACAGAGCAGATTTGAAACACTCTTTTTGTGGAATTTGCAAGTGGAGATTTCAAGCGCTTTGAGGCCAAAGGCAGAAAAGGAAATATCTTCGTTTAAAAACTAGACAGAATCATTCTCAGAAACTGCTCTGCGATGTGTGCGTTCAACTCTCAGAGTTTAACTTTTCTTTTCATTCAGCAGTTTGGAAACACTCTGTTTGTAAAGTCTGCACGTGGATATTTTGACCATTTAGAGGCCTTCGTTGGAAACGGGTTTTTTTCCTGTAAGGCTAGACAGTAGAATTCCCAGTAACTTCCTTGTGTTGTGTACATTCAACTCACAGAGTTGAACGTTCCCTAAGACAGAGCAGATTTGAAACACTCTTTTTGTGCAATTGGCAAGTGGTTATTTCAGCCGCTTTGAGGTCAATGGTAGAAAAGGAAATATCTTCGTATAAAAACTAGACAGAATGATTCTCAGAAACTCCTTTGTGATGTGTGCGTTCAACTCACACAGTTTAACCTTTCTTTTCATAGAGCAGTTAGGAAACACTCTGTTTGTAAAGTCTGCAAGTGGATATTCAGACCTCCTTGAGGCCTTCGTTGGAAACGGGATTTCTTCATATTATGCTAGAAAGAAGAATTCTCAGAAACTTCGTTGTGTTGCGTGTTTTCAACTCACAGAGTTCAACGATCCTTTACACAGAGTAGACTTGAAACACTCTTTTTGTGGAATTTGCAAGTGGAGATTTCAGCCGCTTAGAGGTCAATGGTAGAAAAGGAAATATCTTCGTATAAAAACTAGACAGAATGATTCTCAGAAACTCCTTTGTGATGTGTGCGTTCAACTCACAGAGTTCAACCTTTCTTTTCATAGAGCAGTTGGGAAACACTCTGTTTGTAAAGCCTGCAAGTGGATATTCAGACTTCTTTGAGGCCTTCGTTGGAAGCGGGATTTCTTCATATTCTGCTAGACAGAAGAATTCCCAGTAACTTCCTTGTGTTGTGTGTGTTCAACTCACAGAGTTGAACGTTCCCTCAGACAGAGCAGATTTGAAACACTCTTTTTGTGGAATTTGCAAGTGGAGATTTCAAGCGCTTTGAGGCCAAAGGCAGAAAAGGAAATATCTTCGTATAAAAACTAGACAGAATCATTCTCAGAAACTGCTCTGCGATGTGTGCGTTCAACTCTCAGAGTTTAACTTTTCTTTTCATTCAGCAGTTTGGAAACACTCTGTTTGTAAAGTCTGCACGTGGATAATTTGACCACTTAGAGGCCTTCGTTGGAAACGGGTTTTTTTCATGTAAGGCTAGACAGAAGAATTCCCAGTAACTTCCTTGTGTTGTGTGCATTCAACTCACAGAGTTGAACGTTCCCTTAGACAGAGCAGATTTGAAACACTCTATTTGTGCAATTTGCAAGCGTAGATTTCAAGCGCTTTAAGGTCAATGGCAGAAAAGGAAATATCTTCGTTTCAAAACTAGACAGAATCATTCCCACAAACTGCGTTGTGATGTGTTCGTTCAACTAACAGAGTTTAACCTTTCTGTTCATAGAGCAGTTAGGAAACACTCTGTTTGTAAAGTCTGTAAGTGGATATTCTGACATCTTGTGGCCTTCGTTGGAAACGGGATTTCTTCATATTCTGCTAGACAGAAGAATTCTCAGTAACTTCCTTGTGTTGTGTGTATTCAACTCACAGAGTTGAAGGATCCTTTACAGAGAGCAGGCTTGAAACACTCTTTTTGTGGAATTTGCAAGTGGAGATTTCAGCCGCTTTGAGGTCAATGGTAGAATAGGAAATATCTTCTTATAGAAACTAGACAGAATGATTCTCAGAAACTCCTTTGTGATGTGTGTGTTCAACTCACAGAGTTTAACCTTTCTTTTCATAGAGCAGTTAGTAAACACTCTGTTTATAAAGTCTGCAAGTGGATATTCAGACCCCTTTGGGGCCTTCGTTGGAAACGGGATTTCTTCATATTATGCTAGACAGAAGATTTCCCAGTAACTTCCTTGTGTTGTGTGTTTTCAACTCACAGAGTTGAACTTTCATTTACACAGAGCAGATTTGAAACACACTTTTTGTGGAATTTGCAAATGGAGATTTCAAGCGCTTTGAGGCCAAAGGCAGAAAAGGAAATATCTTCGTTTCAAAACTAGACAGAATCATTCTCAGAAACTGCTCTGCGATGTGTGCGTTCAACTCTCAGAGTTTAAATTTTCTTTTCATTCAGCAGTTTGGAAACACTCTGTTTGTAAAGTCTGCACGTGGATATTTTGACCACTTAGAAGCCTTCGTTGGAAACGGGTTTTTTTCCTGTAAGGCTAGACAGAAGAATTCCCAGTAACTTCCTTGTGTTGTGTACATTCAACTCACAGAGTTGAACGTTTCCTTAGACAGAGCAGATTTGAAACACTCTTTTTGTGCAATTGGCAAGTGGAGATTTCAAGCGCTTTAAGGTCAATGGCAGAAAAGGAAATATCTTCGTTTCAAAACTAGACAGAATCATTCCCACAAACTGCGTTGTGATGTGTACGTTCAACTCACAGAGTTTAACCTTTCTGTTCATAGAGCAGTTAGGAAACACTCTGTTTGTAAAGTCTGTAAGTGGATATTCTGACATCTTGTGGCCTTCGTTGGAAACGGGATTTCTTCATATTCTGCTAGACAGAATAATTCTCAGTAACTTCCTTGTGTTGTGTGTATTCAAGTCACAGAGTTGAACGATCCTTTACAGAGAGCAGACTTGAAACACTCTTTTTGTGGAATTTGCAAGTGGAGATTTCAGCCGCTTTGAGGTCAATGTTAGAAAAGGAAATATCTTCGTATAAAGACTAGACAGAATGATTCTCAGAAACTCCTTTGTGATGTGTGCGTTCAACTCACAGAGTTCAACCTTTCTTTTAATAGAGCAGTTGGGAAACACTCTGTTTGTAAAGTCTGCAAGTGGATATTCAGACTTCTTTGAGGCCTTCGTTGGAAGCGGGATTTCTTCATATTCGGCTAGACAGAAGAATTCTCGGTAACTTCCTTGTGTTGTGTGTATTCAACTCACAGAGTTGAACGATCCTTTACACAGAGCGGACTTGAAACACTCTTTTTGTGGAATTTGCAAGTGGAGATTTCAGCCGCGTTGAGGTCAATGGTAGAAAAGGAAATATCTTCGTATAAAAACTAGACAGAATGATTCTCAGAAACTCCTTTGTGATGTGTGCGTTCAACTCACAGAGTTCAACCTTTCTTTTCATAGAGCAGTTAGGAAACACTCTGTTTGTAATGTCTGCAAGTGGATATTCAGACCTCCTTGAGGCCTTCGTTGGAAACGGGATTTCTTCATATTATGCTAGACAGAAGAATTCTCAGTAACTTCCTTGTGTTGTGTGTATTCAACTGACAGACTTGAACTTTCATTTAGAGAGAGCAGATTTGAAACACTGTTTTTGTGGAATTTGCAAGTGGAGATTTCAAGCGCTTTGGGGCCAAAGGCAGAAAAGGAAATATCTTCGTATAAAAAGTAGACAGAATCATTCTCAGAAACTGCTCTGCGATGTGTGCGTTCAACTCTCAGAGTTTAACTTTTCTTTTCATTCAGCAGTTTGGAAACACTCTGTTTGTAAGGTCTGCACGTGGATAATTTGACCACTTAGAGGCCTTCGTTGGAAACGGGTTTTTTTCATGTAAGGCTAGACAGAAGAATTCCCAGTAACTTCCTTGTGTTGTGTGCATTCAACTCACAGAGTTGAACGTTCCCTTAGACAGAGCAGATTTGAAACACTCTATTTGTGCAATTTGCAAGTGTAGATTTCAAGCGCTTTAAGGTCAATGGCAGAAAAGGAAATATCTTCGTTTCAAAACTAGACAGAGTGATTCTCAGAAACTCCTTTGTGATGTCTGCGTTCAACTCACAGAGTTTAACGTTTCTTTTCATAGAGCAGTTAGGAAACACTCTGTTTGTAAAGTCTGCAAGTGGATATACAGACCTCCTTGAGGCCTTCGTTGGAAACGGGATTTCTTCATATTCTGCTATACAGAAGAATTCTCAGAAACTTCCTTGTGTTGTGTGTATTCAACTCACAGAGTTGAACGATCCTTTACACAGAACAGACTTGAGACACTCTTTTTGTGGAATTTGCAAGTGGAGATTTCAGCCGCTTTGAGGTCAATGGTAGAAAAGGAAATATCTTCGTATAAAAACTAGACAGAATGATTCTCAGAAACTCCTTTGTGATGTGTGCGTTCAACTCACAGAGTTTAACCTTTCTTTTCATAGAGCAGTTAGGAAACACTCTGTTTGTAAAGTCTGCAAGTGGATATTCAGACATCCTTGAGGCTTTCGTTGGAAACGGGATTTCTTCCTATTCTGCTAGAAAGAAGAATTCCCAGTAACTTCCTTGTGTTGTGTGTGTTCGACTCACAGAGTTGAACTTTCATTTACACAGAGCAGATTTGAAACACTCTTTTTGTGGAATTTGCAAGTGGAGATTTCAAGCGCTTTGAGGCCAAAGGCAGAAAAGGAAATATCTTCGTTTCAAAACTAGGCAGAATCATTCTCAGAAACTGCTCTGCGATGTGTGCGTTCAACTCTCAGAGTTTAACTTTTCTTTTCATTCAGCAGTTTGGAAACACTCTGTTTGTAAAGTCTGCACGTGGATATTTTGACCACTTAGAGGCCTTCGTTGGTAACGGGTTTTTTTCCTGTAAGGCTAGACAGAAGAATTCCCAGTAACTTCCTTGTGTTGTGTGCATTCAACTCACAGTAGTTGAACGTTCCCTTAGACAGAGCAGATTTGAAACACTCTATTTGTGCAATTTGCAAGTGTAGTTTTCAAGCTCTTTAAGGTCAACGGCAGAAAAGGAAATATCTTCGTTTCAAAACTAGACAGAATGATTCTCATAAACTCCTTTGTGATGTGTGCGTTCAACTCACAGAGTTTAACTTTTCTTTTCATAGAGCAGTTAGGAAACACTCTGTTTGTAAAGTCTGCAAGTGGATATTCAGACCTCTTTGAGGCCTTCGTTGGAAACGGGATTTCTTCATATTATGCTAGACAAAATAATTCTCAGTAACTTCCTTGTGTTGTGTGTATTCAACTCACAGAGTTGAACGATCCTTTACACAGAGCAGACTTGAAACACTCTTTTTGTGGAATTTGCAAGTGGAGATTTCATCCAATTTGAGGTCAATAGTAGAAAAGGAAATATCTTCGTAGAAAAACTAGACAGAATGATTCTCAGAAACTCCTTTGTGATGTGTGCGTTCAACTCACAGAGTTTAACCTTTCTTTTCATAGAGCAGTTAGGAAACACTCTGTTTGTAAAGTCTGCATGTGGATATTCAGACATCTTTGAGGCTTTCGTTGGAAACGGGATTTCTTCATATTCTGCTAGACAGAAGAATTCTCAGTAACTTCCTTGTGTTGTGTGTATTCAACTGACACAGTTGAACTTTCATTTAGAGAGAGCAGATTTGAAACACTGTTTTTGTGGAATTTGCAAGTGGAGATTTCAAGCGCTTTCGGGCCAAAGGCAGAAAACGAAATATCTTCGTATAAAAACTAGACAGAATCATTCTCAGAAACTGCTCTGCGATGTGTGCGTTCAACTCTCAGAGTTTAACTTTTCTTTTCATTCAGCAGTTTGGAAACACTCTGTTTGTAAAGTCTGCACGTGGATATTTTGACCACTTAGAGGCCTTCGTTGGAAACGGGTTTTTTTCATGTAAGGCTAGACAGAAGAATTCCCAGTAACTTCCTTGTGTTGTGTACATTCAACTCACAGAGTTGAACGTTCCCTTAGACAGAGCAGATTTGAAACACTCTTTTTGTGCAATTGGCAAGTGGTGATTTCAGCCGCTTTGAAGTCTATGGTAGAAAAGGAAATATCTTCGTATAAAAACTAGACAGAATCATTCCCACAAACTGCGTTGTGATGTGTTCGTTCAACTCACAGAGTTTAACCTTTCTGTTACATAGAGCAGTTAGGAAACACTCTGTTTGTAATGTCTGTAAGTGGATATTCTGACATCTTGTGGCCTTCGTTGGAAACGGGATTTCTTCATATTCTGCTAGACAGAATAATTCTCAGTAACTTTCCTTGTGTTGTGTGTATTCAACTCACAGAGTTGAAGGATCCTTTACAGAGAGCAGGCTTGAAACACTCTTTTTGTCGAATTTGCAAGTGGAGATTTCAGCCGCTTTGAGGTCAATGGTAGAATAGGAAATATCTTCTTATAGAAACTAGACAGAATGATTCTCAGAAACTCCTTTGTGATGTGTGTGTTCAACTCACAGAGTTTAACCTTTCTTTTCATAGAGCAGCTAGTAAACACTCTGTTTATAAAGTCTGCAAGTGGATATTCAGACCCCTTTGAGGCCTTCGTTGGAAACGGGATTTCTTCATATTATGCTAGACAGAAGAATTCCCAGTAACTTCCTTGTGTTGTGTGTGTTCAACTCACAGAGTTGAACTTTCATTTACACAGAGCAGATTTGAAACACTCTTTTTGTGGAATTTGCAAATGGAGATTTCAAGCGCTTTGAGGCCAAAGGCAGAAAAGGAAATATCTTTGTATAAAAACTAGACAGAATCATTCTCAGAAACTGCTCTGCGATGTGTGCGTTCAACTCTCAGAGTTTAACTTTTCTTTTCATTCAGCAGTTTGGAAACACTCTGTTTGTAAAGTCTGCACGTGGATATTTCGACCACTTAGAGGCCTTCGTTGGAAACGGGTTTTTTTCCTGTAAGGCTAGACAGAAGAATTCCCAGTAACTTCCTTGTGTTGTGTACATTCAACTCACAGAGTTGAACGTTCCCTTAGACAGAGCAGATTTGAAACACTCTTTTTGTGCAATTGGCAAATGGAGATTTCAAGCGCTTTAAGGTCAATGGCAGGAAAGGAAATATCTTCGTTTCAAAACTAGACAGAATGATTCTCAGAAAATCCTTTGTGATGTGTGCGTTCAACTCACAGAGTTTAACTTTTCTTTTCATAGAGCAGTTAGGAAACACTCTGTTTGTAAAGTCTGCAAGTGGATATTCAGACCTCTTTGAGGCCTTCATTGGAAACGGGATTTCTTCATATTATGCTAGACAGAATAATTCTCAGTAACTTCCTTGTGTTGTGTGTATTCAACTCACAGAGTTGAACGATCCTTTACAGAGAGCAGACTTGAAACACTCTTTTTGTGGAATTTGCAAGTGGAGATTTCAGCCGCTTTGAGGTCAATGGTAGAATAGGAAATATCTTCCTATAGAAACTAGACAGAATGATTCTCAGAAACTCCTTTGTGATGCGTGCGTTCAACTCACAGAGTTTAACCTTTCTTTTCATAGAGCAGTTGGGAAACACTCTGTTTGTAAAGTCTGCAAGTGGATATTCAGACTTCTTTGAGGCTTTCGTTGGAAACGGGATTTCTTCATATTCTGCTAGAAAGAAGAATTCCCAGTAACTTCCTTGTGTTGTGTGTGTTCAACTCACAGAGTTGAACTTTCATTTACACAGAGCAGATTTGAAACACTCTTTTTGTGGAATTTGCAAGTGGAGATTTCAAGCGCTTTGAGGCTAAAGGCAGAAAAGGAAATATCTTCGTATAAAAACTAGACAGAATCATTCTCAGAAACTGCTGCGTGATGTGTGCGATCAACACTCAGAGTTTAACTTTTCTTTTCATTCAGCGGTTTGGAAACACTCTGTTTGTAAAGTCTGCACGTGGAAATTTTGACAACTTAGAGACCTTCGTTGGAAACGGGATTTTTTCATGTAAGGCTAGACAGAAGAATTCCCAGTAACTTCCTTGTGTTGTGTACATTCAACTCACAGAGTTGAACGTTCCCTTAGACAGAGCAGATTTGAAACACTCTTTTTGTGCAATTGGCAAATGGAGATTTCAAGCGCTTTAAGGTCAATGCAGAAAAGGAAATATCTTCGTTTCAAAACTAGGCAGAATCATTCCCACAAACTGCGTTGTGATGTGTTCGTTCAACTCACAGAGTTTAACCTTTATGTTCATAGAGCAGTTAGGAAACACTCTGTTTGTAAAGTCTGTAAGTGGATATTCCGACATCTTGTGGCCTTCGTTGGAAACGGGATTTCTTCATATTCTGCTAGACGGAAGAATTCTCATAAACTTCCTTGTGTTGTGTGTTTTCAACTCACAGAGTTGAACGATCCTTTACACAGAGCAGACTTGAAACACTCCTTTTGTGGAATTTGCAAGTGGAGATTTCAGCCGCTTTGAGGTCAATGGTAGAATAGGAAATATCTTCCTATAGAAACTAGACAGAATGATTCTCAGAAACTTCTTTGTGATGTGTGCGTTCAACTCACAGAGTTTAACCTTTCCTTTCATAGAGCAGTTAGGAAACACTCTGTAAACTCTGCAAGTGGATATTCAGACCTCTTTGAGGCCTTCGTTGGAAACGGGATTTCTTCATACTATGCTAGACAGAAGAATTCTCAGTAACTTCCTTGTGTTGTGTGTATTCAACTGACAGAGTTGAACATTCATTTAGAGAGAGCAGATTTGAAACACTGTTTTTGTGGAATTTGCAAGTGGAGATTTCAAGCGCTTTGGGGCCAAAGGCAGAAAAGGTAATATCTTCGTATAAAAACTAGACAGAATCTTTCTCAGAAACTGCTCTGCGATGTATGCGTTCAACTCTCAGAGTTTAACTTTTCTTTTCATTCAGCAGTTTGGAAACACTCTGTTTGTAAAGTCTGCACGTGGATATTTTGACCACTTAGAGGCCTTCGTTGGAAACGGGTTTTTTTCCTGTAAGGCTAGACAGAAGAATTCCCAGTAACTTCCTTGTGTTGTGTACATTCAACTCACAGAGTTGAACGTTCCCTTAGACAGAGCAGATTTGAAACACTCTTTTTGTGCAATTGGCAAATGGAGATTTCAAGCGCTTTAAGTTCAATGGCAGAAAAGGAAATATCTTCGTTTCAAAACTAGACAGAATGATTCTCAGAAACTCCTTTGTGATGTGTGCGTTCAACTCACAGAGTTTAACTTTTCTTTTCATTCAGCAGTTTGGAAACACTCTGTTTGTAAAGTCTGCACGTGGATAATTTGACCACTTAGAGGCCTTCATTGGAAACGGGTTTTTTTCATGTAAGGCTAGACAGAGCAATTCCCAGTAACTTCCTTGTGTTGTGTACATTCAACTCACAGAGTTGAACGTTCCCTTAGACAGAACAGATATGAAACACTCTTTTTCTGCAATTGGCAAGTGGTGATTTCAGCCGCTTTGAGGTCAATGGTAGAAAAGGAAATATCTTCGTATAAAAACTAGACAGAATGATTCTCAGAAACTTCATTGTGACGTGTGCGTTCAACTCACAGAGTTTAACCTTTCTTTTCATAGAGCAGTTAGGAAACACTCTGTTTGTAAAGTCTGCAAGTGGATATTCAGACCTCTTTGAGGCCTTCGTTGGAAACGGGATTTCTTCATACTGTGCTAGACAGAAGAATTCTCAGTAACTTCCTTGTGTTGTGTGTATTCAACTCACAGAGTTGAACGATCCTTTACACAGAGCGGACTTGAAACACACTTTTTGTGGAACTTGCAAGTGGAGATTTCAGCCGCGTTGAGGTCAATGGTAGAAAAGGAAATATCTTCGTATAAAAACTAGACAGAATGATTCTCAGAAACTCCTTTGTGATGTGTGTGTTCAACTCACAGAGTTTAACCTTTCTTTTCATAGAGCAGTTAGGAAACACTCTGTTTGTAAAGTCTGCAAGAGGATATTCAGACCTCTTTGAGGCCTTCTTTGGAAACGGGTTTTTTTCATATAAGGCTAGACGGAAGAATTCCCAGTAACTTCCTTGTGTTGTGTGTGTTCAACTCACAGAGTTGAACTTTCATTTACACAGAGCACATTTGAAACACTCTTTTTGTGGAATTTGCAAATGGAGATTTCAAGCGCTTTGAGGCCAAAGGCAGAAAAGGAAATATCTTCGTATAAAAACTAGACAGAATCATTCTCAGAAACTGCTCTGCGATGTGTGCGTTCAACTCTCAGAGTTTAACTTTTCTTTTCATTCAGCAGTTCGGAAACACTCTGTTTGTAAAGTCTGCACGTGGATAACTTGACCACTTAGAGGCCTTCGTTGGAAACAGGTTTTTTTCACGTAAGGTTAGACGGAAGAATTCTCAGTAACTTCCTTGTGTTGTGTGTATTCAACTCACAGAGTTGAACGATCCTTTACACAGAGCAGACTTGAAACACTCTATTTGTAGAATTTGCAAGTGGAGATTTCAGCCGCTTTGACGTCAATAGTAGAAAAGGAAATATCTTCGTAGAAAAACTAGACAGAATGATTCTCAGAAACTCCTTTGTGATGTGTGCGTTCAACTCACAGAGTTTAACCTTTCTGTTCATAGAGCAGTTAGGAAACACTCTGTTTGTAAAGTCTGCAAGTGGATATTCAGATCTCCTTGAGGCCTTCGTTGGAAACGGGATTTCTTCATATTCTGCTAGACAGAAGAATTCCCAGTAACTTCCTTGTGTTGTGTGTGTTCAACTCACAGAGTTGAACTTTCATTTACACAGAGCAGATTTGAAACACTCTTTTTGTGGAATTTGCAAATGGAGATTTCAAGCGCTTTGAGGCCAAAGGCAGAAAAGGAAATATCTTCGTATAAAAACTAGACAGAATCATTCTCAGAAACTGCTCTGCGATGTGTGCGTTCAACTCTCAGAGTTTAACTTTTCTTTTCATTCAGCAGTTTGGAAACACTCTGTAAAGTCTGCACGTGGATAACTTGACCACTTAGAGGCCTTCGTTGGAAACGGGTTTTTTTCCTGTAAGGCTAGACAAAAGAATTCCCAGTAACTTCCTTGTGTTGTGTACATTCAACTCACAGAGTTGAACGTTCCCTTAGACAGAGCAGATTTGAAACACTCTTTTTGTGCAATTGGCAAGTGGAGATTTCAAGCGCTTTGAGGTCAATGGCAGAAAAGGAAATATCTTCGTTTCAAAACTAGACAGAATCATTCCCACAAACTGCGTTGTGATGTGTTCGTTCTACTCACAGAGTGTAACCTTTCTTTTCATAGAGCAGTTAGGAAACAGTCTGTTTGAAAATTCTGTAAGGGGATATTCTGACATCTTGTGGCCTTCGTTGGAAACGGGATTTCTTCATATTCTGCTAGACAGAAGAATTCTCAGTAACTTCCCTGTGTTGTGTGTATTCAACTCACAGAGTTGAATGATCCTTTACACAGAGCAGACTTGAAACACTCTTTTTGTGGAATTTGCAAGTGGAGATTTCAGCCGCTTTGAGTTCAATGGTAGAATAGGAAATATCTTCCTATAGAAACTAGACAGAATGATTCTCAGAAACTCCTTTGTGATGTGTGCGTTCAACTCACAGAGTTTAACCTTTCTTTTCATAGAGCAGTTAGGAAACACTCTGTTTGTAAAGTCTGCAAGTGGATATTCAGACCTCTTTGAGGCCTTCGTTGGAAACGGGTTTTTTTCATATAAGCTAGACAGAAGAATTCCCAGTAACTTCCTTGTGTTGTGTGTGTTCAACTCACAGAGTTGAACTTTCATTTACACAGAGCAGATTTGAAACACTCTTTTTGTGGAATTTGCAAGTGGAGATTTCAAGCGCTTTGAGGCCAAAGGCAGAAAAGTTAATATCTTCGTTTGAAAACTAGACAGAATCATTCTCAGAAACTGCTGCGTGATGTGTGCGTTCAACTCTAAGAGTTTAACTATTCTTTTCATTCAGCGGTTTGGAAACACTCTGTTTGTAAAGTCTGCACGTGGATATTTTGACCACTTAGAGGCCTTCGTTGGAAACGGGTTTTTTGCATGTAAGGCTAGACAGAAGAATTCCCAGTAACTTCCTTGTGTTGTCCACATTCAACTCACAGAGTTGAACGTTCCCTTAGACAGAGCAGATTTGAAACACTCTTTTTGTGCAATTGGTAAGTGGTGATTTCAGGCGCTTTGAGGTCAATGGTAGAAAAGGAAATATCTTCGTATAAAAACTAGACAGAAATGATTCTCAGAAACTCCTTTGAGATGTGTGTGTTCAACTCACAGGAGTTTAACCTTTCTTTTCATAGAGCAGTTAGGAAACACTCTGTTTGTAAACTCTGCAAGTGGATATTCAGACCTCTTTGAGGCCTTCGTTGGAAACCGGATTTCTTCATACTGTGCTAGACAGAAGAATTCTCATTAACTTCCTTGTGTTGTGTTTATTCAACTCACAGAGTTGAATGATCCTTTACACAGAGCAGACTTGAAACACTCTTTTTGTGGAATTTGCAAGTGGAGATTTCAGCCGCTTTGAGGTCAATGGTAGAAAAGTAAATATCTTCGTATAAAGACTAGACAGAATGATTCTCAGAAACTCCTTTGTGATGTGTGCGTTCAACTCACACAGTTTAACCTTTCTTTTCATAGAGCTGTTAGGAAACACTCTGTTTGTAAAGTCTGCAAGTGGATATTCAGACCTCCTTGAGGCCTTCGTTGGAAACGGGATTTCTTCATATTCTGCTAGAAAGAAGAATTCTCAGTAACTTCCTTGTGTTGTGTGTACTCAACTCACAGAGTTGAACGATCCTTTACACAAAGCAGACTTGAAACACTCTTTTAGTGGAATTTGCAAGTGGAGATTTCAGCCGCTTTGAGGTCAATAGTAGAAAAGGAAATATCTTCGTAGAAAAACTAGACAGAATCATGCTCAGAAACTGCTCTGCGATGTGTGCGTTCAACTCTCAGAGTTTAACTTTTCCTTTCATTCAGCAGTTTGGAAACACTCTGTTTGTAAAGTCTGCACGTGCATAATTTGACCGCTTAGAGGCCTTCGTTGGAAACGGGTTTTTTTCATGTAAGGCTAGACAGAAGAATTCCCAGTAACTTCCTTTTGTTGTGTGCATTCAACTCACAGAGTTGAACGTTCCCTTAGACAGAGCAGATTTGAAACACTCTATTTGTGCAATTTGCAAGTGTAGATTTCAAGCGCTTTAAGGTCAATGGCAGAAAAGGAAATATCTTCGTTTCAAAACTAGACAGAATCATTCCCACAAACTGCGTTGTGATGTGTTCGTTCAACTCACAGAGTTTAACCTTTCTGTTCATAGAGCAGTTAGGAAACACTCTGTTTGTAAAGTCTGTAAGTGGATATTCTGACATCTTGTGGCGTTCGTTGGAAACGGGATTTCTTCATATTCTGCTAGACAGAAGAATTCTCAGTAACTTCCTTGTGTTGTTTGTATTCAACTCACAGAGTGGAACGATCCTTTACACAGAGCAGACTTGAAACACTCTTTTTGTGGAATTTGCAAGTGGAGATTTCAGCCGCTTTGAGGTCAATGGTAGAAAAGGAAATATCTTCGTAAAAAAACTAGACAGAATGATTCTCAGAAACTCCTTTGTGATGTGTGCGTTCATCTCACAGGGTTTAACCTTTCTTTTCATAGAGCAGTTAGGAAACACTCGGTTTGTAAAGTCTGCACGTGGATATTTGGACTTCTTTGAGGCCTTCGTTGGAAACGGGTTTTTTCATGTAAGGCTAGACAGAAGAATTCCCAGTAACTTCCCTTGTGTTGTGTGTGTTGAACTCACAGAGTTGAACTTTCATTTAGACAGAGCAGATTTGAAACACTCTTTTTGTGGAATTTGCAAATGGAGAATTCATGCACTTTGAGGCCAAAGGCAGAAAAGGAAATATCTTCGTATAAAAACTAGACAGAATCATTCTCAGAAACTGCTGCGTGATGTGCGCGTTCAACTCTCAGAATTTAACTTTTCTTTTCATTCAGCGGTTTGGAAACACTGTGTTTGTAAAGTCTGCACGTGGATATTTTGACCACTTAGAGGCCTTCGTTGGAAACGGGTTTTTTTCATGTAAGGCTAGACAGAAGAATTCCCAGTAACTTCCTTGTGTTGTGTGCATTCAACTCACAGAGTTGAACGTTCCCTTAGACAGAGCAGATTTGAAACACTCTATTTGTGCAATTTGCAAGTGTAGATTTCAAGCGCTTTAAGGTCAGTGGCAGAAAAGGAAATATCTTCGTTTCAAAACTAGACAGAATCATTCCCACAAACTGCGTTGTGATGTGTTCGTTCAACTCACAGAGTTTAACCTTTCTCTTCATAGAGCAGTTAGGAAACACTCTGTTTGTAAAGTCTGTAAGTGGATATTCTGACATCTTGTGGCCTTCGTTGGAAAAGGGATTTCTTCATATTCTGCTAGACAGAAGAATTCTCAGTAACTTCCTTGTGTTGTGTGTATTCAACTCACAGAGTTGAACGATCCTTTACACAGAGCAGACTTGAAACACACTTTTTGTGGAATTTGCAAGTGGAGATTTCAGCCGCTTTGAGGTCAATGGTAGAATAGGAAATATCTTCCTATAGAAACTAGACAGACAATGATTCTCAGAAACTCCTTTGTGATGTGTGCGTTCAACTCACAGCAGTTTAACCTTTCTTTTCATAGAGCAGTTAGGAAACACTCTGTTTGTAAAGTCTGCAAGTGGATATTCAGACCTCTTTGAGGCCTTCGTTGGAAACGGGTTTTTTTCATATAAGGCTAGACAGAAGAATTCCCAGTAACTTCCTTGTGTTGTGTGTGTTCAACTCACAGAGTTGAACTTTCATTTACACAGAGCAGATTTGAAACACTCTTTTTGTGGAATTTGCAAGTGGAGATTTCAAGCGCTTTGAGGCCAAAGGCAGAAAAGGAAATATCTTCGTTTCAAAACTGGACAGAATCATTCTCAGAAACTGCTCTGCGATGTGTGCGTTCAACTCTCAGAGTTTAACTTTTCTTTTCATTCAGCAGTTTGGAAACACTCTGTTTGTAAAGTCTGCACGTGGATAATTTGACCACTTAGAGGCCTTCGTTGGAAACGGGTTTTTTTCATGTAAGGCTAGACAGAAGAATTCCCAGGAACTTCCTTGTGTTGTGTACATTCAACTCACAGAGTTGAACGTTCCCTTAGACAGAGCAGATTTGAAACACTCTTTTTGTGCAATTGGCAAGTGGTGATTTCAGCCGCTTTGAGGTCAATGGTAGAAAAGGAAATATGTTCGTATAAAAACTAGACAGAATGATTCTCAGAAACTCCTTTGTGATGTGTGCGTTCAACTCACAGAGTTTAACCTTTCTTTTCATAGAGCAGTTAGGAAACACTCTGTTTGTAAACTCTGCAAGTGGATATTTAGACCTCTTTGAGGCCTTCGTTGGAAACGGGATTTCTTCATACTGTGCTAGACAGAAGAATTCTCAGAAACTTCCTTGTGTTGTGTGTTTTCAACTCACAGAGTTGAACGATGCTTTACACTGAGTAGACTTGAAACACACTTTTTGTGTAATTTGCAAGTGGAGATTTCAGCCGCTTTGAGTTCAATGGTAGAAAAGGAAATATCTTCGTATAAAAACTAGACAGAATGATTCTCAGAAACTTCTTTGTGATGTGTGCGTTCAACTCACAGAGTTTAACCTTTCTTTTCATAGAGCAGTTAGGAAACACTCTGTTTGTAAAGTCTGCAAGTGGATATTCAGACCTCCTTGAGGCCTTCGTTGGAAACGGGTTTTTTTCATATAAGGCTAGACAGAAGAATTCTCAGTAACTTCCTTGTGTTGTGTGTATTCAAGTGACAGAGTTGAACTTTCATTTAGAGAGAGCAGATTTGAAACACTGTTTTTGTGGAATTTGCACGTGGAGATTTCAAGCGCTTTGGGGCCAAAGGCAGAAAAAGATATATCTTCGTATAAAAACTAGACAGAATCATTCTCAGAAACTGCTGCGTAATGTGTGCGTTCAACTCTCAGAGTTTAACTTTTCTTTTCATTCAGCGGTTTGGAAACACTCTGTTTGTAAAGTCTACACGTGGAAATTTTGACCACTTAGAGGCCTTCGTTGGAAACGGGTTTTTTTCATGTAAGGCTAGACAGAAGAATTCCCAGTAACTTCCTTGTGTTGTGTGCATTCAACTCACAGAGTTGAACGTTCCCTTAGACAGAGCAGATTTGAAACACTCTATTTGTGCAATTTGCAAGTGTAGTTTTCAAGCTCTTTAAGGTCAACGGCAGAAAAGGAAATATCTTCGTTTCAAAACTAGACAGAATGATTCTCATAAACTCCTTTGTGATGTGTGCGTTCAACTCACAGAGTCTAACCTTTCTTTTCATAGAGCAGTTAGGAAACACTCTGTTTGTAAAGTCTGCAAGTGGATATTCAGACCTCCTTGAGGCCTTCGTTGGAAACGGGATTTCTTCATATTCTGCTAGACAGAAGAATTCTCAGTAACTTCCTTGTGTTGTGTTTATTCAACTCACAGAGTTGAATGATCCTTTACACAGAGCAGACTTGAAACACTCTTTTTGTGGAATTTGCAAGTGGAGATTTCAGCCGCTTTGAGGTCAATGGTAGAAAAGTAAATATCTTCGTATAAAGACTAGACAGAATGATTCTCAGAAACTTCTTTGTGATGTGTGCGTTCAACTCACAGAGTTTAACCTTTCTTTTCATAGAGCAGTTAGGAAACACTCTGTTTGTAAACTCTGCAAGTTGATATTCAGACCTCTTTGAGGCCTTCGTTGGAAACGGGATTTCTTCATACTATGCTAGACAGAAGAATTCTCAGTAACTTCCGCGTGTTGTGTGTATTCAACTCACAGAGTTGAACGATCCTTTACACAGAGCAGACTTGAAACACTCTTTTTGTGGAATTTGCAAGTGGAGATTTCAGCCGCTTTGAGGTCAAAGGTAGAAAAGGAAATATCTTCCTATAAAAACTAGACAGAATCATTCCCACAAACTGCGTTGTGATGTGTTCGTTCAACTCACAGAGTTTAACCTTTCTTTTCATAGAGCAGTTAGGAAACACTCTGTTGGTAAATTCTGTAAGTGGATATTCTGACATCTTGTGGCCTACCGTTGGAAACGGGATTTCTTCATATTCTGCTAGACAGAAGAATTCCCAGTAACTTCCTTGTGTTGTGTGCATTCAACTCACAGAGTTGAACGTTCCCTTAGACAGAGCAGATTTGAAACACTCTATTTGTGCAATTTGCAAGTGTAGATTTCAAGCTCTTTATGGTCAACGGCAGAAAAGGAAATATCTTCGTTTCAAAACTAGACAGAATCATTCCCACAAACTGCGTTGTGATGTGTTCGTTCAACTCACAGAGTTTAACCTTTCTGTTCATAGAGCAGTTAGGAAACACTCTGTTTGTAAAGTCTGCAAGTGGATATTCAGACCTCCTTGAGGCCTTCGTTGGAAACGGGATTTCATCATATTATGCTAGACAGAAGAATTCTCAGTAACTTCCTTGTGTTGTGTGTATTCAACTCACAGAGTTGAACGATCCTTTACAGAGAGCAGACTTGAAACACTCTTTTTGTGGAATTTGCAAGTGGAGATTTCAGCCGCTTTGAGGTCAATGGTAGAAAAGGATATATCTTCGTATAAAGAATAGACAGAATGATTCTCAGAAACTCCTTTGTGATGTGTGCGTTCAACTCACAGAGTTTCACCTTTCTTTTCATAGAGCAGTTAGGAAACACTCTGTTTGTAAAGTCTGCAAGTGGATATTCAGACCTCCTTGAGGCCTTCGTTGGAAACGGGATTTCTTCATATTCTGCTAGACAGAAGAATTCCCAGTAACTTCCTTGTGTTGTGTGTGTTCAACTCACAGAGTTGAACTTTCATTTACACAGAGCAGATTTGAAACACTCTTTTTGTGGAATTTGCAAATGGAGATTTCAAGCGCTTTGAGGCCAAAGACAGAAAAGGAAATATCTTCGTATAAAAACTAGACAGAATCATTCTCAGAAACTGCTGCGTGATGTGTGCGTTCAACTCTCAGAGTTTAACTTTTCTTTTCATTCAGCGGTTTGGAAACACTCTGTTTGTAAATTCTGCACGTGGAAATTTTGACCACTTAGAGGCCTTCGTTGGAAACGGGTTTTTTTCATGTAAGGCTAGACAGAAGAATTCCCAGTAACTTCCTTGTGTTGTGTGCATTCAACTCACAGAGTTGAACGTTCCCTTAGACAGAGCAGATTTGAAACACTCTATTTGTGCAATTTGCAAGTGTAGATTTCAAGCGCTTTAAGGTCAACGGCAGAAAAGGAAATATCTTCGTTTCAAAACTAGACAGAATGATTCTCAGAAACTCCTTTGTGATGTGTGCGTTCAACTCACAGAGTTTAACCTTTCTGTTCATAGAGCAGTTAGGAAACACTCTGTTTGTAAAGTCTGCAAGTGGATATTCAGACCTCCTTTAGGCCTTCGTTGGAAACGGGATTTCTTCATATTCTGCTAGACAGAAGAATTCTCAGTAACTTCCTTGTGTTGTGTGTATTCAACTCACAGAGTTGAACAATCCTTTACACAGAGCAGACTTGAAACACTCTTTTTGTGGAATTTGCAAGTGGAGATTTCAGCCGCTTTGAGGTCAATGGTAGAAAAGGAAATATCTTCGTATAAAGACTAGACAGAATGATTCTCAGAAACTCCTTTGTGATGTGTGCGTTCAACTCACAGAGTTTAAACTTTCTTTTCATAGAGCAGTTAGGAAACACTCTGTTTGTAAAGTCTGCAAGTGGATATTCACACATCCTTGAAGCTTTCGTTGGAAACGGGATTTCTTCATATTCTGCTAGAAAGAAGAATTCCCAGTAACTTCCTTGTGTTGTGTGTGTTCAACTCACAGATTTGAACTTTCATTTACACAGAGCAGATTTGAAACACTCTTTTTGTGGAATTTGCAAGTGGAGATTTCAAGCGCTTTGAGGCCAAAGGCAGAAAAGGAAATATCTTCGTTTCAAAACTAGACAGAATCATTCTCAGAAACTGCTGCGTGATGTGTGCGTTCAACTCTCAGAGTTTAACTTTTCTTTTCATTCAGCGGTTTGGAAACACTCTGTTTGTAAAGTCTGCACGTGGAAATTTTGACCACTTAGAGGCCTTCGTTGGAAACGGGTTTTTTTCATGTAAGGCTAGAGAGAAGAATTCCCAGTAACTTCCTTGTGTTGTGTGCATTCAACTCACAGAGTTGAACGTTCCCTTAGACAGAGCAGATTTGAAACACTCTATTTGTGCAATTTGCAAGTGTAGATTTCAAGCGCTTTAAGGTCAACGGCAGAAAAGGAAATATCTTCGTTTCAAAACTAGACAGAATGATTCTCAGAAACTCCTTTGTGATGTGTGTGTCCAACTCACAGAGTTTAACCTTTCTTTTCATAGAGCAGTTAGGAAACACTCTGTTTGTAAAGTCTGCAAGAGGATATTCAGACCTCTTTGAGGCCTTCGTTGGAAACGGGTTTTTTTCCTGTAAGGCTAGACAGAAGAATTCCCAGTAACTTCCTTGTGTTGTGTGTGTTCAACTCACAGAGTTGAACTTTCATTTACACAGAGCAGATTTGAAACACTCTTTTTGTGGAATTTGCAAATGGAGATTTCAGCCGCGTTGAGGTCAATGGTAGAAAAGGAAATATCTTCGTTTCAAAACTAGACAGAATGATTCTCAGAAACTCCTTTGTGATGTGTGCGTTCAACTCACAGAGTTTAACCTTTCTTTTCATAGAGCAGTTAGGAAACACTCTGTTTGTAAAGTCTGCACGTGGATATTTGGACTTCTTTGAGGCCTTCGTTGGCAACGGGGTTTTTTCATATAAGGCTAGACAGAAGAATTCTCAGTAACTTCCTTGTGTTGTGTGTATTCAACTGACAGAGTTGAACTTTCATTTAGAGAGAGCAGATTTGAAACACTGTTTTTGTGGAATTTGCAAGTGGAGATTTCAAGCGCTTTGGGGCCAAAGGCAGAAAAGGAAATATCTTCGTATAAAAACTCAGCAGAATCATTCTCAGAAACTGCTCTGCGATGTGTGCGTTCAACTCTCAGAGTTTAACTTTTCTTTTCATTCAGCAGTTAGGAAACACTCTGTTTGTAAAGTCTGCAAGTGGATATTCAGACCTCTTTGAGGCCTTCGTTGGAAACGGGTTTTTTTCATATAAGGCTAGACAGAAGAATTCCCAGTAACTTCCTTGCGTTGTGTACATTCAACTCACAGAGTTGAACGTTCCCTTAGACAGAGCAGATTTGAAACACTCTTTTTGTGCAATTGGCAAGTGGAGATTTCAAGCGCTTTAAGGTCAATGGCAGAAAAGGAAATATCTTCGTTTCAAAACTAGACAGAATGATTCTCAGAAACTCCTTTCTGATGTGTGCGTTCAACTCGCAGAGTTTAACTTTTCTTTTCATAGAGCAGTTAGGAAACACTCTGTTTGTAAAGTCTGCAAGTGGATATTCAGACCTCTTTGAGGCCTTCGTTGGAAACGGGATTTCTTCATATTCTGCTAGACAGAAGAATTCTCAGAATCTTCCCTTGTGTTGTGTGTATTCAACTCACAGAGTTGAAAGACCCTTTACACAGAGCGGACTTGAAACACTCTTTTTGTGGAATTTGCAAGTGGAGATTTCAGCCGCGTTGAGGTCAATGGTAGAAAAGGAAATATCTTCGTATAAAAACTAGACAGAATGATTCTCAGAAACTCCTTTGTGATGTGTGCGTTCAACTCACAGAGTTTAACCTTTCTATTCATAGAGTAGTTAGGAAACACTCTGTTTGTAATGTCTGCAAGTGGATATTTTGACCTCTTTGAGGCCTTCGTTGGAAACGGGTTTTTTTCATGTAAGGCTAGACAGAAGAATTCCCAGTAACTTCCTTGTGTTGTGTGTGTTCAACTCACAGAGTTGAACTTTCATTTACACAGAGCAGATTTGAAACACTCTTTTTGTGGAATTTGCAAGTGGAGACTTCAAGCGCTTTGAGGCCAAAGGCAGAAAAGGAAATATCTTCGTTTCAAAACTAGACAGAATCATTCTCAGAAACTGCTGCATGATATGTGCGTTCAACTCTCAGAGTTTAACTTTTCTTTTCATTCAGCGGTTTGGAAACACTCTGTTTGTAAAGTCTGCACGTGGATATTTTGACCACTTAGAGGCCTTCGTTGGAAACGGGTTTTTTTCATGTAAGGCTAGACAGAAGAATTCTCAGTAACTTCCTTGTGTTGTGTGTATTCAACTCACAGAGTTGAACGATCCTTTACACAGAGCAGACTTGAAACACTCTATTTGTGCAATTTGCAAGTGTAGATTTCAAGCGCTTTAAGGTCAATGGCAGAAAAGGAAATATCTTCGTTTTAAAACTAGACAGAATCATTCCCACAAACTGCGTTGTGATGTGTTCGTTCAACTCACAGAGTTTAACCTTTCTGTTCATAGAGCAGTGAGGAAACACTCTGTTTGTAAAGTCTGTAAGTGGATATTCTGACATCTTGTGGCCTTCGTTGGAAACAGGATTTCTTCATATTCTGCTAGACAGAATAATTCTCAGTAACTTCCTTGTGTTGTGTGTATTCAACTCACAGAGTTGAAGGATCCTTTAGAGAGAGCAGGCTTGAAACACTCTGTTTGTCGAATTTGCAAGTGGAGATTTCAGCCGCTTTGAGGTCAATGGTAGAATAGGAAATATCTTCTTATAGAAACTAGACAGAATGATTCTCAGAAACTTCTTTGTGATGTGTGCGTTCAACTCACAGAGTTTAACCTTTCTTTTCATAGAGCAGTTAGGAAACACTCTGTTTGTAAACTCTGCAAGTGGATATTCAGACCTGTTTGAGGCCTTCGTTGGAAACGGGATTTCTTCATACTATGCTAGACAGAAGAATTCTCAGTAACTTCCTTGTGTTGTGTGTATTCAACTCACAGAGTTGAACGATCCTTTACACAGAGCAGACTTCTAACACTCTTTTTGTGGAATTTGCAAGTGGAGATTTCAGCCGCTTTGAAGTCAAAGGTAGAAAAGGAAATATCTTCCTATAAAAACTAGACAGAATGATTCTCAGAAACTCCTTTGTGATGTGTGCGTTCAACTCACAGAGATTAACCTTTCTTTTCATAGAGCAGTTAGGAAACACTCTGTTTGTAAAGTCTTCAAGTGGATATTCAGACCTCTTTGAGGCCTTCGTTGGAAACGGGATTTCTTCATATTCTGCTAGACAGAAGAATTCTCAGTAACTTCCTTGTGTTGTGTGTATTCAACTCACAGAGTTGAACGGATCCTTTACACAGAGCAGACTTGAAACACTCTATTTGTGCAATTTGCAAGTGTAGATTTCAAGCGCTTTAAGGTCAATGGCAGAAAAGGAAATATCTTCGTTTTAAAACTAGACAGAAATCATTCCCAAAAACTGCGTTGTGATGTGTTCGTTCATCTCACAGAGTTTAACCTTTCTTTTCATAGAGCAGTTAGGAAACAGTCTGTTTGTAAATTCTGTAAGTGGATATTCTGACATCTTGTGGCCTTCGTTGGAAACGGGATTTCTTCATATTCTGCTAGACAGAATAATTCTCAGTAACTTCCTTGTGTTGTGTGTATTCAACTCACAGAGTTGAACGGTCCTTTACACAGAGCAGACTTGAAACATTCTTTTTGTGGAATTTGCAAGTGGAGATTTCAGCCGCTTTGAGGTCAATGGTAGAATAGGAAATATCTTCCTATAGAAACTAGACAGAATGATTCTCAGAAACTCCTTTGTGATGTGTGCGTTCAACTCACAGAGTTTAACCTTTCTTTTCATAGAGCAGTTAGGAAACACTCTGTTTGTAAAGTCTGCAAGTGGATATTCAGACCTCCTTGAGGCCTTCGTTGGAAGCGGGATTTCTTCATGTTCAGCTAGACAGAAGAATTCTCAGAAACTTCCTTGTGTTGTGTGTTTTCAACTCACAGAGTTGAACGATCCTTTACACAGAGCAGACTTGAAACACTCTTTTTGTGGAATTTGCTAGTGGAGATTTCAGCCGCTTTGAGGTCAATGGTAGAATAGGAAATATCTTCCTATAGAAACTAGACAGAACGATTCTCAGAAACTCCTTTGTGATGTGTGCGTTCAACTCACAGTAGTTTAACTTTTCTTTTCATAGAGCAGTTAGGAAACACTCTGTTTGTAAAGTCTGCAAGTGGATATTCAGACCTCTTTGAGGCCTTCGTTGGAAACGGGATTTCTTCCTATTCTGCTAGACAGAATAAATCTCAGTAACTTCCTTGTGTTGTGTGTATTCAACTCACAGAGTTGAACGATCCTTTACACAGAGCAGACTTGAAACACTCTTTTTGTGGAATTTGCAAGTGGAGATTTCAGCCGCTTTGAGGTCAATAGTAGAAAAGGAAATATCTTCGTAGAAAAACTAGACAGAATCATTCCCACAAACTGCGCTGTGATGTGCTCGTTCAACTCACAGAGTTTAACCTTTCTGTTCATAGAGCAGTTAGGAAACACTCTGTTTGTAAAGTCTGTAAGTGGATATTCTGACATCTTGTGGCCTTCGTTGGAAACGGGTTTTCCTCATATTCTGCCAGACAGAAGAATTCTCAGTAACTTCCTTGTGTTGTGTGTATTCAACTCACAGAGTTGAACGATCCTTTACACAGAGCAGACTTGAAACTCTCTTTTTGTGGAATTTGCAAGTGGAGATTTCAGCCGCTTTGAGGTCAATGGTAGAATAGGAAATATCTTCCTATAGAAAATAGACAGAATGATTCTCAGAAACTCCTTTGTGATGTGTGCGTTCAACTCACAGATTTTAACCTTTCTTTTCATAGAGCAGTTAGGAAACACTCTGCTTGTAAAGTCTGCAAGTGGATATTCAGCCCTCTTTGAGGCCTTCGTTGGAAACGGGTTTTTTTCATATAAAGCTAGACAGAAGGATTCCCAGTAACTTCCTTGTGTTGTGTGTGTTCAACTCACAGAGTTGAACTTTCATTTACAATGAGCAGATTTGAAACACTCTTTTTGTGGAATTTGCAAGTGGAGATTTCAAGCGCTTTGAGGCCAAAGGCAGAAAAGGAAATATCTTCGTATAAAAACTAGACAGAATCATTCTCAGAAACTGCTCTGTGATGTGTGCGTTCAACTCTCAGAGTTTAACTTTTCTTTTCATTCAGCAGTTTGGAAACACTCTGTTTGTAAAGTCTGCACGTGGATAATTTGATCACTTAGAGGCCTTCGTTGGAAAGGGGTTTTTTTCATGTAAGGCTAGACAGAAGAATTCCCAGTAACTTCCTTGTGTTGTGTGCATTCAACTCACAGAGTTGAACGTTCCCTTAGACAGAGCAGATTTGAAACACTCTATTTGTGCAATTTGCAAGTGTAGTTTTCAAGCTCTTTAAGGTCAACGGCAGAAAAGGAAATATCTTGGTTTCAAAACTAGACAGAATGATTCTGAGATATCCTTTGTGATGTGTGCGTTCAACTCACAGAGTTCAACCTTTCTTTTCATAGAGCAGTTAGGAAACACTCTGTTTGTAAAGTCTGCAAGTGGATATTCAGACCTCCTTGAGGCCTTCGTTGGAAACGGGATTTCTTCATATTATGCTAGACAGAGGAATTCTCAGGAACTTCCTTGTGTTGTGTGTATTCAACTCACAGAGTTGAACGATCCTTTACACAGAGCAGACTTGAAACACTCTTTTTGTGGAATTTGCAAGTGGAGATTTCAGCCGCTTTGAGTTCAATGGTAGAATAGGAAATATCTTCCTATAGAAACTACACAGAATGATTCTCAGAAACTCCTTTGTGATGTGTGCGTTCAACTCACAGAGTTTAACCTTTCTTTTCATAGAGCAGTTAGGAAACACTCTGTTTGTAAAGTCTGCAAGTGGATATTCAGACCTCTTTGAGGCCTTCGTTGGAAACGGGATTTCTTCCTATTCTGCTAGACAGAAGAATTCTCAGTAACTTCCTTGTGTTGTGTGTATTCAACTCACAGAGTTGAACGATCCTTTACACAGAGCAGACTTGAGACACTCTTTTTGTGGAATTTGCAAGTGGAGATTTCAGCCGCTTTCAGGTCAATAGTAGAAAAGGAAATATCTTCGTAGAAAAACTAGACAGAATCATTCTCAGAAACTGCTGCGTGATGTGTGCGTTCAACTCTCAGAGTTTAACTTTTCTTTTCATTCAGCGTTTTGGAAACACTCTGTTTGTAAAGTCTGCACGTGGATATTTTGACCACTTAGAGGCCTTCGTTGGAAACGGGTTTTTTTTCATGTAAGGCTAGACAGAAGAATTCCCAGTAACTTCCTTGTGTTGTGTGCATTCAACTCACAGAGTTGAACGTTCCCTTAGACAGAGCAGATTTGAAACACTCTATTTGTGCAATTTGCAAGTGTAGATTTCAAGCGCTTTAAGGTCAACGGCAGAAAAGGAAATATCTTCGTTTCAAAACTAGACAGAATGATTCTCAGAAACTCCTTTGTGATGTGTGCGTTCAACTCACAGAGTTTAACCTTTCTGTTCATAGAGCTGTTAGGAAACACTCTGTTTGTAAAGTCTGCAAGTGGATATTCAGACCTCCTTGAGGCCTTCGTTGGAAACGGGATTTCTTCCTATTCTGCTAGACAGAATAATTCTCAGTAACTTCCTTGTGTTGTGTGTATTCAACTCACAGTAGTTGAACGATCCTTTACACAGAGCAGACTTGAAACACTCTTTTTGTGGAATTTGCAAGTGGAGATTTCAGCCGCTTTGAGGTCAATAGTAGAAAAGGAAATATCTTCGTAGAAAAACTAGACAGAATGATTCTCAGAAACTCCTTGTTGATGTGTGCGTTCAACTCACAGAGTTTAACTTTTCTTCTCATAGAGCAGTTAGGAAACACTCTGTTTGTAAAGTCTGCAAGTGGATATTCAGACCTCTTTGAGGCCTTCGTTGGAAACGGGTTTTCTTCATATTATGCTAGACAGAAGAATTCCCAGTAACTTTCCTTGTGTTGTGTGTGTTCAACTCACAGAGTTGAACTTTCATTTACACAGAGCAGATTTGAAACACTCTTTTTGTGGAATTTGCAAGTGGAGATTTCAAGCGCTGTGAAGCCAAAGGCAGAAAAGGAAATATCTTCGTATAAAAACTAGACAGAATCATTCTCAGAAACTGCTCTGCGATGTGTGCGTTCAACTCTCAGAGTTTAACTTTTCTTTTCATTCAGCAGTTTGGAAACACTCTGTTTGTAAAGTCTGCACGTGGATAATTTGACCCCTTAGAGGCCTTCGTTGGAAACGGGTTTTTTTCATGTAAGGCTAGACAGAAGAATTCCCAGTAACTTCCTTGTGTTGTGTGCATTCAACTCACAGAGTTGAACGTTCCCTTAGACAGAGCAGATTTGAAACACTCTATTTGTGCAATTTGCAAGTGTAGATTTCAAGCGCTTTAAGGTCAAAGGCAGAAAAGGAAATATCTTCGTTTCAAAACTAGACAGAAATCATTCCCACAAACTGCGTTGTGATGTGTTCGTTCAACTCACAGTAGTTTAACCTTTCTGTTCATAGAGCAGTTAGGAAACACTCTGTTTGTAAAGTCTGTAAGTGGATATTCTGACATCTTGTGGCCTTCGTTGGAAACGGGATTTCTTCATATTCTGCTAGACAGAAGAATTCTCAGTAACTTCCTTGTGTTGTGTGTATTCAACTCACAGAGTTGAACGATCCTTTACACAGAGCAGACTTGAAGTACTCTTTTTGTGGAATTTGCAAGTGGAGATTTCAGCCGCTTTGAGGTCAATGGTAGAAAAGGAAACTACCTTCATATAAAGACTAGACAGAATGATTCTCAGAAAATCTTTTGTGATGTGTGCGTTCAACTCACAGAGTTTAACTTTTCTTCTCATAGAGCAGTTAGGAAACACTCTGTTTGTAAAGTCTGCAAGTGGATATTCAGACCTCTTTGAGGCCTTCTTTGGAAACGGGATTTCTTCATATTCTGCTAGACAGAAGAATTCCCAGTAACTTCCTTGTGTTGTGTGTGTTCGACTCACAGAGTTGAACTTTCATTTACACAGAGCAGATTTGAAACACTCTTTTTGTGGAATTTGCAAGTGGAGATTTCAAGCGCTTTGAGGCCAAAGGCAGAAAAGGAAATATCTTTGTTTCAAAACTAGACAGAATCATTCTCAGAAACTGCTCTGCGATGTGTGCGTTCAACTCTCAGAGTTTAACTTTTCTTTTCATTCAGCAGTTTGGAAACACTCTGTTTGTAAAGTCTGCACGTGGATATTTTGACCACTTAGTGGCCTTCGTTGGAAACGGGTTTTCTTCCTGTAAGTCTAGACAGAAGAATTCCCAGTAACTTCCTTGTGTTGTGTACATTCAACTCACAGAGTTGAACGTTCCCTTAGACAGAGCAGATTTGAAACACTCTTTTTGTGCAATTGGCAAATGGAGATTTCAATCGCTTTAAGGTCAATGGCAGAAAAGGAAATATCTTCGTTTCAAAACTAGACAGACATCATTCCCACAAACTGCGTTGTGATGTGTTCGTTCATCTCACAGAGTTTAACCTTTCTTTTCATAGAGCAGTTAGGAAACAGTCTGTTTGTAAATTCTGTAAGTGGATATTCTGACATCTTGTGGCCTTCGTTGGAAACGGGATTTCTTCATATTCTGCTAGACAGAAGAATTCTCAGAATCTTCCTTGTGTTGTGTGTATTCAACTCACAGAGTTGAATGATGGTTTACACAGAGCAGATTTGAAACACTCTTTTTGTGGAATTTGCAAGTGGACATTTCAGCCGCTTTGAGGTCAATGGTAGAAAAGGAAATATCTTCGTATAAAAACTAGACAGAATGATTCTCAGAAACTCCTTTGTGATGTGTGTGTTCAACTCACAGAGTTTAACCTTTCTTTTCATAGAACAGTTAGTAAACACTCTGTTTATAAAGTCTGCAAGTGGATATTCAGACCCATTTGAGGCCTTCGTTGGAAACGGGATTTCTTCATATTATGCTAGACAGAAGAATTCCCAGTAACTTCCTTGTGTTGTGTGTGTTCAGCTCACAGAGGTGAACTTTCATTTACACAGAGCAGATTTGAAACACTCTTTTTGTGGAATTTGCAAGTGGAGATTTCAAGCGCTTTGAGGCCAAAGGCAGAAAAGGAAATATCTTCGTATAAAAAGTAGACAGAATCATACTCAGAAACTGCTGCGTGATGTGTGCGTTCAACTCTCAGAGTTTAACTTTTCTTTTCATTCAACGGTTTGGAAACACTCTGTTTGTAAAGTCTGCACGTGGATATTTTGACCACTTAGAGGCCTTCGTTAGAAACGGGTTTTTTTCATGTAAGGCTAGACAGAAGAATTCCCAGTAACTTCCTTGTGTTGTGTACATTCAACTCACAGAGTTGAACGTTCCCTTAGACAGAGCAGATTTGAAACACACTTTTTGTGCAATTGGCAAGTGGTGATTTCAGCCGCTTTGAGGTCAATGGTAGAAAAGGAAATATCTTCGTATAAAAACTAGACAGAATCATTCCCACAAACTGCGTTGTGATGTGTTCGTTCAACTCACAGAGTTTAACCTTTCTTTTCATAGCGCAGTTAGGAAACAGTCTGTTTGAAAATTCTGTAAGTGGATATTCTGACATCTTGTGGCCTTCGTTGGAAACGGGATTTCTTCATATTCTGCTAGACAGAAGAATTCTCAGTAACTTCCTTCTGTTGTGTGTATTCAACTCACAGAGTTCAACGATTCTTTACACAGAGCAGACTTGAGACACTGTTTTCGTGGAATTTGCAAGTGGAGATTTCAACCGCTTTGAGGTCAATTGTAGAAAAGGAAATATCTTCGTATAAAAACTAGACAGAACGATTCTCAGAAACTCCTTTGTGATGTGTGCGTTCAACTCACAGAGTTTAACTTTTCTTTTCATAGAGCAGTTAGGAAACACTCTGTTTGTAAAGTCTGCAAGTGGATATTCAGACCCCTTTGAGGCCTTCGTTGAAAACGGGATTTCTTCATATTCTGCTAGACAGAAGAATTCCCAGTAACTTCCTTGTGTTGTGTGTGTTCAACTCACAGAGTTGAACTTTCATTTACACAGAGCAGATTTGAAACACTCTTTTTGTGGAATTTGCAAGTGGAGATTTCAAGCGCTTTGAGGCCAAAGGCAGAAAAGGAAATATATTCGTATAAAAACTAGACAGAATCATTCTCAGAAACTGCTCTGCGATGTGTGCGTTCAACTCTCAGAGTTTAACTTTTCTTTTCATTCAGCAGTTTGGAAACACTCTGTTTGTAAAGTCTGCAAGTGGATATTTTGACCTCTTTGAGGCCTTCGTTGGAAACGGGTTTTTTTCATGTAAGGCTAGACAGAAGAATTCACAGTAACTTCCTTGTGTTGTGTACATTCAACTCACAGAGTTGAACGTTCCCTTAGACAGAGCAGATTTGAAACACTCTTTTTGTGCAATTGGCAAGTGGAGATTTCAAGCGCTTTAAGGTCAATGGCAGAAAAGGAAATATCTTCCTTTCAAAACTAGACAGAATCATTCCCACAAACTGCGTTGAGATGTGTTCGTTCAACTCACAGAGTTTAACCTTTCTTTTCATAGAGCAGTTAGGAAACAGTCTGTTTGTCAATTCTGTAAGTGGATATTCTGACATCTTGTGGCCTTCGATGGAAACGGGATTTCTTCATATTCTGCTAGAGAGAAGAATTCTCAGAATCTTCCTTGTGTTGTGTGTATTCAACTCACAGAGTTGAACGATCCTTTACACAGAGCAGACTTGAAACACTCTTTTTGTGGAATTTGCAAGTGGAGATTTCAGCCGCTTTGAGGTCCATGGTAGAAAAGGAAATATCTTCGTATAAAAACTAGACAGAATGATTCTCAGAAACTCCTTTGTGATGTGTGTGTTCAACTCACAGAGTTTAACCTTTCTTTTCATAGAGCAGTTAGGAAACACTCTGTTTGTAAAGTCTGCAAGTGGATATTCAGACCTCGTTGAGACCTTCGTTGGAAACGGGATTTCTTCATATTCTGCTAGACAGAAGAATTCTCAGTAACTTCCTTGTGTTGTGTTTATTCAACTCACAGAATTGAATGATCCTTTACACAGAGCAGACTTGAAACACTCTTTTTGTGGAATTTGCAAGTGGAGATTTCAGCCGCTTTGTGGTCAATGGTAGAAAAGGAAATATCTTCGTATAAAGACTAGACAGAATCATTCTCAGAAACTGCTGCGTGATGTGTGCGTTCAACTCTCAGAGTTTAACTTTTCTTTTCATTCAGCGGTTTGGAAACACTCTGTTTGTAAAGTCTGCACGTGGAAATTTTGACCACTTAGAGGCCTTCGTTGGAAACGGGTTTTTTTCATGTAAGGCTAGACAGAAGAATTCCCAGTAACTTCCTTGTGTTGTGTACATTCAACTCACAGAGTTGAACGTTCCCTTAGACAGAGCAGATTTGAAACACTCTTTTTGTGCAATTGGCAAGTGGAGATTTCAAGCGCTTTGAGGTCAATGGCAGAAAAGGAAATATCTTCGTTTCAAAACTAGACAGAATCATTCCCACAAACTGCGTTGTGATGTGTTCGTTCAACTCACAGAGTTTAACCTTTCTGTTCATAGAGCAGTTAGGAAACACTCTGTTTGTAAAGTCTGCAAGTGGATATTCAGACCTCCTTGAGGCCTTCGTTGGAAACGGGATTTCTTCATATTCTGCTAGACAGAAGTATTCTCAGTAACTTCCTTGTGTTGTGTGTATTCAACTCTCAGAGTTGAACGATCCTTTACACAGAGCGGACTTGTAACACTCTTTTTGTGGAATTTGCAAGTGGAGATTTCAGCCGCTTTGAAGTCAAAGTTAGAAAAGGAAATAACTTCCTATAAAAACTAGACAGAATGATTCTCAGAAACTCCTTTGTGATGTGTGAGTTCAACTCACAGAGTTTAACCTTTCTTTTCATAGAGCAGTTAGGAAACACTCTGTTTCTAAAGTCTGCAAGTGGATATTCAGACCTCTTTGAGGCCTTCGTTGGAAACGGGTTTTTTTCATATAAGGCTAGAGAGAAGAAATCCCAGTAACTTCCTTGTGTTGTGTGTGTTCAACTCACAGAGATGAACTCTCATTTACACAGAGCAGATTTGAAACTCTCTTTTTGTGGAATTTGCAAATGGAGATTTCAAGCGCTTTGAGGCCAAAGGCAGAAAAGGAAATATCTTCGTATAAAAACTAGACAGAATCATTCTCAGAAACTGCTGCGTGATGTGTGCGTTCAACTCTCAGAGTTTAACTTTTCTTTTCATTCAGCGGTTTGGAAACACTCAGTTTGTAAAGTCTGCACGTGGATATTTTCACCACTTAGAGGCCTTCGTTGGAAACGGGTTTTTTTTCATGTAAGGCTAGACAGAAGAATTCCCAGTAACTTCCTTGTGTTGTGTACATTCAACTCACAGAGTTGAACGTTCCCTTAGACAGAGCAGATTTGAAACACTCTTTTTCTGCAATTGGCAAGTGGAGATTTCAAGCGCTTTGAGGTCAATGGCAGAAAAGGAAATATCTTCGTTTCAAAACTAGACAGAATCATTCCCACAAACTGCGTTGTGATGTGTTCCTTCAACTCACAGAGTTTAACCTTTCTTTTCATAGAGCAGTTAGGAAACAGTCTGTTTGTCAATTCTGTAAGTGGATATTCTGACATCTTGTGGCCTTCGTTGGAAACGGGATTTCTTCATATTCTGCTAGACAGAAGAATTCTCAGTAACTGCCTTGTGTTGTGTGTATTCAACTCACAGAGTTGAACGATCGTTTACACAGAGCAGACTTGAAACACTCTTTTTGTGGAATTTGCAAGTGGAGATTTCAGCCGCTTTGAGGTCAATGGTAGAATAGGAAATATCTTCCTATAGAAACTAGACAGAATGATTCTCAGAAACTCCTTTGTGATGTGTGCGTTCAACTCACAGAGTTTAACCTTTCTTTTCATAGAGCAGTTAGGAAACACTCTGTTTGTAAAGGCTGCAAGTGGATATTCAGACATCTTTGAGGCCTTCGTTGGAAAAGGGATTTCTTCATGTTCTGCTAGAAAGAAGAATTCCCAGTAACTTCCTTGTGTTGTGTGTGTTCAACTCACAGAGTTGAACTTTCATTTACACAGAGCAGATTGGAAACACTCTTTTTGTGGAATTTGCAAGGGGAGATTTCAAGCGCTTTGAGGCCAAAGGCAGAAAAGGAAATATCTTCGTATAAAAACTAGACAGAATCATTCTCAGAAACTGCTGCGTGATGTGTGCGTTCAACTCTCAGAGTTTAACTTTTCTTTTCATTCAGCAGTTTGGAAACACTCTGTTTGTAAAGTCTGCACGTGGATATTTTGACCACTTAGAGGCCTTCGTTGGAAACGGGTTTTTTTCATGTAAGGCTAGACAGAAGAATTCCCAGTAACTTCCTTGTGTTGTGTGCATTCAACTCACAGAGTTGAACGTTCCCTTAGACAGAGCAGATTTGAAACACTCTATTTGTGCAATTTGCAAGTGTAGATTTCAAGCTCTTTAAGGTCAATGGCAGAAAAGGAAATATCTTCGTTTCAAAACTAGACAGAATGATTCTCAGAAACTCCTTTGTGATGTGTGCGTTCAACTCACAGAGTTTAACCTTTCTTTTCATAGAGCAGTTAGGAAACACTCTGTTTGTAAAGTCTACAAGTGGATATTCAGACATCTTTGAGGCTTTCGTTGGAAACGGGATTTCTTCATATTCTGCTGGACAGAAGAATTCTCAGAAACTTCGTTGTGTTGTGTGTTTTCAAATCACAGAGTTCAACGATCCTTTACACAGAGTAGACTTGAAACACTCTTTTTGTGGAATTGGCAGGGTGGAGATTTCAGCCGCTTTCAGGTCAATGGTAGAAAAGGAAATATCTTCGTATAAAAACTAGACAGAATGATTGTCAGAAACTCCTTTGTGATGTGTGCGTTCAACTCACAGAGTTTAACCTTTCTTTTCATAGAGCAGTTAGGAAACACTCTGTTTGTAAAGTCTGCAAGTGGATATTCAGACCTCTTTGAGGCCTTCGTTGGAAACGGGATTTCTTCATATTCTGCTAGACAGAAGAATTCCCAGTAACTTCCATGTGTTGTGTGTGTTCAACTCACAGAGTTGAACTTTCATTTACACAGAGCAGATTTGAAACACTCTTTTTGTGGAATTTGCAAATGGAGATTTCAAGCACTTTGAGGCCAAAGGCAGAAAAGGAAATATCTTCGTAGAAAAACTAGACAGAATCATTCTCAGAAACTGCTCTGCGATGTGTGCGTTCAACTCTCAGAGTTTAACTTTTCTTTTCATTCAGCAGTTTGGAAACACTCTGTTTGTAAAGTCTGCACGTGGATAACTTGACCACTTAGAGGTCTTCGTTGGAAACGGGTTTTTTTCATGTAAGGCTAGACAGAAGAATTCCCAGTAACTTCCTTGTGTTGTGTACATTCAACTCACAGAGTTGAACGTTCCCTTAGACAGAGCAGATTTGAAACACTCTTTTTGTGCAATTGGCAAGTGGTGATTTCAGCCGCTTTGAGGTCAATGGTAGAAAAGGAAATATCTTCGTATAAAAACTAGACAGAATCATTCCCACAAACTGCGTTCTGATGTGTTCGTTCAACTCACAGAGTTTAACCTTTCTGTTCATAGAGCAGTTAGGAAACACTCTGTTTGTAAAGTCTGTAAGTGGATATTCTGACATCTTGTGGCCTTCGTTGGAAACGGGATTTCTTCATATTCTGCTAGACAGAAGAATTCTCAGTAACTTCCTTGTGTTGTGTGTATTCAACACACAGAGTTGAACGATGCTTTACACAGAGCAGACTTGAAACACTCTTTTTGTGGAATTTGCAAGTGGAGATTTCAGCCGCTTTGAGGTCAATGGTAGAAAAGGAAATATCTTCGTATAAAGACTAGACAGAATGATTCTCAGAAACTCCTTTGTGATGTGTGCGTTCAACTCACAGAGTTTAACGTTTCTTTTCATAGAGCAGTTAGGAAACACTCTGTTTGTAATGTCTGCAAGTGGATATTCAGACCCCTTTGAGGCCTTCGTTGGAAACGGGATTTCTTCATATTATGCTAGACAGAAAGAATTCCCAGTAACTTCCTTGTGTTGTGTGTGTTCAACTCACAGAGTTGAACTTTGATTTACACAGAGCAGATTTGAAACACTCTTTTTGTGGAATTTGCAAGTGGAGATTTCAAGCGCTTTGAGGCCAAAGGCAGAAAAGGAAATATCTTCGTATAAAAACTAGACAGATCATTCTCAGAAACTGCTCTGCGATGTGTGCGTTCAAGTCTCAGAGTTTAACTTTTCTTTTCATTCAGCAGTTTGGAAACACTCTGTTTGTAAAGTCTGCACCTGGATAATTTGACCACTTAGAGGCCTTCGTTGGAAACGGGTTTTTTTCCTGTAAGGCTAGACAGAAGAATTCCCAGTAACTTCCTTGCGTTGTGTACATTCAACTCACAGAGTTGAACGTTCCCTTAGACAGAGCAGATTTGAAACACTCTTTTTGTGCAATTGGCAAGTGGAGATTTCAAGCGCTTTAAGGTCAATGGCAGAAAAGGAAATATCTTCGTTTCAAAACTAGACAGAATGATTCTCAGAAACTCCTTTGTGATGTGTGCGTTCAACTCACAGAGTTTAACCTTTCTTTTCATAGAGCAGTTAGGAAACACTCTGATTGTAAAGTCTGCAAGTGGATATTCAGAACTCCTTGAGGCCTTCGTTGGAAACGGGATTTCTTCATATTATGCTAGACAGAATAATTCTCAGTAACTTCCTTGTGTTGTGTGTATTCAACTCACAGAGTTGAACGATCCTTTACACAGAGCAGACTTGAAACACTCTATTTGTAGAATTTGCAAGTGGAGATTTCAGCCGCTTTGAGGTCAATAGTAGAATAGGAAATATCTTCGTAGAAAAACTAGACAGAATGATTCTCAGAAACTCCTTTGTGATGTGTGCGTTCAACTCACAGAGTTTAACATTTCTTTTCATAGAGCAGTTAGGAAACACTCTGTTTGTAAAGTCTGCAAGTGGATATTCAGACCTCCTTGAGGCCTTCGTTGGAAACGGGATTTCTTCATATTATGCTACACAGAAGAATTCTCAGTAACTTCCTTGTGTTGTGTGTATTCAACTGACAGAGTTGAACTTTCATTTAGAGAGAGCAGATTTGAAACACTGTTTTTGTGGAATTTGCAATTGGAGATTTCAAGCGCTTTGGGGCCAAAGGCAGAAAAGGAAATATCTTCGTATAAAAACTAGACAGAATGATTCTCAGAAAGTCCTTTGTGATGTGTGCGTTCAACTCACAGAGTTTAACCTTTCTGTTCATAGAGCTGTTAGGAAACACTCTGTTTGTAAAGTCTGCACGTGGAAATTTTGACCACTTAGAGGCCTTCGTTGGAAACGGGTTTTTTTCATGTAAGGCTAGACAGAAGAATTCCCAGTAACTTCCTTGTGTTGTGTACATTCAACTCACAGGAGTTGAACGTTCCCTTAGACAGAGCAGATTTGAAACACTCTTTTTGTGCAATTGGCAAATGGAGATTTCAAGCGCTTTAAGTTCAAAGGCAGAAAAGGAAATATCTTCGTTTCAAAACTAGACAGAATCATTCCCACAAACTGCGTTGTGATGTGTTCGTTCAACTCACAGAGTTTAACCTTTCTTTTCATAGAGCAGTTAGGAAACAGTCTGTTTGTCAATTCTGTAAGTGGATATTCTGACATCTTGTGGCATTCGTTGGAAACGGGATTTCTTCATATTCTGCTAGACAGAAGAATTCTCAGAATCTTCCTTGTGTTGTGTGTATTCAACTCACAGAGTTGAACGATCCTTTACACAGAGCAGACTTGAAACACTCTTTTTGTGGAATTTGCAAGTGGAGATTTCAGCCGCTTTGAGGTCCATGGTAGAAAAGGAAATATCTTCGTATAAAAACTAGACGGAATGATTCTCAGAAACTCCTTTGTGATGTGTGCGTTCAACTCACAGAGTTAAACCTTTCTTTTCATAGAGCAGTTAGGAAACACTCTGTTTGTAAAGTCTGCAAGTGGATATTCAGACCTCCTTGAGGCCTTCGTTGGAAACGGGATTTCTTCATATTCTGCTAGACAGAAGAATTCTCAGTAACTTCCTTTTGTTGTGTGTATTCAACTGACAGAGTTGAACTTTCATTTAGACAGAGCAGATTTGAAACACTCTTTTTCTGGAATTTGCAAGTGGAGATTTCAAGCGCTTTGAGGCCAAAGGCAGAAAAGGATATATCTTCGTATAAAAACTAGACGGAATCATTCTCAGAAACTGCTCTGCGATGTATGCGTTCAACTCTCAGAGTTTAACTTTTCTTTTCATTCAGCAGTTTGGAAACACTCTGTTTGTAAATTCTGCACGTGGATATTTTGACCACTTAGAGGCCTTCGTTGGAAACGGGTTTTTTTCATGTAAGGCTAGACAGAAGAATTCCCAGTAACTTCCTTGTGTTGTGTGCATTCAACTCACAGAGTTGAACGTTCCCTTAGACCGAGCAGGTTTGAAACACTCTATTTGTGCAATTTGCAAGTGTAGTTTTCAAGCTCTTTAAGGTCAACGGCAGAAAAGGAAATATCTTCGTTTCAAAACTAGACAGAATCATTCCCACAAACTGCGTTGTGATGTGTTCGTTCAACTCACAGAGTTTAACCTTTCTGTTCATAGAGCAGTTAGGAAACACTCTGTGTGTAAAGTCTGCAAGTGGATATTCAGACCTCTTTGAGGCCTTCGTTGGAAACGGGATTTCTTCATATTCTGCTAGACAGAAGAATTCTCAGTAACTTCCTTGTGTTGTGTGTATTCAACTCATAGAGTTGAACGATCCTTTACACAGAGCAGACTTGAAACACTCTATTTGTAGAATTTGCAAGTGGAGATTTCAGCCGCTTTGAGGTCAATAGTAGAAAAGGAAATATCTTCGTAGAAAAACTAGACAGAACGATTCTCAGAAACTCCTTTGTGATGTGTGCGTTCAACTCACAGAGTTTAAACTTTCTTTTCATAGAGCAGTTAGGAAACACTCTGTTTGTAAAGTCTGCAAGCGGATATTCAGACCTCTTTGAAGCCTTCGTTGGAAACGGGATTTCTTCATATTATGCTAGACAGAAGAATTCCCAGTAACTTCCTTGTGTTGTGTGTGTTCAACTCACAGAGTTGAACTTTCATTTACACAGAGCAGATTTGAAACACTCTTTTTGTGGAATTTGCAATTGGAGATTTCAAGCGCTTGGAGGCCAAAGGCAGAAAAGGAAATATCTTCGTATAAAAACTAGACAGAATCATTCTCAGAAACTGCTGCGTGATGTGTGCGTTCAACTCTCAGAGTTTAACTTTTCTTTTCATTCAGCGGTTTGGAAACACTCTGTTTGTAAAGTCTGCACGTGTATATTTTGACCACTTAGAGGCCTTCGTTGGAAACGGGTTTTTTCATGTAAGGCTAGACAGAAGAATTCCCAGTAACTTCCTTGTGTTGTGTGCATTCAACTCACAGAGTTGAACGTTCCCTTAGACAGAGCAGATTTGAAACACTCTATTTGTGCAATTTGCAAGTGTAGATTTCAAGCACTTTAAGGTCAATGGCAGAAAAGGAAATATCTTCGTTTCAAAACTAGACAGAATGATTCTCAGAAACTCCTTTGTGATGTGTGCGTTCAACTCACAGAGTTTAACCTTTCTTTTCATAGAGCAGTTAGGAAACACTCTGTTGGTAAAGTCTGCAAGTGGATATTCAGACCTCTTTGAGGCCTTCTTTGGAAACGGAATTTCTTCATATTCTGCTAGACAGAAGAATTCTCAGAAACTTCCTGGTGTTGCGTGTTTTCAACTCACAGAGTTCAACGATCCTTTACACAGAGTAGACTTGAAA
This sequence comes from Homo sapiens, assembly GCF_000001405.40. NCBI lineage: Eukaryota > Metazoa > Chordata > Mammalia > Primates > Hominidae > Homo > Homo sapiens. The sequence continues at coordinate 124,583,617 of NC_000001.11, forward strand.
AACTCTTTTTGTTGAATTGGCCAGTGGAGATTTCAGCCGCTTTGAGGTCAATGGTAGAAAAGGAAATATCTTCGTATAAAAACTAGACAGAATCATTCTCAGAAACTCCTTTGTGATGTGTGTGCCCAACTCACAGAGTTTAACCTTTCTTTTCATAGAGCTGTTAGGAAACACTCTGTTTGTAAAGTCTGCAAGAGGATATTCAGACCTCTTTGAGGCCTTCGTTGGAAACGGGTTTTTTTCATATAAGGCTAGACAGAAGAATTCTCAGTAACTTCCTTGTGTTGTGTGTATTCAACTGACGGAGTTGAACTTTCATTTAGAGAGAGCAGATTTGTAACACTGTTTTTGTGGAATTTGCAAGTGGAGATTTCATGCGCTTTGGGGCCAAAGGCAGAAAAGGAAATATCTTCGTATAAAAACTAGACAGAATCATTCTCAGAAACTGCTCTGCGATGTGTGCGTTCAACTCTCAGAGTTTAACTTTTCTTTTAATTCAGCAGTTTGGAAACACTCTGTTTGTAAAGTCTGCACGTGGATATTTTGACCACTTAGAGGCCTTCGTTGGAAACGGGTTTTTTTCCTGTAAGGCTAGACAGAAGAATTCCCAGTAACTTCCTTGTGTTGTGTGCATTCAACTCAAAGAGTTGAACGTTCCCTTAGACAGAGCAGATTTGAAAAACTCTATTTGTGCAATTTGCAAGTGTAGATTTCAAGCGCTTTAAGGTCAATGGCAGAAAAGGAAATATCTTCGTTTCAAAACTAGACAGAATCATTCCCACAAACTGCGTTGTGATGTGTTCGTTCAACTCACAGAGTTTAACCTTTCTGTTCATAGAGCAGTTAGGAAACACTCTGTTTGTAAAGTCTGTAAGTGGATATTCTGACATCTTGTGGCCTTCGTTGGAAAAGGGATTTCATCATATTCTGCTAGACAGAAGAATTCTCAGTAACTTCCATGTATTGTGTGTATTCAACTCACAGAGTTGAACGATCCTTTACACAGAGCAGACTTGAAACACTCTTTTTGTGAAATTTGCAAGTGGAGATTTCAGCCGCTTTGTGGTCAATGGTAGAATAGGAAATATCTTCCTATAGAAACTAGACAGAATGATTCTCAGAAACTCCTTTGTGATGTGTGCGTTCAACTCACAGAGTTTAACCTTTCTTTTCATAGAGCCGTTAGGAAACACTCTGTTTGTAAAGTCTGCAAGTGGATATTCAGACCTCCTTGAGGCCTTCGTTGGAAACGGGATTTCTTCATATTATGCTAGACAGAAGAATTCCCAGTAACTTCCTTGTGTTGTGTGTGTTCAACTCACAGAGTTGAACTTTCATTTAGACAGAGCAGATTTGAAACACTCTTTTTGTGGAATTTGCAAGTGGAGATTTCAAGCGCTTTGAGGCCAAAGGCAGAAAAGGAAATATCTTCGTATAAAAACTAGACAGAATCATTCTCAGAAACTGCTCTGCGATGTGTGCGTTCAACTCTCAGAGTTTAACTTTTCTTTTCATTCAGCAGTTTGGAAACACTCTGTTTGTAAAGTCTGCACGTGGATATTTTGACCACTTAGAGGCCTTAGTTGGAAACGGTTTTTTTTCCTGTAAGGCTAGACAGAAGAATTCCCAGTAACTTCCTTGTGTTGTGTACATTCAACTCACAGAGTTGAACGTTCCCTTAGACAGAGCAGATTTGAAACACTCTTTTTGTGCAATTGGCAAATGGAGATTTCAAGCGCTTTAAGGTCAATGGCAGGAAAGGAAATATCTTCGTTTCAAAACTAGACAGAATCATTCCCACAAACTGCGTTGTGATGTGTTCGTTCAACTCACAGAGTTTAACCTTTCTTTTCATAGAGCAGTTAGGAAACAGTCTGTTTGTCAATTCTGTAAGTGGATATTTTGACATCTTGTGGCCTTCGTTGGAAACGGGATTTCTTCATATTCTGCTAGACAGAAGAATTCTCAGTAACTTCCTTGTGTTGTGTGTATTCAACTCACAGAGTTGAAGGATCCTTTACAGAGAGCAGGCTTGAAACACTCTTTTTGTCGAATTTGCAAGTGGAGATTTCAGCCGCTTTGAGGTGAATGGTAGAATAGGAAATATCTTCTTATAGAAACTAGACAGAATGATTCTCAGAAACTTCTTTGTGATGTGTGCCTTCAACTCACAGAGTTTAACCTTTCTTTTCATAGAGCAGTTAGGAAACACTCTGTTTGTAAACTCTGCAAGTGGATATTCAGACCTCTTTGAGGCCTTCGTTGGAAACGGGATTTCTCCATACTATGCTAGACAGAAGAATTCCCAGTAACTTCCTTGTGTTGTGTGTGTTCAACTCACAGAGTTGAACTTTCATTTACACAGAGCAGATTTGAAACACTCTTTTTGTGGAATTTACAAGTGGAGATTTCAAGCGCTTTGAGGCCAAAGGCAGAAAAGGAAATATCTTCGTATAAAAACTAGACAGAATCATTCTCAGAAAGTGCTCTGCGATGTGTGCGTTCAACTCTCAGAGTTTAACTTTGCTTTTCATTCAGCAGTTTGGAAACACTCTGTTTGTAAAGTCTGCACGTGGATAATTTGACCACTTAGAGGCCTTCGTTGGAAACGGGTTTTTTTCATGTAAGGCTAGACAGAAGAATTCCCAGTAACTTCCTTGTGTTGTGTGCTTTCAACTCACAGAGTTGAACGTTCCCTTAGACAGAGCAGATTTGAAACACTCTATTTGTGCAATTTGCAAGTGTAGATTTCAAGCGCTTTAAGGTCAATGGCAGAAAAGGAAATATCTTCGTTTCAAAACTAGACAGAATCATTCCCACAAACTGCGTTGTGATGTGTTCCTTCATCTCACAGAGTTTAACCTTTCTTTTCGTAGAGCAGTTAGGAAACAGTCTGTTTGTAAATTCTGTAAGTGGATATTCTGACATCTTGTGGCCTTCGTTGGAAACGGGATTTCTTCATATTCTGCTAGACAGAATAATTCTCAGTAACTTCCTTGTGTTGTGTGTATTCAACTGTCAGAGTTGAACGATCCTTTACAGAGAGCAGACTTGAAACACTCTTTTTGTGGAATTTGCAAGTGGAGATTTCAGCCGCTTTGAGGTCAATGGTAGAATAGGAAATATCTTCCTATACAAACTAGACAGAATGATTCTGAGAAACTCCTTTGTGATGTGGGCGTTCAACTCACAGAGTTTAACCTTTCTTTTCATAGAGCAGTTAGGAAACACACTGTTTGTAAAGTCTGCAAGTGGATATTCAGACCTCCTTGAGGTCTTCGTTGGAAACGGGATTTCTTCATATTATGCTAGACAGAAGAATTCTCAGTAACTTCCTTGTGTTGTGTGTATTCAACTCAGAGAGTTGAACGATCCTTTACACAGAGCAGAGTTGAAACACTGTTTTTGTGGAATTTGCAAGTGGAGATTTCAGCCGCTTTGAGGTCAATGGTAGAATAGGAAATTTCTTCCTATAGAAACTAGAGAGAATCATTCTCAGAAACTGCTCTGCGATGTGTGCGTTCAACTCTCAGAGTTTAACTTTTCTTTTCATTCAGCAGTTTGGAAACACTCTGTTTGTAAAGTCTGCAGGTGGATATTTTGACCACTCAGAGGCCTTCGTTGGAAACGGGTTTTTTTCCTGTAAGGCTAGACAGAAGAATTCCCAGTAACTTCCTTGTGTTGTGTACATTCAACTCACAGAGTTGAACGTTCCCTTAGACAGAGCAGATTTGAAACACTCTTTTTGTGCAATTGGCAAATGGAGATTTCAAGCGCTTTAAGGTCAATGGCAGAAAAGGAAATATCTTCGTTTCAAAACTAGACAGAATCATTCCCACAAACTGCGTTGTGATGTGTTCGTTCAACTCACAGAGTTTAACCTTTCTTTTCATAGAGCAGTTAGGAAACAGTCTGTTTGTCAATTCTGTAAGTGGATATTCTGACATCTTGTGGCCTTCGTTGGAAACGGCATTTCTTCATATTCTGCTAGACAGAAGAATTCTCAGTAACTTCCTTGTGTTGTGTGTATTCAACTCACAAAGTTGAACGATCCTTTACACAGAGCAGACTTGAAACACTCTTTTTGTGGAATTTGCAAGTGGAGATTTCAGCCGCTTTGAGTTCAATGGTAGAATAGGAAATATCTTCCTATAGAAACTAGACAGAATGATTCTCGGAATCTCCTTTGTAATGTGTGCGTTCAACTCACAGAGTTTAACCTTTCTTTTCATAGAGCAGTTAGGAAACACTCTGTTTGTAAAGTCTGCAAGTGGATATTCAGACCTCTTTTAGGCCTTCGTTGGAAACGGGATTTCTTCATATTCTGCTAGACAGAAGAGTTCTCAGTAACTTCTTTGCGTTGTGTGTATTCAACTGACAGAGTTGAACTTTCATTTAGAGAGAGCAGATTTGAACCACTGTTTTTGTGGAATTTGCAAGTGGAGATTTCAAGCGCTTTGGGGCCAAAGGCAGAAAAGGAAATAAATTCGTATAAAAACTAGACATAATCATTCTCAGAAACTGCTCTGCGATGTGTGCGTTCAACTCTCAGAGTTTAACTTTTCTTTTCATTCAGCAGTTTGGAAACACTCTGTTTGTAAAGTCTGCACGTGGATATTTTGACCACTTAGAGGCCTTCGTTGGAAATGGGTTTTTTTCCTGTAAGGCTAGACAGAAGAATTCCCAGTAACTTCCTTGTGTTGTGTACATTCAACTCACAGAGTTGAACATTCCCTTAGACAGAGCAGATTTGAAACACTCTTTTTGTGCAATTGGCAAGTGGAGATTTCAAGAGTTTTAAGGTCAATGGCAGAAAAGGAAATATCTTGGTTTCAAAACTAGACAGAATGATTCTCAGAAACTCCTTTGTGATGTGTGCGTTCAACTCACAGAGTTTAACCTTTGTGTTCATAGAGCAGTTAGGAAACACTCTGTTTGTAAAGTCTGCAAGTGGATATTCAGACCTCCTTGAGGCCTTCTTTGGAAACGGGATTTCTTCATATTCTGCTAGACAGAAGAATTCTCAGTAACTTCCTTGTGTTGTGTGTATTCAACTCACAGAGTTGAACGATCCTTTACAGAGAGCAGACTTTAAACACTCTTTTTGTGGAATTTGCAAGTGGAGATTTCAGCCGCTTTGAGGTCAATGGTACAAAAGGAAATATCTTCGTATAAAGACTAGACAGAATGATTCTCAGAAACTCCTTTGTGATGTGTGCGTTCAACTCACAGAGTTTAACTTTTCTTTTCATAGAGCAGTTAGGAAACACTCTGTTTGTAAAGTCTGCAGGTGGATATTCAGACCTCTTTGAGGCCTTCGTTGGAAACGGGATTTCTTCATATTATGCTAGACAGAGGAATTCTCAGTAACTTCCTTGTGTTGTGTGTATTCAACTGACAGAGTTGAACTTTCATTTAGAGAGAGCAGATTTGAAACACTGTTTTTGTGGAATTTGCAAGTGGAGATTTCAAGCGCTTTGGGGACAAAGGCAGAAAAGGAAATATCTCCGTATAAAAACTAGACAGAATGATTCTCAGAAACTCCTTTGTGATGTGTGTGTTGAACTCACAGAGTTTAACCTTTCTTTTCATAGAGCAGTTAGGAAACACTCTGTTTGTAAAGTCTGCAAGTGGATATTCAGACCTCTTTGAGGCCTTCGTTGGAAACGGGTTTTTTTCATATAAGCCTAGACAGAAGAATTCCCAGTAACTTCCTTGTGTTGTGTGTGTTCAACTCACAGAGTTGAACTTTCATTTACACAGAGCAGATTTGAAACACTCTTTTTGTGCAATTGGCAAGTGGAGATTTCAAGCACTTTAAGGTCAATGGCAGAAAAGGAAATATCTTCGTTTCAAAACTAGACAGAATCATTCCCACAAACTGCGTTGTGATGTGTCCGTTCATCTCACAGAGTTTAACCTTTCTTTTCATAGAGCAGTTAGGAAACAGTCTGTTTGTAAATTCTGTAAGTGGATATTCTGACATCTTGTGGCCTTCGTTGGAAACGGGATTTCTTCATATTCTGCTAGACAGAATAATTCTCAGTAACTTCCTTGTGTTGTGTGTATTCAACTCACAGAGTTGAACGATCCTTTACAGAGAGCAGACTTGAAACACTCTTTTTGTGGAATTTGCAAGTGGAGATTTCAGCCGCTTTGAGGTCAACGGTAGAATAGGAAATATCTTCCTATAGAAACTAGACAGAATGATTCTCAGAAAATCCTTTGTGATGTGTGCGTTCAACTCACAGAGTTTAACTTTTCTTTTCATAGAGCAGTTAGGAAACACTCTGTTTGTAAAGTCTGCAAGTGGATATTCAGACCTCTTTGAGGCCTTCGTTGGAAACGGGATTTCTTCATATTATGCGAGACAGAAGAATTCCCTGTAACTTCCTTGTGTTGTGTGTGTTCAACTCACAGAGTTGAACTTTCATTTACACAGAGCAGATTTGAAACACTCTTTTTGTGGAATTTGCAAATGGAGATTTCAGCCGCGTTGAGGTCAATGGTAGAAAAGGAAATATCTTCGTTTCAAAACTAGACAGAATCATTCTCAGAAACTGCTCTGCGATGTGTGCGTTCAACTCTCAGAGTTTAACTTTTCTTTTCATTCAGCAGTGTGGAAACACTCTGTTTGTAAAGTCTGCACGTGGATATTTTGACCACTTAGAGGCCTTCGTTGGAAACGGGTTTTTTTCCTGTAAGGCTAGACAGAAGAATTCCCAGTAACTTCCTTGTGTTGTGTACATTCAACTCACAGAGTTGAAGGTTCCCTTAGACAGAGCAGACTTGTAACACTCTTTTTGTGGAATTTGCAAGTGGAGATTTCAGCCGCTTTGAAGTCAAAGGTAGAAAAGGAAATATCTTCCTATAAAAACTAGACAGAATGATTCTCAGAAACTCCTTTGTGATGTGTGCGTTCAACTCACAGAGTTTAACTTTTCTTTTCATAGAGCAGTTGGGAAACACTCTGTTTGTAAAGTCTGCAAGTGGATATTCAGACATCCTTGAGGCTTTCGTTGGAAACGGGATTTCTTCATATACTGCTAGAAAGAAGAATTCTCAGTAACTTCCTTGTGTTGTGTGTTTTCAACTCACAGAGTTGAACGATCCTTTACACAGAGCAGACTTGAAACACTCCTTTTGTGGAATTTGCAAGTGGAGATTTCAGCCGCTTTGAGGTCAATGGTAGAATAGGAAATATCTTCCTATAGAAACTAGACAGAATGATTGTCAGAAACTCCTTTGTGATGTGTGCGTTCAACTCACAGAATTTAACCTTTCTTTTCATAGAGAAGTTAGGAGACACTGGGTTGGTAAAGTCTAAAAGTGGATATTCAGACATCTTTGAGGGTTTCGTTGGAAAAGGGATTTATTCATATTCTGCTAGACAGAAGAATTCCCAGTAACTTCCTTGTGTTGTGTGTGTTCATCTCACAGAGTTGAACTTTCATTTACACAGAGCAGATTTGAAACACTCTTTTTGTGGAATTTGCAAATGGAGATTTCAAGCGCTTTGAGGCCAAAGGCAGAAAAGGAAATATCTTCGTATAAAAACTAGACAGAATCATTCTCAGAAACTGCTCTGCGATGTGTGCGTTCAACTCTCAGAGTTTAACTTTTCTTTTCATTCAGCAGTTTGGAAACACTCTGGTTGTAAAGTCTGCACGTGGATAACTTGACCACTTAGAGGCCTTCGTTGGAAACGGGTTTTTTTCCTGTAAGGCTAGACAGAAGAATTCTCAGTAACTTCCTTGTGTTGTGTGTATTCAACTCACAGAGTTGAACGATCCTTTACACAGAGCAGACTTGAAACACTCTTTTTGTGGAATTTGCAAGTGGAGATTTCAGCCGCTTTGAGGTCAATGGTAGAAAAGGAAACTATCGTCGTATAAAGACTAGACAGAATGATTCTCAGAAAATGCTTTGTGATGTGTGCGTTCAACTCACAGAGTTTAACTTTTCTTTTCATAGAGCAGTTAGGAAACACTCTGTTTGTAAAGTCTGCAAGTGGATATTCAGACCTCTTTGAGGCCTTCTTTGGAAACGGGATTTCTACATATTCTGCTAGACAGAAGAATTCTCAGTAACTTCCTTGTGTTCTGTGTATTCAACTCACAGAGTTGAATGATCCTTTACAGAGAGCAGACTTGAAACACTCTTTTTGTGGAATTTGCAAGTGGAGATTTCAGCCGCTTTGAGGTCAATGGTAGAATAGGAAATATCTTCGAAGAAAAACTAGACAGAATGATTCTCAGAAACTCCTTTGTGATGTGTGTGTTCAACTCACAGAGTTTAACCTTTGTTTTCATAGAGCAGTTAGTAAACACTCTGTTTATAAAGTCTGCAAGTGGATATTCAGACCCCTTTGAGGCCTTCGTTGGAAACGGGATTTCTTCATATTATGCTAGACAGAAGAATTCTCAGTAACTTCCTTTTGTTGTGTGTATTCAACTGACAGAGTTGAACTTTCATTTAGAGAGAGCAGATTTGAAACACTGTTTTTGTGGAATTTGCAAGTGGAGATTTCAAGCGCTTTGGGGCCAAAGGCAGAAAAGGAAATATCTTCGTATAAAAACTAGACAGAATCATTCTCAGAAACTGCTCTGTGATGTGTGCGTTCAACTCTCAGAGTTTAACTTTTCTTTTCATTCAGCAGTTTGGAAACACTCTGTTTGTAAAGTCTGCACGTGGATATTTTGACCACTTAGAGGCCTTCGTTGGAAACGGGTTTTTTTTTCACGTAAGGCTAGACAGAAGAATTCCCAGTAACTTCCTTGTGTTGTGTACATTCAACTCACAGAGTTGAAAGTTCCCTTAGACAGAGCAGACTTGTAACACTCTTTTTGTGGAATTTGCAAGTGGAGATTTCAGCCGCTTTGAAGTCAAAGGTAGAAAAGGAAATATCTTCCTATAAAAACTAGACAGAATCATTCCCACAAACTGCGTTGCGATGTGTTCGTTCAACTCACAGAGTTTAACATTTCTTTTCATAGAGCACTTAGGAAACAGTCTGTTTGTAAATTCTGTAAGTGGATATTCTGACATCTTGTGGCCTTCGTTGGAAACGGGATTTCTTCATATTCTGCTAGACAGAAGAATTCTCGGAAACTTCCTTGTGTTGTGTGTATTCAACTCACAGAGTTGAACGATCCTTTACACAGAGCAGACTGGAAACACTCTTTTTGTGAAATTTGCAAGTGGAGATTTCAGCCGCTTTAAGGTCAATGGTAAAATAGGAAATATCTTCCTATAGAAACTAGACAGAATGATTCTCAGAAACCCCTTTGTGATGTGTACGTTCAACTCACAGAGTTTAACCTTTCTTTTCATAGAGCAGTTAGGAAACACTCTGTTTGTAAAGTCTGCAAGTGGATATTCAGACCTCCTTGAGGCCTTCGTTGGAAACTGCATTTCTTCATATTATGCTAGACAGAAGAATTCTCAGTAACTTCCTTGTGTTGTGTGTATTCAACTGACAGAGTTGAACTTTCATTTAGAGAGAGCAGATTTGAAATACTGTTTTTGTGGAATTTGCAAGTGGAGATTTCAAACGCTTTGGGGCCAAAGGCAGAAAAGGAAATATCTTCGTATAAAAACTAGACAGAATCATTCTCAGAAACTGCTGCGTGATGTGTGCGTTCAACTCTCAGAGTTTAACTTTTCTTTTCATTCAGCGGTTTGGAAACACTCTGTTTGTAAAGTCTGCACGTGGATATTTTGACCACTTAGAGGCCTTCGTTGGAAACGGGTTTTCTTCATGTAAGGCTAGACAGAAGAATTCCCAGTAACTTACCTTGTGTTGTGTACATTCAACTCACAGAGTTGAACGTTCCCTTAGACAGAGCAGATTTGAAACACTCTTTTTGTGCAATTGGCAAGTGGAGATTTCAAGCGCTTTAAGGTCAATGGCAGAAAAGGAAATATCTTCGTTTCAAAACTAGACAGAATCATTCCCACAAACTGCGTTGTAATGTGTTCGTTCAACTCACAGAGTTTAACCTTTCTGTTCATAGAGCAGTTAGGAAACACTCTGTTTGTAAAGTCTGTAAGTGGATATTCTGACATCTTGTGGCCTTCGTTGGAAACGGGATTTCTTCATATTCTGCTAGACAGAAGAATTCTCAGTAACTTCCTTGTGTTGTGTGTATTCAACTCACAGAGTTGAACGATCCTTTACACAGAGCAGACTTGAAACACTCTTTTTGTGGAATTTGCAAGTGGAGATTTCAGCCGCTTTGAGGTCAATGGTATAATAGGAAATATCTTCCTATAGAAACTAGACAGAATGATTGTCAGAAACTCCTTGGTGCTGTGTGCGTTCAACTCACAGAGTTTAAACTTTCTTTTCATAGAGCAGTTAGGAAACACTCTGTTTGTAAAGTCTGCAGGTGGATTTTCAGACATCATTGAGGCTTTCGTTGGAAACGGGATTTCTTCATATTCTGCTAGACAGAAGAATTCCCAGTAACTTCCTTGTGTTGTGTGTGTTCAACTCACAGAGTTGAACTTTCATTTACACAGAGCAGATTTGAAACACTCTTTTTGTGGAATTTGCAAATGGAGATTTCAAGGGCTTTGAGGCCAAAGGCAGAAAAGGAAATGTCTTCGTTTCAAAACTAGACAGAATCATTCTCAGAAACTGCTTCTGGCGATGTGTGCGTTCAACTCTCAGAGTTTAACTTTTCTTTTCATTCAGCAGTTTGGAAACACTCTGTTTGTAAAGTCTGCACGTGGATATTTTGACGACTTAGAGGCCTTCGTTGGAAACGGGTTTTTTTCCTGTAAGGCTAGACAGAAGAATTCCCAGTAACTTCCTTGTGTTGTGTACATTCAACTCACAGAGTTGAACGTTCCCTTAGACAGAGCAGATTTGAAACACTCTTTTTGTGCAATTGGCAAATGGAGATTTCAAGCGCTTTAAGTTCAATGGCAGAAAAGGAAATATCTTCGTTTCAAAACTGGACAGAATCATTCCCACAAACTGCGTTGTGATGTGTTCGTTCAACTCACAGAGTTTAACCTTTCTTTTCATAGAGCAGTTAGGAAACAGTCTGTTTGAAAATTCTGTAAGTGGATATTCTGACATCTTGTGGCCTTCGTTGGAAACGGGATTTCTTCATATTCTGCTAGACAGAAGAATTCTCAGTAACTTCCTTGTGTTGTGTGTATTCAACTCACAGAGTTGAACGATCCTTTACACAGAGCAGACTTGAAACACTCTTTTTGCGGAATTTGTAAGTGGAGATTTCAGCCGCTTTGAGGTCAATGGTAGAAAAGGAATTATCTTCGTATAAAAACTAGACAGAATCATTCTCAGAAACTCCTTTGTGATGTGTGCGTTCAACTCACAGAGTTTAACCTTTCTTTTCATAGAGCAGTTAGGAAACACTCTGTTTGTAAAGTCTGCAAGTGGATATTCAGACCTCCTTGAGGCCTTCGTTGGAAACGGGATTTCTTCATATTATGCTAGACAGAATAATTCTCAGTAACTTCCTTGTGTTGTGTGTATTCAACTCACAGAGTTGAAGGATCCTTTACAGAGAGCAGGCTTGAAACACTCTTTTTGTGGAATTTGCAAGTGGAGATTTCAGCCGCTTTGAGGTCAATGGTAGAATAGGAAATATCTTCTTATACAAACTAGACAGAATCATTCTCAGAAACTGCTGTGTGATGTGTGCGTTCAACTCTCAGAGTTTAACTTTTCTTTTCATTCAGCGGTTTGGAAACACTCTGTTTGTAAAGTCTGCACGTGGATATTTTGACCACTTAGAGGCCTTCGTTGGAAACGGGTTTTTTTCATGTAAGGCTAGACAGAAGAATTCCCAGTAACTTCCTTGTGTTGTGTACATTCAACTCACAGTGTTGAACGTTCCCTTAGACAGAGCAGATTTGAAACACTCTTTTTGTGCAACTGGCAAGTGGAGATTTCAAGCGCTTTAAGGTCCATGGCAGAAAAGGAAATATCTTCGTTTCAAAACTAGACAGAATCATTCCCACAAACTGCGTTGTGATGTGTTCGTTCAACTCACAGAGTTTAACCTTTCTTTTCATAGAGCAGTTAGGAAACACTCTGTTGGTAAATTCTGTAAGTGGATATTCTGACATCTTGTGGCCTTCGTTGGAAACGGGATTTCTACATATTCTGCCAGACAGAATAATTCTCATTAACTTCCTTGTGTTGTGTGTATTCCACTCACAGAGTTGAACGATCCTTTACAGAGAGCAGACTTGAAACACTCTTTTTGTGGAATTTGCAAGTGGAGATTTCAGCCGCTTTGAGGTCAATGGTAGAATAGGAAATATCTTCCTATGGAAACTAGACAGAATGATTCTCAGAAACTCCTTTGTGATGTGTGTGTTCAACTCACAGAGTTTAACCTTTCTTTTCATAGAGCAGTTAGTAAAAAGTCTGTTTATAAAGTCTGCAGGTGGATATTCAGACCCCTTTGAGGCCTTCGTTGGAAACGGGATTTCTTCATATTATGCTAGACAGAAGAATTCCCAGTAACTTCCTTGTGTTGTGTGTGTTCAACTCACAGAGTTGAACTTTGATTTACACAGAGCAGATTTGAAACACTCTTTTTGTGGAATTTGCAAGTGGAGATTTCAAGCGCTTTGAGGCCAAAGGCAGAAAAGGAAATATCTTCGTTTCAAAACTAGACAGAATCATTCTCAGAAACTGCTGCGTGATGTGTGCGTTCAACTCTCAGAGTTTAACTTTTCTTTTCATTCAGCGGTTTGGAAACACTCTGTGTGTAAAGTCTGCACGTGGATATTTTGACCACTTAGAGACCTTCGTTGGAAACGGGATTTTTTCATGTAAGGCTAGACAGAAGAATTCCCAGTAACTTCCTTGTGTTGTGTGCATTCAACTCACAGAGTTGAACGTTCCCTTAGACAGAGCAGATTTGAAACACTCTATTTGAGCAATTTGCAAGTGTAGATTTCAAGCGCTTTAAGGTCAATGGCAGAAAAGGTAATATCTTCGTTTCAAAACTAGACAGAATCATTCCCACAAACTGCGTTGTGATGTGTTCGTTCAACTCACAGAGTTTAACCTTTCTGTTCATAGAGCAGTTAGGAAACACTCTGTTTGTAAAGTCTGTAAGTGGATATTCTGACATCATGTGGCCTTCGTTGGAAACGGGATTTCTTCATATTCTGCTAGACAGAAGAATTCTCAGAAACTTCCTTGTGTTGTGTGTTTTCAACTCACAGAGTTGAACGATCCTTTACACAGAGCAGACTGGAAACACTCCTTTTGTGGAATTTGCAAGTGGAGATTTCAGCCGCTTTGAGGTCAATGGTAGAATAGGAAATATCTTCCTATAGAAAGTAGACAGAATGATTCTCAGAAACTCCTTTGTGATGTGTACGTTCAACTCACAGAGTTTAACCTTTCTTTTCATAGAGCAGTTGGGAAACACTCTGTTTGTAAAGTCTGCAAGTGGATATTCCGACATCCTTGAGGCTTTCGTTGGAAACGGGATTTCTTCATATTCTGCTAGAAAGAAGAATTCTCAGTAACTTCCTTGTGTTGTGTGTATTCAACTCACAGAGTTGAACGATCCTTTACACAGAGCAGACTTGAAACACTCTTTTTGTGGAATTTGCAAGTGGAGATTTCAGCCGCTTTGAGGTCAATGGTAGAATAGGAAATATCTTCCTATAGAAACTAGACATAATCATTCTCAGAAACTGCTGCGTGATGTGTGCCTTCAACTCTCAGAGTTTAACTTTTCTTTTCATTCAGCGGTTTGGAAACACTCTGTTTGTAAAGTCTGCACGTGGATATTTTGACCACTTAGAGGCCTTCGTTGGAAACGGGTTTTTTTCATGTAAGGCTAGACAGAAGAATTCCCAGTAACTTCCTTGTGTTGTGTGCATTCAACTCACAGAGTTGAACGTTCCCTTAGACAGAGCAGATTTGAAACACTCTATTTGTGCAATTTGCAAGTGTAGATTTCAAGCGCTTTAAGGTCAATGGCAGAAAAGGAAATATCTTCGTTTCAAAACTAGACAGAATGATTCTCAGAAACTCCTTTGTGATGTGTGCGTTCAACTCACAGAGTTTAACGTTTCTTTTCATAGAGCAGTTAGGAAACACTCTGTTTGTAAAGTCTGCAAGTGGATATTCAGACATCTTTGAGGCTTTCGTTGGAAACGGGATTTCTTCATATTCTGCTAGAAAGAAGAATTCTCAGTAACTTCCTTGTGTTGTGTGTATTCAACTCACAGAGTTGAATGATCCTTTACACAGAACAGTCTTGAAACACTCTTTTTGTGGAATTTGCAAGTGGAGATTTCAGCCGCTTTGAGGTCAATGGTAGAATAGGAAATATCTTCCTATAGAAACTAGACAGAATGATTCTCAGAAACTCCTTTGTGATGTGTGCGTTCAACTCACAGAGTTCAACCTTTCTTTTCATAGAGCAGTTGGAAAACACTCTGTTTGTAAAGTCTGCAAGTGGATATTCAAACTTCTTTGAGGCCTTCGTTGGAAGCGGGATTTCTTCATATTCTGCTAGACAGAAGGATTCCTAGTAACTTCCTTGTGTTGTGTGTGTTCAACTCACAGAGTTGAACTTTCATTTACAAAGAGCAGATTTGAAACACTCTTTTTGTGGAATTTGCAAGTGGAGATTTCAAGCGCTTTGAGGCCAAAGGCAGAAAAGGAAATATCTTCGTATAAAAACTAGACAGAATCATTCTCAGAAACTGCTGCGTGATGTGTGCGTTCAACTCTCAGAGTTTAACTTTTCTTTTCATTCAGCGGTTTGGAAACACTCTGTTTGTAAAGTCTGCACGTGGATGTTTTGACCACTTAGAGGCCTTCGTTAGAAACTGGTTTTTTTCATGTAAGGCTAGACAGAAGAATTCACAGTAACTTCCTTGTGTTGTGTGCATTCAACTCACATAGTTGAACGTTCCCTTAGACAGAGCAGATTTGAAACACTCTATTTGTGCAATTCGCAAGTGTAGATTTCAAGCGCTTTAAGGTCAATGGCAGAAAAGGAAATATCTTCGTTTCAAAACTAGACAGAATCATTCTCACAAACTGCGTTGTGATGTGTTCGTTCAACTCACAGAGATTAACCTTTCTGTTCATAGAGCAGTGAGGAAACACTCTGTTTGTAAAGTCTGTAAGTGGATATTCTGACATCTTGTGGCCTTCGTTGGAAACGGGATTTCTTCATATTCTGCTAGACAGAAGAATTCTCAGTAACTTCCTTGTGTTGTGTGTATTCAACTCACAGAGTTGAACGATCCTTTACACAGAGCAGACTTGAAACACTCTTTTTGCGGAATTTGCAAGTGGAGATTTCAGCCGCTTTGAGGTCAATGGTAGAATAGGAAATATCGTCCTATAGAAACTAGACAGAAATGATTCTCAGAAACTCCTTTGTGATGTGTGTGTTCAACTCACAGAGTTTAACATTTCTTTTCATAGAGCAGTTAGGAAACACTCTGTTTGTAAAGTCTGCAAGTGGATATTCAGACCTCTTTGAGGCCTTCGTTGGAAACGGGTTTTTTTCATATAAGGCTAGACAGAAGAATTCCCAGTAACTTCCTTGTGTTGTGTGTGTTCAACTCACAGAGTTGAACTTTCATTTACACAGAGCAGATTTGAAACACTCTTTTTGTGGAATTTACAAATGGAGATTTCAAGCGCTTTGAGGCCAAAGGCAGAAAAGGAAATATCTACGTATAAAAACTAGACAGAATCATTCTCAGAAACTGCTGCGTGATGTGTGCGTTCAACTCTCAGAGTTTAACTTTTCTTTACATTCAGCGGTTTGGAAACACTCTGTTTGTAAAGTCTGCACGTGGATATTTTGACCACTTAGAGGCCTTCGATGGAAACGGGATTTTTTCATGTAAGGCTAGACAGAAGAATTCCCAGTAACTTCCTTGTGTTGTGTGCATTCAACTCACAGAGTTGAACGTTCCCTTAGACAGAGCAGATTTGAAACACTCTATTTGTGCAATTTGCAAGTGTAGATTTCAAGCGCTTTAAGGTCAACGGCAGAAAAGGAAATATCTTCGTTTCAAAACTAGACAGAATCATTCCCACAAACTGCGTTGTGATGTGTTCGTTCAACTCACAGAGTTTAACCTTTCTTTTCATAGAGCAGTTAGGAAACAGTCTGTTTGAAAATTCTGTAAGTGGATATTCTGACATCTTGTGGCCTTCGTTGGAAACGGGATTTCTTCATATTCTGCTAGACAGAAGAATTCTCAGTAACTTCCTTGTGTTGTGTGTATTCAACTCACAGAGTTGAACGATCCTTTACAGAGAGCAGACTTGAAACACTCTTTTTGTGGAATTTGCAAGTGGAGATTTCAGCCGCTTTGAGGTCAATGGCAGAAAAGGAAATATCTTCGTATAAAGACTAGACAGAATGATTCTCAGAAACTCCTTTGTGATGTGTGCGTTCAACACACAGAGTTTAACTTTTCTTTTCATAGAGCAGTTAGGAAACACTCTGTTTGTAAAGTCTGCAAGTGGATATTCAGACCTCTTTGAGGCCTTCGTTGGAAACGGGATTTCTTCATATTATGCTAGACAGAATAATTCTCCGTAACTTCCTTGTGTTGTGTGTATTCAACTCACAGAGTTGAACGATCCTTTACAGAGAGCAGACTTGAAACACTCTTTTTGTGGAATTTGCAAGTGGAGATTTCAGCCGCTTTGAGGTCAATGGTAGAATGGGAAATATCTTCCTATAGAAACTAGACAGAATCTTTCTCAGAAACTGCTCTGCGATGTGTGCGTTCACCTCTCAGAGTTTAACTTTTCTTTTCATTCAGCAGTTTGGAAACACTCTGTTTGTAAAGTCTGCACGTGGATATTTTGACCACTTAGAGTCCTTCGTTGGAAACGGGTTTTTTTCATGTAAGGCTAGACAGAAGAATTCCCAGTAACTTCCTTGTGTTGTGTGCATTCAACTCACAGAGATGAACGTTCCCTTAGACAGAGCAGATGTGAAACACTCTATTTGTGCAATTTGCAAGTGTAGATTTCAAGCACTTTAAGGTCAATGGCATAAAAGGAAATATCTTCGTTTCAAAACTAGACAGAATCATTCCCACAAACTGCGTTGTGATGTGTTCGTTCAACTCACAGAGTTTAACCTTTCTTTTCATAGAGCAGTTAGGAAACAGTCTGTTTGTCAATTCTGTAAGTGGATATTCTGACATCTTGTGGCCTTCTTTGGAAACGGGATTTCTTCATATTCTCCTAGACAGAAGAATTCTCAGAATCTTCCTTGTGTTGTGTGTATTCAACTCACACAGTTGAACGATGGTTTACACAGAGCAGATTTGACACACTCTTTTTGTGGAATTTGCAATTGGAAATTTCAGCCGCTTTGAGGTCAATGGTAGAAAAGGAAATATCTTCGTATAAAAACTAGACAGAATGATTCTCAGAAACTCCTTTGTGATGTGTGCGTTCAACTCAAAGAGTTTAACTTTTCTTTTCATAGAGCAGTTAGGAAACACTCTGTTTGTAAAGTCTGCAAGTGGATATTCAGACCTCTTTGAGGCCTTCGTTGGAAACGGGATTTCTTCATATTATGCTAGACAGAAGAATTCTCAGTAACTTCCTTGTGTTGTGTGTAGTCAACTCACAGAGTTGAACGATCCTTTACACAGAGCAGACTTGAAACATTCTTTTTGTGGAATTTGCAAGTGGAGATTTCAGCCGCTTTGAGGTCAATAGTAGAAAAGGAAATATCTTCGTAGAAAAACTAGACAGAATCATTCTCAGAAACTGCTCTGCGATGTGTGCATTCAACTCTCAGAGTTTAATTTTTCTTTTCATTCAGCAGTTTGGAAACATTCTCTTTGTAAAGTCTGCACGTGGATATTTTGACCACTTAGAGGCCTTCGTTGGAAACGGGTTTTATTCTTGTAAGGCTAGACAGAAGAATTCCCAGTAACTTCCTTGTGTTGTGTACATTCAACTCACAGAGTTGAACGTTCCCTTAGACAGAGCAGATTTGAAACACTCTTTTTGTGCAATTGGCAAGTGGAGATTTCAAGCGCTTTGAGGTCAATGGCAGAAAAGGAAATATCTTCCTTTCAAAACTAGACAGAATCATTCCCACAAACTGCGTTGTGATGTGTTCGTTCAACTCACAGAGTTTAACCTTTCTGTTCATAGAGCAGTTAGGAAACACTCTGTTTGTAAAGTCTGTAAGTGGATATTCTGATATCTTGTGGCCTTCGTTGGAAACGGGATTTCTTCATATTCTGCTAGACAGAAGAATTCTCAGAATCTTCCTTGTGTTGTGTGTATTCAACTCACAGAGGTGAACGATCCTTTACACAGAGCAGACTTGAAACACTCTTTTTGTGGAATTTGCAAGTGGAGATTTCAGCCGCTTTGAGGTCCATGGTAGAAAAGGAAATATCTTCGTATAAAAACTAGACAGAATGATTCTCAGAAACTTCATTGTGACGTGTGCGTTCAACTCACAGAGTTTAACCTTTCTTTTCATAGAGCAGTTAGGAAACACTCTGTTTGTAAAGTCTGCAAGTGGATATTCGGACCTCTTTGAGGCCTTCGTTGGAAACGGGATTTCTTCATACTGTGCTAGACAGAAGAATTCTCAGTAACTTCCTTTTGTTGTGTGTATTCAACTGACAGAGTTGAACTTTCATTTAGAGAGAGCAGATTTGAAACACTGTTTTTGTGCAATTTGCAAGTGGAGATTTCAAGCGCTTTGGGGCCAAAGGCAGAAAAGGAAATATCTTCGTATAAAAACTAGACAGAATCATTCTCAGAAACTGCTGCGTGATGTGTGCGTTCAACTCTCAGAGTTTAACTTTTCTTTTCATTCAGCGGTTTGGAAACACTCTGTTTGTAAAGTCTGCACGTGGATATTTTGACCACTTAGAGGCCTTCGTTGGAAACGGTTTTTTTTCATGTAAGGCTAGACAGAAGAATTCCCAGTAACTTCCTTGTGTTGTGTGCATTCAACTCACAGAGTTGAACGTTCCCTTAGACAGAGCAGATTTGAAACACTCTATTTGTGCAATTTGCAAGTGTAGATTTGAAGCGCTTTAAGGTCAATGGCAGAAAAGGAAATATCTTCGTTTCAAAACTAGACAGAATCATTCCCACAAACTGCATTGTGATGTGTTCGTTCAACTCACAGAGTTTAACCTTTCTGTTCATAGAGCAGTTAGGAAACACTCTGTTTGTAAAGTCTGCAAGTGGATATTCAGACCTCCTTGAGGCCTTCGTTGGAAACGGGATTTCTTCATATTCTGCTAGACAGAAGAATTCTCAGTAACTTCCTTGTGTTGTGTGTATTCAACTCACAGAGTTGAACGATCCTTTACACAGAGCAGACTTGAAACACTCTATTTGTAGAATTTGCAAGTGGAGATTTCAGCCGCTTTGAGGTCAATAGTAGAAAAGGAAATATCTTCGTAGAAAAACTAGACAGAATGATTCTCAGAAACTCCTTTGTGATGTGTGTGTTCAACTCACAGAGTTTAACCTTTCTTTTCCTAGAGCAGTTAGTAAACACTCTGTTTATAAAGTCTGCAAGTGGATATTCAGACCCCTTTGAGGCCTTCGTTGGAAACGGGATTTCTTCATATTATGCTAGACAGAAGAATTCTCAGTAACTTCCTTGTGTTGTGTGTATTCAACTGACAGAGTTGTACTTTCATTTAGAGAGAGCAGATTTGAAACACTGTTTTTGTGGAATTTGCAAGTGGAGATTTCAAGCGCTTTGGGGCCAAAGGCAGAAAAGGAAATATCTTCGTATAAAAACTAGACAGAATGATTCTGAGAAACTCCTTTGTGATGTGTGCGTTCAACTCACCGAGTTTAACCTTTCTTTTCACAGAGCAGTTAGGAAACACTCTGTTTGTAAAGTCTGCAAGTGGATATTCAGACCTCCTTGAGGCCTTCGTTGGAAACGGGATTTCTTCATATTATGCTAGACAGAAGAATTCTCAGTAACTTCCTTGTGTTGTGTGTATTCAACTCACAGAGTTGAACGATCCTTTACACAGAGCAGACTTGAAACACTCTTTTTGTGAAATTTGCAAGTGGAGATTCCAGCCGCTTTGTGGTCAATGGTAGAATAGGAAATATCTTCCTATAGAAACTAGACAGAATGATTCTGAGAAACTCCTTTGTGATGTGTGCGTTCAACTCACAGAGTTTAACCTTTCTTTTCATAGAGCAGTTAGGAAACACTCTGTTTGTAAAGTCTGCAAGTGGATATTCAGACCTCCTTGAAGCCTTCGTTGGAAACGGGATTTCTTCATATTATGCTAGACAGAAGAATTCTCAGTAACTTCCTTGTGTTTTGTGTATTCAACTCACAGAGTTGAACGATCCTTTACACAGAGCAGACTTGAAACACTCTTTTTGTGGAATTTGCAAGTGGAGATTTCAGCCGCTTTGAGTTCAATGGTAGAATAGGAAATATCTTCCTATAGAAACTAGACAGAATTATTCTGAGAAACTCCTTTGTGATGTGTGCGTTCAACTCACAGAGTTTAACCTTTCTTTTCATAGAGCAGTTAGGAAACACTCTGTTTGTAAAGTCTGCAAGTGGATATTCAGACCTCCTTGAGGCCTTCGTTGGAAACGGGATTTCTTCATATTATGCTAGACAGAAGAATTCCCAGTAACTTCCTTGTGTTGTGTGTGATCAACTCACAGAGTTGAACTTTCATTTACACAGAGCAGATTTGAAACACTCTTTTTGTGGAATTTGCAGGTGGAGATTTCAAGCGCTTTGAGGCCAAAGGCAGTAAAGGAAATATCTTCGTATAAAAACTAGACAGAATCATTCTCAGAAACTGCTCTGCGATGTGTGCGTTCAACTCTCAGAGTTTAACTTTTCTTTTCATTCAGCAGTTTGGAAACACTCTGTTTGTAAAGTCTGCATGTGGATAACTTGACCACTTAGAGGACTTCGTTGGAAACGGGTTTTTTTCCTGTAAGGCTAGACAGAAGAATTCCCAGAAACTTCCTTGTGTTGTGTACATTCAACTCACAGAGTTGAACGTTCCCTTAGACAGAGCAGATTTGAAACACTCTTTTTGTGCAATTGGCAAGTGGTGATTTCAGCCGCTTTGAGGTCAATGGTAGAAAAGGGAATATCTTCGTATAAAAACTAGACAGAATCATTCCCACAAACTGCGTTGTGATGTGTTCGTTCAACTCACAGAGTTTAACCTTTCTGTTCATAGAGCAGTTAGGAAACACTCTGTTTGTAAAGTCTGTAAGTAGATATTCTGACATATTGTGGCCTTCGTTGGAAACGGGATTTCTTCATATTATGCTAGACAGAAGAATTCTCAGTAACTTCCTTGTGTTGTGTGTATTCAACTCACAGAGTTGAACGGTCCTTTACAGAGAGCAGACTTGAAACACTCTTTTTGTGGAATTTGCAAGTGGAGATTTCAGCCGCTTTGAGGTCAATGGTAAAATAGGAAATATCTTCGTATAGAAACTAGACAGAATGATTCTCAGAAACTCCTTTGTGATGTGTGTGTTCAACTCACAGAGTTTAACCTTTCTTTTCATAGAGCAGTTAGGAAACACTCTGTTTATAAAGTCTGCAAGTGGATATTCAGACCCCTTTGTGGCCTTCGTTGGAAACGGGATTTCTTCATATTATGCTAGACAGAAGAATTCTCAGTAACTTCCTTGTGTTGTGTGTATTCAACTGACAGAATTGAACTTTCATTTAGAGAGAGCAGATTTGAAACACTGTTTTTGTGGTATTTGCAAGTGGAGATTTCAAGCGCTTTGGGGCCAAAGGCAGAAAAGGAAATATCTTCGTATAAAAACTAGACAGAATCATTCTCAGAAACTGCTGCGTGATGTGTGCGTTCAACTCTCAGAGTTTAACTTTTCTTTTCATTCAGCGGTTTGGAAACACTCTGTTTGTAAAGTCTGCACGTGGAAATTTTGACCACTTAGAGGCCTTCGTTGGAAACGGGATTTTTTCATGTAAGGCTAGACAGAAGAATTCCCAGTAACTTCCTTGTGTTGTGTACGTTCAACTCACAGAGTTGAACGTTCCCTTAGACAGAGCAGATTTGAAACACTCTTTTTGTGCAATTGGCAAGTGGAGATTTCAAGCGCTTTAAGTTCAATGGCAGAAAAGGAAATATCTTCGTTTCAAAACTAGACAGAACGATTCTAAGAAACTCCTTTGTGATGTGTGCGTACAACTCACAGAGTTTAACCTTTCTTTTCATAGAGCAGTTAGGAAACACTCTGTTTGTAAAGTCTGCAAGTGGATATTCAGACCTCTTTGAGTCCTTCGTTGGAAACGGGATTTCTTCATATTCTGCTAGACAGAAGAATTCTCAGTAACTTCCTTGTGTTGTGTGTATTCAACTCACAGAGTTGTACGATCCTTTACACAGAGCAGACTTGAAACACTCTTTTTGTGGAATTTGCAAGTGGAGATTTCAGCCGCTTTGAGGTCAATAGTAGAAAAGGAAATATCTTCGTAGAAAAACTAGACAGAATGATTCTCATAAACTCCTTTGTGATGTGTGAGTTCAAATCACAGAGTTTAACTTTTCTTTTCATAGATCAGTTAGGAAACACTCTGTTTCTAAAGTCTGCAAGTGGATATTCAGATCTCTTTGAGGCCTTCGTTGGAAACGGGATTTCTTCATATTATGCTAGACAGAAGAATTCCCAGTAACTTCCTTGTGTTGTGTGTGTTCAACTCACAGAGTTGAACTTTCATTTACACAGAGCAGATTTGAAACACTCTTTTTGTGGAATTTGCAAACGGAGATTTCAAGCGCTTTGAGGCCAAAGGCAGAAAAGGAAATATCTTCGTTTCAAAACTAGACAGAATCATTCTCAGAAACTGCTCTGCGATGTGTGCGTTCAACTCTCAGAGTTTAACTTTTCTTTTCATTCAGCAGTTTGGAAACACTCTGTTTGTAAAGTCTGCACGTGGATATTTTGACCACTTAGAGGCCTTCTTTGGAAACGGGTTTTTTCCTGTAAGGCTAGACAGAAGAATTCCCAGTAACTTCCTTGTGTTGTGTACATTCAACTCACAGAGTTGAACGTTCCCTTAGACAGAGCAGATTTGAAACACTCTTTTTGTGCAATTGGCAAGTGCAAATTTCAAGCGCTTTAAGGTCAATGGCAGAAAAGGAAATATCTTCGTTTCAAAACTACACAGAATCATTCCCACAAACTGCGTTGTGATGTGTTCGTTCAACTCACAGAGTTTAACCTTTCCGTTCATAGAGCAGTTAGGAAACACTCTGTTTGTAAAGTCTGTAAGAGGATATTCTGACATCTTGTGGCCTTCGTTGGAAACGGGATTTCTTCATATTCTGCTAGACAGAAGAATTCTCAGTAACTTCCTTGTGTTGTGTGTATTCAACTCACAGAGTTGAACGATCCTTTACACAGAGCAGACTTGAAACACTCTTTTTGCGGAATTTGCAAGTGGAGATTTCAGCCGCTTTGAGGTCAATGGTAGAATAGGAAATATCTTCCTGTAGAAACTAGACAGAACGATTCTCAGAAACTCCTTTGTGATGTGTGCGTTCAACTCACAGAGTTTAACTTTTCTTTTCATAGAGCCGTTAGGAAACACTCTGTTTGTAAAGTCTGCAAGTGGATATTCAGACCTCTTTGAGGCCTTCGTTAGAAACGGGATTTCTTCCTATTCTGCTAGACAGAAGAATTCTCAGTAACTGCCTTGTGTTGTGTGTATACAACTCACAGAGTTGAACGATCCTTTACACACAGCAGACTTGAAACACTCTTTTTGTGGAATTTGCAAGTGGAGATTTCAGCCGCTTTGAGGTCAATGGTAGAATAGGAAATATCTTCCTATAGAAACTAGACAGAATCATTCTCAGAAACTGCTCTGCGATGTGTGCGTTGAACTCTCAGAGTTTAACTTTTCTTTTCATTCAGCAATTTGGAAACACTCTGTTTGTAAAGTCTGCACGTGGATATTTTGACCACTTAGAGGCCTTCGTTGGAAACGGGTTTTTTTCCTGTAAGGCTAGACAGAAGAATTCCCAGTAACTTCCTTGTGTTGTGTACATTCAACTCACAGAGTTGAACGTTCCCTTAGACAGAGCAGATTTGAAACACTCTTTTTGTGCAATTGGCAAATGGAGATTTCAAGCGCTTTAAGTTCAATGGCAGAAAAGGAAATATCTTCGTTTCAAAACTAGACAGAATCATTCTCAGAAACTGCTCTGCGATGTGTGCGTTCAACTCTCAGAGTTTAACTTTTCTTTTCATTCAGCAGTTTGGAAACACTCTGTTTGTAAAGTCTGCACGTGGATAATTTGACCACTTAGAGGCTTTCGTTGGAAACGGGTTTTTTTCATGTAAGGCTAGACAGAAGAGTTCTCAGTAACTTCCTTGTGTTGTGTGTATTCAACTCACAGAGTTGAACGATCCTTTACACAGAGCAGACTTGGAACACTCTTTTTGTGGAATTTGCAAGTGGAGATTTCAGCCGCGTTGAGGTCAATGGTAGAAAAGGAAATATCTTCGTATAAAAACTAGACAGAATGATTCTCAGAAACTCCTTTGTGATGTGTGTGTTCAACTCACAGAGTTTAACCTTTCTTTTCATAGAGCAGTTAGGAAACACTCTGTTTATAAAGTCTGCAAGTGGATATTCAGACCTCCTTGAGGCCTTCGTTGGAAACGGGATTTCTTCATATTCTGCTAGACAGAAGAATTCCCAGTAACTCCCTTGTGTTGTGTGTGTTCAACTCACAGAGTTGAACTTTCATTTACACAGAGCAGATTTGAAACACTCTTTTTGTGGAATTTGCAAGTGGAGATTTCAAGCGCTTTGAGGCCAAAGGCAGAAAAGGAAATATCTTCGTATAAAAACTACACAGAATTATTCTCAGAAACTGCTGCGTGATGTGTGCGTTCAACTCTCAGAGTTTAACTTTTCTTTTCATTCAGCGGTTTGGAAACACTCTGTTTGTAAAGTCTGCACGTGGATATTTTGACCACTTAGAGGCCTTCGTTGGAAACGGGTTTTTTTTCATGTAAGGCTAGACAGAAGAATTCCCAGTAACTTCCTTGTGTTGTGTACATTCAACTCACAGAGTTGAACGTTCCCTTAGACAGAGCAGATTTGAAACACTCTTTTTGTGCAATTGGCAAATGGAGATTTCAAGCGCTTTAAGGTCAATGGCAGAAAAGGAAATATCTTCGTTTCAAAACTAGACAGAATCATTCCCACAAACTGCGTTGTGATGTGTTCGTTCAACTCACAGAGTTTAACCTTTCTGTTCATAGAGCAGTTAGGAAACACTCTGTTTGTAAAGTCTGTAAGTGGATATTCTGACATCTTGTGGCCTTCGTTGGAAACGGGATTTCTTCATATTCTGCTGGACAGAAGAATTCCCAGTAACTTCCTTGTGTTGTGAGTGTTCAACTCACAGAGTTGAAATTTCATTTACACAGAGCAGATTTGAAACACTCTTTTTGTGGAATTTGCAAGTGGAGATTTCAGCCGCTTTGAGGTCCTTGGTAGAAAAGGAAATATCTTCGTATAAAAACTAGACAGAATGATTCTCAGAAACTCCTTTGTGATGTGTGTGTTCAACTCACAGAGTTTAACCTTTCTTTTCATAGAGAAGTTAGTAAACACTCTGTTTATAAAGTCTGCAAGTGGATATTCAGACCCCTTTGGGGCCTTCGTTGGAAACGGGATTTCTTCATATTATGCTAGACAGAAGAATTCTCAGAATCTTCCTTGTGTTGTGTGTATTCAACTCACACAGTTGAACGATTGTTTACACAGAGCAGATTTGAAACACTCTTTTTGTGGAATTTGCAAGTGGAGATTTCAAGCGCTTTGAGGCCAAAGGCAGAAAAGGAAATATCTTCGTATAAAAACTAGACAGAATCATTCTCAGAAACTGCTCTGCGATGTGTGCATTCAACTCTCAGAGTTTAACTTTTCTTTTCATTCAGCAGTTTGGAAACACTCTGTTTGTAAAGTCTGCACGTGGATATTTTGACCATTTAGAGGCCTTCGTTGGAAACGGGTTTTTTTCTTGTAAGGCTAGACAGAAGAATTCCCAGTAACTTCCTTGTGTTGTGTGCATTCAACTCACAGAGTTGAACGTTCCCTTAGACAGAGCAGATTTGAAACACTCTATTTGTGCAATTTGCAAGTGTGGATTTCAAGCGCTTTAAGGTCAACGGCAGAAAAGGAAATATCTTCGTTTCAAAACTAGACAGAATCATTCCCACAAACTGCGTTGTGATGTGTTCGTTCAACTCACAGAGTTTAACCTTTCTGTTCATAGAGCAGTTAGGAAACACTCTGTTTGTAAAGTCTGTAAGTGGATATTCTGACATCTTGTGGCCTTCGTTGGAAACGGGATTTCTTCCTATTCTGCTAGACAGAAGAATTCTCAGAAACTTCCCTTGTGTTGTGTGTTTTCAACTCACAGAGTTGAACGATCCTTTACACAGAGCAGACTTGAAACACTCCTTTTGTGGAATTTGCAAGTGGAGATTTCAGCCGCTTTGAGGTCAATGGTAGAATAGGAAATATCTTCCTATAGAAACTAGACAGAATGATTCTCAGAAACTTCTTTGTGATGTGTGCGTTCAACTCACAGACTTTAACTTTTCTTTTCATAGAGCAGTTAGTAAACACTCTGTTTGTAAAGTCTGCAAGTGGATATTCAGACCTCTTTGAGGCCTTCGTTGGAAACGGGATTTCTTCATATTCTGCTAGACAGAAGAATTCTCAGTAACTTCCTTGTGTTGTGTGTATTCAACTGACAGAGTTGAACTTTCATTTAGAGAGAGCAGATTTGAAACACTGTTTTTGTGGAATTTGCAAGTGGAGATTTCAAGCGCTTTGGGGCCAAAGGCAGAAAAGGAAATATCTTCGTATAAAAGCTAGACAGAATCATTCTCAGAAACTGCTGCGTGATGTGTGCGTTCAACTCACAGAGTTTAAGTTTTCTTTTCATTCAGCGGTTTGGAAACACTCTGTTTGTAAAGTCTGCACGTGGATATTTTGACCACTTAGAGGCCTTCGTTGGAAACGGGTTTTTATCATGTAAGGCTAGACAGAAGAATTCCCAGTAACTTTCCTTGTGTTGTGTGCAATCAAATCACAGAGTTGAACGTTCCCTTAGACAGAGTAGATTTGAAACACTCTATTTGTGCAATTTGCAAGTGTAGATTTCAAGCGCTTTAAGGTCAAAGGCAGAAAAGGAAATATCTTCGTTTCAAAACTAGACAGAATCATTCCCACAAACTGCGTTGTGATGTGTTCGTTCAACTCACAGAGTTTAACCTTTCTGTTCATAGAGCAGTTAGGAATCACTCTGTTTGTAAAGTCTGTAAGTGGATATTCTGACATCTTGTGGCCTTCGTTTGAAAAGGGATTTCTTCATATTCTGCTAGACAGAAGAATTCCCAGAAACTTCGTTGTGTTGTGTGTTTTCAACTCACAGAGTTCAACGATCCTTTACACAGAGTAGACTTGAAACACTCTTTTTGTGGAATTGGCAGGGTGGAGATTTCAGCCGCTTTGAGGTCAATGGTAGAAAAGGAAATATCTTCGTATAAAAACTAGACAGAGTGATTCTCAGAAACTCCTTTGTGATGTGTGCGTTCAACTCACAGAGTTAAACCTTTCTTTTCATAGAGCAGTTAGGAAACACTCTGTTTGTAAAGTCTGCAAGTGGGTATTCAGACATCCTTGAGGCTTTCGTTGGAAACGGGATTTCTTCATATTCTGCTAGAAAGAAGGATTCCCAGTAACTTCCTTGTGTTGTGTGTGTTCAACTCACAGAGTTGAACTTTCATTTACAAAGAGCAGATTTGAAACACTCTTTTTGTGGAATTTGCAATTGGAGATTTCAAGCGCTTTGAGACCAAAGGCAGAAAAGGAAATATCTTCGTATAAAAACTAGACAGAATCATTCTCAGAAACTGCTCTGCGATGTGTGCGTTCAACTCTCAGAGTTTAACTTTTCTTTTCATTCAGCAGTTTGGAAACACTCTGTTTGTAAAGTCTGCACGTGGATATTTTGACCACTTACAGGCCTTCGTTGGAAACGGGTTTTTTTCATGTAAGGCTAGACAGAAGAATTCCCAGTAACTTCCTTGCGTTGTGTGCATTCAACTCACAGAGTTGAACGTTCCCTTAGACAGAGCAGATTTGAAACACTGTTTTTGTGCAATTTGCAAGTGGAGATTTCAAGTGCTTTAAGGTCAATGGCAGAAAAGGAAATATCTTCGTTTCAAAACTAGACAGAATCATTCCCACAAACTGCGTTGTGATGTGTTCGTTCAACTCACAGATTTAAACTTTTCTTTTCATAGAGCAGTTAGGAAACACTCTGTTTGTAAAGTCTGTAAGTGGATATTCTGACATCTTGTGGCCTTATTGGAAACGGGATTTCTTCATATTCTGCTAGACAGAAGAATTCTCAGTAACTTCCTTGTGTTGTGAGGATTCAACTCACAGAGTTGAACGATCCTTTACACAGAGCAGACTTGAAACACTCTTTTTGTGGAATTTGCAAGTGGAGATTTCAGCCGCTTTGAGGTCAATGGTAGAAAAGGAAACTATCTTCATATAAAGACTAGACAGAATGATTCTCAGAAACTCCTTTGTGATGTGTGTGTTCAACTCACAGAGTTTAACCTTTCTTTTCATAGAGCAGTTAGTAAACACTCTGTTTATAAAGTCTGCAAGTGGATATTCAGACCCCTTGGAGGCCTTCGTTGGAAACGGGATTTCTTCATATTATGCTAGACAGAAGAATTCTCAGTAACTTCCTTGTGTTGTGTGTATTCAACTGACAGAGTTGAACTTTCATTTAGAGAGAGCAGATTTGAAACACTGTTTTTGTGGAATTTGCAATTGGAGATTTCAAGCGCTTTGGGGCCAAAGGCAGAAAAGGAAATATCTTCGTATAAAAACTAGACAGAATCATTCTCAGAAACTGCTCTGCGATGTGTGCGTTCAACTCTCAGAGTTTAATTTTTCTTTTCATTCAGCAGTTTGGAAACACTCTGTTTGTAAAGTCTGCACGTGGATAATTTGACCACTTAGAGGCCTTCGTTGGAAACGGGTTTTTTTCATGTAAGGCTAGACAGAAGAATTCTCAGTAACTTCCTTGTGTTGTGTGTATTCAACTCACAGAGTTGAACGATCCTTTACACAGAGCAGACTTGTAACACTCTTTTTGTGGAATTTGCAAGTGGAGATTTCAGCCTCTTTGAAGTCAAAGGTAGAAAAGGAAATATCTTCCTATAAAAACTAGACAGAATGATTCTCAGAAACTCCTTTGTGATGTGTGTGTTCAACTCACAGAGTTTAACCTTTTTTTTCATAGAGCAGTTAGTAAACACTCTGTTTATAAAGTCTGCAAGTGGATATTCAGACCCCTTTGAGGCCTTCGTTGGAAACGGGATTTCTTCATATTATGCTAGACAGAAGAATTCTCAGTAACTTCCTTGTGTTGTGTTTATTCAACTCACAGAGTTGAATGATCCTTTACACAGAGCAGACTTGAAACACTCTTTTTGTGGAATTTGCAAGTGGAGGTTTCAGCCGCTTTGAGGTCAATGGTAGAAAAGTAAATATCTTCGTATAAAGACTAGACAGAATGATTCTCAGAAACTCCTTTGTGATGTGTGCGTTCAACTCACAGAGTTTAACCTTTCTGTTCATAGAGCTGTTAGGAAACACTCTGTTTGTAAAGTCTGCAAGTGGATATTCAGACCTCCTTTAGGCCTTCGTTGGAAACGGGATTTCTTCATATTCTGCTAGACAGAAGAATTCTCAGTAACTTCCTTGTGTTGTGTGTATTCAACTCACAGAGTTGAACGATCCTTTACACAGAGCAGACTTGAAACACTCTTTTTGTGGAATTTGCAAGTGGAGATTTCA
This sequence comes from Homo sapiens, assembly GCF_000001405.40. Taxonomy (NCBI): domain Eukaryota; kingdom Metazoa; phylum Chordata; class Mammalia; order Primates; family Hominidae; genus Homo; species Homo sapiens. The sequence continues at coordinate 124,613,562 of NC_000001.11, forward strand.
GCCGCTTTGAGGTCAATAGTAGAAAAGGAAATATCTTTGTAGAAAAACTAGACAGAATGATTCTCAGAAACTCCTTTGTGATGTGTGCGTTCAACTCACAGAGTTTAACCTTTCTTTTCATAGAGCAGTTAGGAAACACTCTGTTTGTAAAGTCTGCAAGTGGATATTCAGACCTCTTTGAGGCCTTCGTTGGAAACGGGTTTTTTTCCTATAAGGCTAGACAGAAGAATTCCCAGTAACTTCCTTGTGTTGTGTGCATTCAACTCACAGAGTTGAACGTTCCCTTAGACAGAGCAGATTTGAAACACTCTATTTGTGCAATTTGCAAGTGTAGATCTCAAGCGCTTTAAGGTCAATGGGAGAAAAGGAAATATCTTCGTTTCAAAACTAGACAGAATCATTCCCACAAACTGCGTTGTGATGTGTTCGTTCAACTCACAGAGTTTAACCTTTCTGTTCATAGAGCAGTTAGGAAACACTCTGTTTGTAAAGTCTGTAAGTGGATATTCTGACATCTTGTGGCCTTCGTTGGAAACGGTATTTCTTCCTATTCTGCTAGACAGAAGAATTCTCAGTAACTTCCTTGTGTTGTGTGTATTCAACTCACATAGTTGAACGATCCTTTACACAGAGCAGACTTGAAACACTCTTTTTGTGGAATTTGCAAGTGGAGATTTCAGCCGCTTTGAGGTCAATAGTAGAAAAGGAAATATCTTCGTAGAAAAACTAGACAGAATGATTCTCAGAAACTCCTTTCTGATGTGTGTGTTCAACTCACAGAGTTTAACCTTTCTTTTCATAGAGCAGTTAGTAAACACTCTGTTTATAAAGTCTGCAAGTGGATATTCAGACCCCTTGGAGGCCTTCGTTGGAAACGGGTTTTCTTCATATTATGCTAGACAGAAGAATTCCCAGTAACTTCCATGTGTTATGTGTGTTCAACTCACAGAGTTGAACTTTCATTTACACAGAGCAGATTTGAAACACTCTTTTTGTGGAATTTGCAAATGGAGATTTCAAGCGCTTTGAGGCCAGAGGCAGAAAAGGAAATATCTTCGTTTAAAAACTAGACAGAATGATTCTCAGAAACTCCTTTGTGATGTGTGCGTTCAACTCACAGTAGTTTAACCTTTCTTTTCATAGAGCAGTTAGGAAACACTCTGGTTGTAAAGACTACAAGTGGATATTCAGACCTCTTTGAGGCCTTCGTTGGAAACGGGTTTTTTTCCTGTAAGTCTAGACAGAAGAATTCCCAGTAACTTCCTTGTGTTGTGTACATTCAACTCACAGAGTTGAACGTTCCCTTAGACAGAGCAGATTTGAAACGCTCTTTTTGTGCAATTGGCAAGTGGAGATTTCAAGCGCTTTAAGGTCAATGGCAGAAAAGGAAATATCTTCGTTTCAAAACTAGACAGAATGATTCTCAGAAAATCTTTTGTGATGTGTGCGTTCAACTCACAGAGTTTAACTTTTCTTCTCATAGAGCAGTTAGGAAACACTCTGTAAAGTCTGCAAGTGGATATTCAGACCTCTTTGAGGCCTTCGTTGGAAACGGGATTTCTTCATATTATGCTAGACAGAATAATTCTCAGTAACTTCCTTGTGTTGTGTGTATTCAACTCACAGAGTTGAAGGATCCTTTACAGAGAGCAGGCTTCAAACACTCTTTTTGTCGAATTTGCAAGTGGAGATTTCAGCCGCTTTGAGGTCAATGGTAGAATAGGAAATATCTTCTTATAGAAACTAGACAGAATGATTCTCAGAAACTCCTTTGTGATGTGTGCGTTCAAATCACAGAGTTTAACTTTTCTTTTCATAGAGCAGTTAGGAAACACTCTGTTTGTAAAGTCTGCAAGTGGATATTCAGACCTCTTTGAGGCCTTCGTTGGAAACGGGATTTCTTCATATTATGCTAGACAGAAGAATTCTCAGTAACTTCCTTGTGTTGTGTGTATTCAACTCACAGAGTTGAATGATCCTTTACACAGTACAGTCTTGAAACACTCTTTTTGTGGAATTTGAAAGTGGAGATTTCAGCCGCTTTGAGGTCAATGGTAGAATAGGAAATACCTTCCTATAGAAACTAGACAGAATCATTCTCAGAAACTGCTCTGTGATGTGTGCGTTCAACTCTCAGAGTTTAACTTTTCTTTTCATTCAGCAGTTTGGAAACACTCTGTTTGTAAAGTCTGCACGTGGATATTTTGACCACTTAGAGGCCTTCGTTGGAAACGGGTTTTTTTTCATGTAAGGCTAGACGGTAGAATTCCCAGTAACTTCCTTGTGTTGTGTACATTCAACTCACAGAGTTGAACGTTCCCTTAGACAGAGCAGATTTGAAACACTCTTTTTGTGCAATTGGCAAGTGGAGATTTCAAGCGCTTTAAGGTCAATGGCAGAAAAGGAAATATCTTCGTTTCAAAACTAGACAGAATGATTCTCAGAAAATCTTTTGTGATGTGTGCGTTCAACTCACAGAGTTTAACTTTTCTTCTCATAGAGCAGTTAGGAAACACTCTGTTTGTAAAGTCTGCAAGTGGATATTCAGACCTCTTTGTGGCCTTCGTTGGAAACGGGATTTCTTCATATTATGCTAGACAGAATAATTCTCAGTAACTTCCTTGTGTTGTGTGTATTCAACTCACAGAGTTGAAGGATCCTTTACAGAGAGCAGGCTTGCAACACTCTTTTTGTCGAATTTGCAAGTGGAGATTTCAGCCGCTTTGAGGTCAATGGTAGAATAGGAAATATCTTCTTATAGAAACTAGACAGAATGATTCTCAGAAAGTCCTTTGTGATGTGTGTGTTCAACTCACAGAGTTTAACCTTTCTATTCATAGAGTAGTTAGGAAACACTCTGTTTGTAAAGTCTGCAAGTGGATATTTTGACCTCTTTGAGGCCTTCTTTGGAAACGGGTTTTTTTCATATAAGGCTAGACAGAAGAATTCCCAGTAACTTCCTTGTGTTTTGTGTGTTCAACTCACAGAGTTGAACTTTCATTTACACAGAGCAGATTTGAAACACTCTTTTTGTGGAATTTGCAAGTGGAGATTTCAAGCGCTTTGAGGCCAAAGGCAGAAAAGGAAATATCTTCGTATAAAAACTAGACAGAATCATTCTCAGAAACTGCTCTGCGATGTGTGCGTTCAACTCTCAGAGTTTAACTTTTCTTTTCATTCAGAAGTTTGGAAACACTCTGTTTGTAAAGTCTGCACGTGGATAACTTGACCACTTAGAGGTCTTCGTTGGAAACGGGTTTTTTTCATGTAAGGCTAGACAGAAGAATTCTCAGAATCTTCCTTGTGTTGTGTGTATTCAACTCACAGAGTTGAACGATGGTTTACACAGAGCAGATTTGAAACACTCTTTTGGTGGAATTTGCATGTGGAGATTTCAGCCGCCTTGAGGTCAATGGTAGAAAAGGAAATATCTTCGTATAAAAACTAGACAGAATGATTCTCAGAAACTTCTTTGTGATGTGTGCGTTCAACTCACAGAGTTTAACCTTTCTTTTCATAGAACAGTTAGGAAACACTCTGTTTGTAAACTCTGCAAGTGGATATTCAGACCTCTTTGAGGCCTTCGTTGGAAACGGGATTTCTTCATACTATGCTATATAGAAGAATTCTCAGTAACTTCCTTGTGTTGTGTGTATTCAACTCACAGAGTTGAACGATCCTTTACACAGAGCAGACCTGAAACACTCTTTTTGTGGAATTTGCAAGTGGAGATTTCAGCCGCTTTGAGGTCAATGGTAGAATAGGAAATATCTTCCTATAGAAACTAGACAGAATGATTCTCAGAAACTCCTTTGTGATGTGTGCGTTCAACTCACAGAGTTTAACCTTTCTTTTCATAGAGCAGTTAGGAAACACTCTGTTTGTAAAGTCTGCAAGTGGATATTCAGACATCTTTGAGGCCTTCGTTGGAAACGGGATTTCTTCATGTTCTGCTAGACAGAAGAATTCTCAGAAACTTTCCTTGTGTTGTGTGTTTTCAACTCACAGAGTTGAACGATGCTTTACACAGAGTAGACTTGAAACACTCTTTTTGTGTAATTTGCAAGTGGAGATTTCAGCCGCTTTGAAGTCAATGGTAGAAAAGGAAATATCTTCGTATAAAAACTAGACAGAATCATTCTCAGAAACTGCTGCGTGATGTGTGCGTTCAACTCTCAGAGTTTAACTTTTCTTTTCATTCAGCGGTTTGGAAACACTCTGTTTGTAAAGTCTGCACGTGGAAATTTTGACCACTTAGAGGCCTTCGTTGGAAACGGGTTTTTTTCATGTAAGGCTAGACAGAAGAATTCCCAGTAACTTCCTTGTGTTGTGTGCATTCAACTCACAGAGTTGAACGTTCCCTTAGACAGAGAAGATTTGAAACACTCTATTTGTGCAATTTCCAAGTGTAGATTTCAAGCGCTTTAAGGTCAACGGCAGAAAAGGAAATATCTTCGTTTCAAAACTAGACAGAATCATTCCCACAAACTGCGTTGTGATGTGTTAGTTCAACTCACAGAGTTTAACCTTTCTTTTCATAGAGCAGTTAGGAAACAGTCTGTTTGTCAATTCTGTAAGTGGATATTCTGACATCTTGTGGCCTTCGTTGGAAACGGGATTTCTTCATATTCTGCTAGACAGAAGAATTCTCAGAAACTTCCTTGTGTTCTGTGTATTCAACTCACAGAGTTGAACGATCCTTTACACAGAGCAGACTTGAAACACTCTTTTTGTGGAATTTGCAAGTGGAGATTTCAGTCGCTTTGAGGTCCATGGTAGAAAAGGAAATATCTTCGTATAAAAACTAGACAGAATGATTCTCAGAAACTGCTTTGTGATGTGTGCGTTCAACTCACAGAGTTTAACCTTTCTTTTCATAGAGCAGTTAGGAAACACTCTGTTTGTAAAGTCTGCAAGTGGATATTCAGACATCTTTGAGGCTTTCGTTGGAAACGGGATTTCTTCATATTCTGCTAGACAGAAGAATTCCCAGTAACTTCCTTGTGTTGTGTGTGTTCAACTCACAGAGTTGAACTTTCATTAACACAGAGCAGATTTGAAACACTCTTTTTGTGGAATTTGCAAGTGGAGATTTCAAGCGCTTTGAGGCCAAAGGCAGAAAAGGAAATGTCTTCGTTTCAAAACTAGACAGAATCATTCTCAGAAACTGCTCTGCGATGTGTGAGTTCAACTCTCAGAGTTTAACTTTTCTTTTCATTCAGCAGTTTGGAAACACTCTGTTTGTAAAGTCTCCACGTGGATATTTTGACCATTTAGAGGCTTTCGTTGGAAACGGGTTTTTTTCTTGTAAGGCTAGACAGAAGAATTCCCAGGAACTTCCTTGTGTTGTGTACATTCAACTCACAGAGTTGAACGTTCCCTTAGACAGAGCAGATTTGAAACACTCTTTTTGTGCAATTGGCAAGTGGTGATTTCAGCCGCTTTGAGGTCAATGGTAGAAAAGGAAATATCTTCGTATAAAAACTAGACAGAATTATTCTCATAAACTCCTTTGTGATGTGTGCGTTCAACTCACAGAGTTTAACCTTTCTTTTCATAGAGCAGTTAGGAAACACTCTGTTTGTAAAGTCTGCAAGTGGATATTCAGACCTCTTTGAGGCCTTCGTTGGAAACGGGATTTCTTCATATTCTGCTAGACAGAAGAATTCTCAGAATCTTCCTTGTGTTGTGTGTATTCAACTCACACAGTTGAACGATTGTTTATACAGAGCAGATTTGAAACACTCTTTTTGTGGAATTTGCAAGTGGAGATTTCAGCCGCTTTGAGGTCAATGGTAGAAAAGGAAATATCTTCGTATAAAAACTAGACAGAATGATTCTCAGAAACTTCTTTGTGATGTGTGCGTTCAACTCACAGAGTTTAACCTTTCTTTTCATAGAGCAGTTAGGAAACACTCTGTTTGTAAACTCTGCAAGTGGATATTCAGACCTCTTTGAGGCCTTCGTTGGAAACGGGATTTCTTCAAACTATGCTAGACAGAAGAATTCTCAGAATCTTCCTTGTGTTGTGTGTTTTCAACTCACAGAGTTGAACGATCCTTTACACAGAGCAGACTTGAAACACTCCTTTTGTGGAATTTGCAAGTGGAGATTTCAGCCGCTTTGAGGTCAATGGTAGAATAGGAAATATCTTCGTATAGAAAGTAGACAGAATCATTCTCAGAAACTGCTCTGCGATGTGTGCGTTCAACTCTCAGAGTTTAACTTTTCTTTTCATTCAGCAGTTTGGAAACACTCTGTTTGTAAAGTCTGCACGTGGATATTTTGACCACTTAGAGGCCTTCGTTGGAAACGGGTTTTTTTCCTGTAAGGCTGGACAGAAGAATTCCCAGTAACTTCCTTGTGTTGTGTACATTCAACTCACAGAGTTGAACGTTCCCTTAGACAGAGCAGATTTGAAACACTCTTTTTGTGCAATTGGCAAGTGGAGATTTCAAGCGCTTTAAGGTCAATGGCAGAAAAGGAAATATCTTCGTTTCAAAACTAGACAGAATCATTCCCACAAACTGCGTTGTGATGTGTTCGTTCAACTCACAGAGTTTAACCTTTCTTTTCATAGAGCAGTTAGGAAACACTCTGTTGGTAAATTCTGTAAGTGGATATTCTGACATCTTGTGGCCTCCGTTGGAAACGGGATTTCTTCATATTCTGCTAGACAGAAGAATTCTCAGAATCTTCCCTTGTGTTGTGTGTATTCAACTCACAGAGTTGAACGATCCTTTACACAGAGCAGACTTGAAACACTCTTTTTGTGGAATTTGCAAGTGGACATTTCAGCCGCTTTGAGGTCCATGGTAGAAAAGGAAATATCTTCGTACAAAAACTAGACAGAACGATTCTCAGAAACTCCTTTGTGATGTGTGCGTTGAACTCACAGAGTTTAACCTTTCTTTTCATAGAGCAGTTAGGAAACACTCTGTTTGTAAAGTCTGCAAGTGGATATTCAGACCTCTTTGAGGCCTTCGTTGGAAACGGGATTTCTTCATATTCTGCTAGACAGAAGAATTCTCAGTAACTTCCTTGTGTTGTGTGTATTCAACTGACAGAGTTGAACTTTCATTTAGAGAGAGCAGATTTGAAACACTGTTTTTGTGGAATTTGCAAATGGTGACTTCAAGCGCTTTGGGGCCAAACGCAGAAAAGGAAATATCTTCGTATAAAAACTAGACAGAATCATTCTCAGAAACTGCTCTGTGATGTGTGCGTTCAACTCTAAGAGTTTAACTTTTCTTTTCATTCAGCAGTTTGGAAACACTCTGTTTGTAAAGTCTGCACGTGGATATTTTGACCACTTAGAGGCCTTCTTTGGAAACGGGTTTTTTTTCATGTAAGGCTAGACAGAAGAATTCCCAGTAACTTCCTTGTGTTGTGTACATTCAACTCACAGAGTTGAACGTTCCCTTAGACAGAGCAGATTTGAAACACTCTTTTTGTGCAATTGGCAAATGGAGATTTCAAGCGCTTTAAGGTCAATGGCAGAAAAGGAAATATCTTCGTTTCAAAACTAGACAGAATCATTCCCACAAACTGCGTTGTGATGTGTTCGTTCAACTCACAGAGTTTAACCTTTCTGTTCATAGAGCAGTTAGGAAACACTCTGTTTGTAAAGTCTGTAAGTGGATATTCTGACATCTTGTAGCCTTCGTTGGAAACGGGATTTCTTCATATTCTGCTAGACAGAAGAATTCTCAGTAACTTCCTTGTGTTGTGTGCATTCAACTCACAGAGTTGAAAGATCCTTTACACAGAGCAGGTTAGAAACAATATTTTTGTGGATTTTGCAAGTGGAGATTTCAGCCACTTTGAGGTCAATGGTAGAAAAGGAAATATCTTCATAAAAAAACTACACAGAATGATTCTCAGAAACTCCTTTGTGATGTGTGTGTTCAACTCACAGAGTTTAACGTTTCTTTTCATAGAGCAGTTAGTAAACACTCTGTTTATAAATTCTGCAAGTGGATATTCAGACCTCTTTGAGGTCTTCGTTGGAAACGGGATTTCTTCATATTATGCTAGACAGAAGAATTCTCAGTAACTTCCTTGTGTTGTGTGTATTCAACTGACAGAGTTGAACTTTCATTTAGAGAGAGCAGATTTGAAACACTGTTTTTGTGCAATTTGCAAGTGGAGATTTCAAGCGCTTTGGGGCCAAAGGCAGAAAAGGAAATATCTTCGTATAAAAACTAGACAGAATCATTCTCAGAAACTGCTGCGTGATGTGTGCGTTCAACTCTCAGAGTTTAACTTTTCTTTTCATTCAGCGGTTTGGAAACACTCTGTTTATAAAGTCTGCACGTGGATATTTTGACCACTTAGAGGCCTTCCTTGGAAACGGGTTTTTTTCATGTAAGGCTAGACAGAAGAATTCCCAGTAACTTCCTTGTGTTGTGTGCATTCAACTCACAGAGTTGAACGTTCCCTTAGACAGAGCAGATTTGAAACACTCTATTTGTGCAATTTGCAAGTGTAGATTTCAAGCGCTTTAAGGTCAACGGCAGAAAAGGAAATATCTTCGTTTCAAAACTAGACAGAATGATTCTCAGAAACTCCTTTGTGATGTGTGCGTTCAACTCACAGAGTTTAACCTTTCTGTTCATAGAGCAGTTAGGAAACACTCTGTTTGTAAAGTCTGCAAGTGGATATTCAGACCTCCTTGAGGCCTTCGTTGGAAACGGGATTTCTTCATATTGTGCTAGACAGAAGAATTCTCAGAATCGTCCTTGTGTTGTGTGTATTCAACTCACAGAGTTGAACGATGGTTTACACAGAGCAGATTTGAAACACTCTTTTTGTGGAATTTGCAAGTGGAGATTTCAGCCGCTTTGAGGTCAATGGTAGAAAAGGAAATATCTTCGTATAAAAACTAGACAGAGTGATTCTCAGAAACTCCTTTGTGATGTCTGCGTTCAACTCACAGAGTTTAACCTTTCTTTTCATAGAGCAGTTAGGAAACACTCTGTTTGTAAAGTCTGCAAGTGGATATTCAGACCTCTTTGAGGCCTTCGTTGAAAACGGGATTTCTTCATATTCTGCTAGACAGAAGAATTCTCAGTAACTTCCTTGTGTTGTGTGTATTCAACTCACAGAGTTGAACGATCCTTTACACAGAGCAGACTTGAAACACTCTTTTTGTGGAATTTGCAAGTGGAGATTTCAAGCGCTTTGGGGCCAAAGGCAGAAAAGGACATATCTTCGTATAAAAACTAGACAGAATCATTCTCAGAAACTGCTGCGTGATGTGTGCGTTCAACTCTCAGAGTTTAACTTTTCTTTTCATTCAGCGGTTTGGAAACACTCTGTTTGTAAAGTCTGCACGTGGATATTTTGACCACTTAGAGGTCTTCGTTGGAAACGGGTTTTTTTCATGTAAGGCTAGACAGAAGAATTCTCAGTAACTTCCTTGTGTTGTGTGTATTCAACTCAGAGAGTTGAACGATCCTTTACACAGAGCAGACTTGAAACACTCTTTTTGTGGAATTTGCAAGTGGAGATTTCAGCCGCTTTGAGGTCAATGGTAGAATAGGAAATATTTTCCTATAGAAACTAGACAGAATGATTCTGAGAAACTCCTTTGTGATGTGTGCGTTCAACTCACAGAGTTTAACCTTTCTTTTCATAGAACAGTTAGGAAACACTCTGTTTGTAAAGTCTGCAAGTGGATATTCAGACCTCCTTGAGGCCTTCGTTGGAAACGGGATTTCTTCATATTATGCTAGACAGAAGAATTCTCAGTAACTTCCTTGTGTTGTGTGTATTCAACTCACAGAGTTGAACGATCCTTTACACAGAGTAGACTTGAAACACTCTTTTTGTGGAATTTGCAAGTGGAGATTTCAGCCGCTTTGAGGTCAATGGTAGAATAGGAAATATCTTCCTATAGAAAGTAGACAGAATGATTCTCAGAAACTCCTTTGTGATGTGTGCGTTCAACTCACAGAGTTTAACCTTTCTTTTCATAGAGCAGTTAGGAAACACTCTGTTTGTAAAGTCTGCAAGTGGATATTCAGACCTCCTTGAGGCCTTCGTTGGAAGCGGGATTTCTTCATGTTCTGCTAGACAGAAGAATTCTCAGTAACTTCCCTGTGTTGTGTGTATTCAACTGACAGAGTCGAACTTTCATTTAGAGAGAGCAGATTTGTAACACTGTTTTTGTGGAATTTGCAAGTGGAGATTTCAAGCGCTTTGGGGCCAAAGGCAGAAAAGGAAATATCTTCGTATAAAAACTAGACAGAATCATTCTCAGAAACTGCTCTGCGATGTGTGCGTTCAACTCTCAGAGTTTAACTTTTCTTTTCATTCAGCAGTTTGGAAACACTCTGTTTGTAAAGTCTGCACGTGGATATTTTGACCACTTAGAGGCCTTCGTTGGAAACGGGTTTTTTCCTGTAAGGCTAGACAGAAGAATTCACAGTAACTTCCTTGTGTTGTGTACATTCAACTCACAGAGTTGAACGTTCCCTTAGACAGAGCAGATTTGAAACACTCTTTTTGTGGAATTTGCAAGTGGAGATGTCAAGCGCTTTGAGGCCAAAGGCAGAAAAGGAAATATCTTCGTTTCAAAACTAGACAGAATGATTCTCAGAAACTCCTTTGTGATGTGTGCGTTCAACTCACAGAGTTTAACCTTTCTTTTCATAGAGCAGTTAGGAAACACTCTGTTTGTAATGTCTGCAAGTGGATATTCAGACATCCTTGAGGCTTTCGTTGGAAACGGGATTTCTTCATATTCTGCAAGAAAGAAGAATTCTCAGTAACTTCCTTGTGTTGTGTGTATTCAACTCACAGAGTTGAATGATCCTTTACACAGAACAGTCTTGAAACACTCTTTTTGTGGAATTTGCAAGTGGAGATTTCAGCCTCTTTGAGGTCTATGGTAGAATAGGAAATATCTTCCTATAGAAACTAGACAGAATGATTCTCAGAAACTCCTTTGTGATGTGTGCGTTCAACTCACAGAGTTTAACCTTTCTTTTCATAGAGCAGTTAGGAAACACTCTGTTTGTAATGTCTGCAAGTGGATATTCAGACCTCTTTGAGGCCTTCGTTGGAAACGGGTTTTTTTCATATAAGGCTAGACAGAAGAATTCCCAGTAACTTCCTTGTGTTGTGTGTGTTCAACTCACAGAGTTGAACTTTCATTTACACAGCGCAGATTTGAAACACTCTTTTTGTGGAATTTGCAAGTGGAGATTTCAAGCGCTTTGAGGCCAAAGGCAGAAAAGGAAATATCTTCGTTTCAAAACTAGACAGAATCATTCTCAGAAACTGCTCTGCGATGTGTGCATTCAACTCTCAGAGTTTAATTTTTCTTTTCATTCAGCAGTTTGGAAACACTCTCTTTGTAAAGTCTGCACGTGGATATTTTGACCACTTAGAGGCCTTCGTTGGAAACGGGTTTTATTCTTGTAAGGCTAGACAGAAGAATTCCCAGTAACTTCCTTGTGTTGTGTACATTCAACTCACAGAGTTGAACGTTCCCTTAGACAGAGCAGATTTGAAACACTCTTTTTGTGCAATTGGCAAGTGGAGATTTCAAGCGCTTTAAGGTCAATGGCAGAAAAGGAAATATCTTCGTTTCAAAACTAGACAGAATCATTCCCACAAACTGCGTTGTGATGTGTTCGTTCAACTCACAGAGTTTAACCTTCCTTTTCATAGAGCAGTTAGGAAACAGTCTGTTTGTAAATTCTGTAAGTGGATATTCTGACATCTTGTGGCCTTCGTTGGAAACGGGATTTCTTCATATTCTGCTAGACAGAAGAATTCTCAGTAACTGCCTTGTGTTGTGTGTATTCAAGTCACAGAGTTGAACGATCCTTTACACAGAGCAGACTTGAAACACTCTTTTTGTGGAATTTGCAAGTGGAGATTTCAGCCGCTTTGAGGTCAATGGTAGAATAGGAAATATCTTCCTATAGAAACTAGACAGAATGATTCTCAGAAACTCCTTTGTGATGTGTGCGTTCAACTCACACAGTTTAACCTTTCTTTTCATAGAGCAGTTGGGAAACACTCTGTTTGTAAAGTCTGCAAGTGGATATTCAGACCTCCTTGAGGCCTTCGTTGGAAACGGGATTTCTTCATATTATGCTAGGCAGAAGAATTCCCAGTAACTTCCTTGTGTTGTGTGTGTTCAACTCACAGAGTTGAACTTTTATTTACACAGAGCAGATTTGAAACTCTCTTTTTGTGGAATTTGCAATTGGAGATTTCAAGCGCTTTGAGGCCAAAGGCAGAAAAGGAAATATCTTCGTATAAAAACTAGACAGAATCACTCTCAGAAACTGCTCTGCGATGTGTGCGTTCAACTCTCAGAGTTTAACTTTTCTTTTCATTCAGCAGTTTGGAAACACTCTGTTTGTAAAGTCTGCACGTGGATATTTTGACCACTCAGAGGCCTTCGTTGGAAACGGTTTTTTTTCCTGTAAGGCTAGACAGAAGAATTCCCAGTAACTTCCTTGTGTTGTGTGCATTCAACTCACAGAGTTGAACGTTCCCTTAGACAGAGCAGATTTGAAACACTCTATTTGTGCAATTTGCAAATGTAGATTTCAAGCGCTTTAAGGTCAATGGCAGAAAAGGAAATATCTTCGTTTCAAAACTAGACAGAATCATTCCCACAAACTGCGTTGTCATGAGTTCGTTCAACTCACAGAGTTTAACCTTTCTTTTCATAGAGCAGTTAGGAAACAGTCTGTTTGTAAATTCTGTAAGTGGATATTCTGACATCTTGTGGCCTTCGTTGGAAACGGGATTTCTTCATATTCTGCTAGACAGAAGAATTCTCAGTAACTTCCTTGTGTTGTGTGTATTCAACTCACAGAGTTGAACGATCCTTTACACAGAGCAGACTTGAAACACTCTTTTTGTGGAATTTGCAAGTGGAGATTTCAGCCGCTTTGAGGTCAATGGTAGAAAAGGAAATATCTTCGTATGAAGACTAGACAGAATGATTCTCAGAAACTCCTTTGTGATGTGTGTGTTCAACTCACAGAGTTTAACCTTTCTTTTCATAGAGCAGTTAGTAAATACTCTGTTTATACAGTCTGCAAGTGGATATTCAGACCCCTTTGAGGCCTTCGTTGGAAACGGGATTTCTTCATATTATGCTAGACAGAAGAATTCCCAGTAACTTCCTTGTGTTGTGTGTGTTCAACTCACAGAGTTGAACTTTCATTTACACAGAGCAGATTTGAAACACTCTTTTTGTGGAATTTGCAAGTGGAGATTTCAAGCGCTGTGAGGCCAAAGGCAGAAAAGGAAATATCTTCGTATAAAAACTAGACAGAATCATTCTCAGAAACTGCTGCGTGATGTGTGCGTTCAACTCTCAGAGTTTAACTTTTCTTTTCATTCAGCGGTTTGGAAACACTCTGTTTGTAAAGTCTGCACGTGGATATTTTGACCACTTAGAGGCCTTCGTTGGAAACGGGTTTTTTTTCATGTAAGGCTACACAGAAGAATTCCCAGTAACTTCCTTGTGTTGTGTGCATTCAACTCACAGAGTTGAACGTTCCCTTAGACAGAGCAGATTTGAAACACTCTATTTGTGCAATTTGCAAGTGTAGATTTCAAGCGCTTTAAGGTCAATGGCAGAAAAGGAAATATCTTCGTTTCAAAACTAGACAGAATGATTCTCATAAACTCCTTTGTGATGTGTGCGTTCAACTCACCGAGTTTAACCTTTCTTTTCATAGAGCAGTTAGGAAACACTCTGTTTGTAAAGTCTGCAAGTGGATATTCAGACCTCCTTGGGGCCTTCGTTGGAAACGGGATTTCTTCATATTCTGCTAGACATAAGAATTCTCAGTAACTTCCTTGTGCTGTGTGTATTCAACTCACAGAGTTGAACGATCCTTTACACAGAGCATACTTGTAACACTCTTCTTGTGGAATTTGCAAGTGGAGATTTCAGCCGCTTTGAGGTCAATGGTAGAATAGGAAATATCTTCGTATAAAAACTAGACAGAATGATTCTCAGAAACTCCTTTGTGATGTGTGCGTTCAACTCACAGAGTTTAACCTTTCTTTTCATAGAGCAGTTAGGAAACACTCTGTTTGTAAAGTCTGCAAGTGGATATTCAGACCTCTTTGAGGCCTTCGTTGGAAACGGGTTTTTTACATATAAGGCTAAACAGAAGAATTCCCAGTAACTTCCTTGTGTTGTGTGTGTTCAACTCACAGAGTTGAACTTTCATTTACACAGAGCAGATTTGAAACACTCATTTTGTGGAATTTGCAAGTGGAGATTTCAAGCGCTTTGAGGCCAAAGGCAGAAAAGGAAATATCTTCGTTTCAAAACTAGACAGAATCATTCTCAGAAACTGCTCTGCGATGTGTGCGTTCAACTCTCAGAGTTTAACTTTTCTTTTCATTCAGCAGTTTGGAAACACTCTGTTTGTAAAGTCTGCACGTGGATAATTTGACCACTTAGAGGCCTTCGTTGGAAACGGGTTTTTTTCATGTAAGGCTAGACAGAAGAATTCCCAGTAACTTCCTTGTGTTGTGTGCATTCAACTCACAGAGTTGAACGTTCCTTTAGACAGAGCAGATTTGAAACACTCTATTTGTGCAATTTGCAAGTGTAGATTTCAAGCGCTTTAAGGTCAACGGCAGAAAAGGAAATATCTTCGTTTCAAAACTAGACAGAATCATTCCCACAAACTGCGTTGTGATGTGTTCGTTCAACTCACAGAGTTTAACCTTTCTTTTCATACAGCAGTTAGGAAACACTCTGTTTGTAAACTCTGCAAGTGGATATTCAGACCTCTTTGAGGCCTTCGATGGAAACGGGATTTCTCCATACTATGCTAGACAGAAGAATTCTCAGTAACTTCCTTGTGTTGTGTGTATTCAACTCACAGAGTTGAACGATCCTTTACACAGAGCAGACTTGAAACACTCTTTTTGTGGAATTTGCAAGAGGAGATTTCAGCCGCTTTGAGGTCAATAGTAGAAAAGGAAATATCTTCGTAGAAAAACTAGACAGAATGATTCTCAGAAACTCCTTTGTGATGTGTGCGTTCAACTCACAGAGTTTAACCTTTCTTTTCATAGAGCTGTTAGGAAACACTCTGTTTGTAAAGTCTGCAAGTGGATATTCAGAACTCTTTGAGGCCTTCGTTGGAAACGGGATTTCTTCTTATTCTGCTAGAGAGAAGAATTCCCAGTAACTTCCTTGTGTTGTGTGTGTTCAACTCACAGAGTTGAACTTTCATTTACACAGAGCAGATTTGAAACACTCTTTTTGTGGAATTTGCAAGTGGAGATTTCAAGCGCTTTGAGACCAAAGGCAGAAAAGGAAATATCTTCGTATAAAAACTAGACAGAATCATTCTAAGAAACTGCTCTGCGATGTGTGCGTTCAACTCTCAGAGTTTAACTTTTCTTTTCATTCAGCAGTTTGGAAACACTCTGTTTGTAAAGTCTGCACGTGGATAACTTGACCACTTAGAGGCCTTCGTTGGAAACGGGTTTTTTTCATGTAAGGCTAGACAGAAGAATTCCCAGTAACTTCCTTGTGTTGTGTGCATTCAACTCACAGAGTTGAACGTTCCCTTAGACAGAGCAGATTTGAAACACTCTATTTGTGCAATTTACAAGTGTAGTTTTCAAGCTCTTTAAGGTCAACGGCAGAAAAGGAAATATCTTCGTTTCAAAACTAGACAGAATCATTCCCACAAACTGCGTTGTGATGTGTTCGTTCAACTCAGAGAGTTTAACCTTTCTGTACATAGAGCAGTTAGGAAACACTCTGTTTGTAAAGTCTGTAAGTGGATATTCTGACATCTTGTGGCCTTCGTTGGAAACGGGATTTCTTCATATTCTGCTAGACAGAAGAATTCTCAGTAACTTCCTTGTGTTGTGTGTATTCAACTCACAGAGTCGAACGATCCTTTACACAGAGCGGACTTGAAACACTCGTTTTGTGGAATTTGCAAGTGGAGATTTCAGCCGATTTGAGGTCAATGGTAGAAAAGGAAATATCTTCGTATAAAAACTAGACAGAGTGATTCTCAGAAACTCCTTTGTGATGTCTGCGTTCAACTCACAGAGTTTAACCTTTCTTTTCATAGAGCAGTTAGGAAACACTCTGTTTGTAAAGTCTGCAAGTGGATATTCAGACCTCCTTGAGGCCTTCATTGGAAACGGGATTTCTTCATATTCTGCTATACAAAAGAATTCTCAGAAACTTCCTTGTGTTGTGTGTATTCAACTCACAGAGTTGAACGATCGTTTACACAGAGCAGACTTGAGACACTCTTTTTGTGGAATTTGTAAGTGGAGATTTCAGCCGCTTTGAGGTCAATGGTAGAAAAGGAAATATCTTCATATAAAAAGTAGACAGAATGATTCTCAGAATCTCCTTTGTGATGTGTGCGTTCAACTCACAGAGTTTAACCTTTCTTTTCATAGAGCAGTTAGGAAACACTCTGTTTGTAAAGTCTGCAAGTGGATATTCAGACCTCTTTGAGGCCTTCGTTCGAAACGGGTTTTCTTCATATTATGCTAGACAGAAGAATTCCCAGTAACTTCCTTGTGTTGTGTGCATTCAACTCACAGAGTTGAACGTTCCCTTAGACAGAGCAGATTTGAAACACTCTATTTGTGCAATTTGCAAGTGTAGATTTCAAGCGCTTTAAGGTCAACGGCAGAAAAGGAAATATCTTCGTTTCAAAACTAGACAGAATGATTCTCAGAAACTTCATTGTGACGTGTTCGTTCAACTCACAGAGTTTAACCTTTCTTTTCATAGAGCAGTTAGGAAACACTCTGTTTGTAAAGTCTGCAAGTGGATATTCAGACCTCTTTGAGGCCTTCGTTGGAAACGGGATTTCTTCATACTGTGCTAGACAGAAGAATTCTCAGTAACTTCCTTGTGTTGTGTGTATTCAACTCACAGAGTTGAACGATCCTTTACACAGAGCGGACATGAAACACACTTTTTGTGGAATTTGCAAGTGGAGATTTCAGCCGCGTTGAGGTCAATGGTAGAAAAGGAAATATCTTCGTATAAAAACTAGACAGAATGATTCTCAGAAACTCCTTTGTGATGTGTGTGTCCAACTCACAGAGTTTAACCTTTCTTTTCATAGAGCAGTTAGGAAACACTCTGTTTGTAAAGTCTGCAAGAGGATATTCAGACCTCTTTGAGGCCTTCGTTGGAAACGGGTTTTTTTCATATAAGGCTAGACAGAAGAATTCCCAGTAACTTCCTTGTGTTGTGTGTGTTCAACTCACAGAGTTGAACTTTCATTTACACAGAGCAGATTTGAAACCCTCTTTTTGTGGAATTTGCAAATGGAGATTTCTGCCGCGTTGAGGTCAATGGTAGAAAAGGAAATATCTTCGTTTCAAAACTAGACAGAATCATTCTCAGAAACTGCTCTGCGATGTGTGCGTTCAACTCTTAGAGTTTAACTTTTCTTTTCAGTCAGCAGTTTGGAAACACTCTGTTTGTAAAGTCTGCACGTGGATATTTTGACCACTTAGAGGCCTTCGTTGGAAACGGGTTTTTTTCCTGTAACGCTAGACAGAAGAATTCCCAGTAACTTCCTTGTGTTGTGTGCATTCAACTCACAGAGTTGAACGTTCCCTTAGACAGAGCAGATTTGAAACACTCTATTTGTGCAATTTGCAAGTGTAGATTTCAAGCGCTTTAAGGTCAATGGCAGAAAAGGAAATTTCTTCGTTTCAAAACTAGACAGAATGATTCTCAGAAACTCCTTTGTGATGAGTGTGTTCAACTCACAGAGTTTAACCTTTCTTTTCATAGAGCAGTTAGGAAACACTCTGTTTGTAAACTCTGCAAGTGGATATTCAGACCTCTTTGAGGCCTTCGTTGGAAACGGGATTTCTTCATACTGTGCTAGACAGAAGAATTCTCAGTAACTTCCTTGTGTTGTGTGTATTCAACTCACAGAGTTGAACGATCCTTTACACAGAGCGGACTTGAAACACTCTTTTTGTGGAATTTGCAAGTGGAGATTTCAGCCGCGTTGAGGTCAATGGTAGAAAAGGAAATATCTTCGTATAAAAACTAGACAGAATGATTCTCAGAAACTCCTTTGTGATGTGTGCCGTTCAACTCACAGAGTTTAACCTTTCTTTACATAGAGCAGTTAGGAAACACTCTGTTTGTAAAGTCTGCAAGTGGATATTCAGACCTCTTTGAGGCCTTCGTTGGAAACGGGTTTTTTTCATATAAGGCTAGACAGAAGAATTCTCAGTAACTTCCTTGTGTTGTGTGTATTCAACTGACAGAGTTGAACTTTGATTTAGAGAGAGCAGATTTGAAACACTGTTTTTGTGGAATTTGCAGGTGGAGATTTCAAGCGATTTGGGGCCAAATGCAGAAAAGGAAATATCTTCGTATAAAAACTAGACAGAATCATTCTCAGAAACTGCTGCTTGATGTGTGCGTTCAACTCACAGAGTTTAACTTTTCTTTTCATTCAGCGGTTTGGAAACACTCTGTTTGTAAAGTCTGCACGTGGATATTTTGACCACTTAGAGGCCTTCGTTGGAAACGGGATTTTTTCATGTAAGGCTAGACAGAAGAATTCCCAGTAACTTCCTTGTGTTGTGTGCATTCCACTCACAGAGTTGAACGTTCCCTTAGACAGAGCAGATTTGAAACACTCTATTTGTGCAATTTGCAAATGTAGATTTCAAGCGCTTTAAGGTCAATGGCAGGAAAGGAAATATCTTCGTTTCAAAACTAGACAGAATGATTCTCAGAAACTTCTTTGTGATGTGTGCGTTCAACTCACAGAGTTTAACCTTTCTTTTCATAGAGCAGTTAGGAAACAGTCTGTTTGTCAATTCTGTAAGTGGATATTCTGACATCTTGTGGCCTTCGTTGGAAACGGGATTTCTTCATACTATGCTAGACAGAAGAATTCTCAGTAACTTCCTTGTGTTGTGTGTATTCAACTCACAGAGTTGCACGATCCTTTACACAGAGCAGACTTGAAACACTCTTTTTGTGGAATTTGCAAGTGGAGATTTCAGCCGCTTTGAGGTCAATGGTAGAATAGGAAATATCTTCCTATAGAAACTAGACAGAATGATTCTCAGAAACTCCTTTGCGATGTGTGCGTTCAACTCACAGAGTTTAACCTTTCTTTTCATAGAGCAGTTAGGAAACACTCTGTTTGTAAAGTCTGCAAGGGGATATTCAGACCTCTTTGAAGCCTTCGTTGGAAACGGGATTTCTTCATGTTATGCTAGACAGAAGAATTCCCAGTAACTTCCTTGTGTTGTGTGTGTTCAACTCACAGAGTTGAACTTTCATTTACACAGAGCAGATTTGAAACACTCTTTTTGTGGAATTTGCAAATGGAGATTTCAAGCGCTTTGAGGCCAAAGGCAGAAAAGGAAATGTCTTCGTTTCAAAACTAGACAGAATCATTCTCAGAAACTGCTGCGTGATGTGCGCGTTCAACTCTCAGAATTTAACTTTTCTTTTCATTCAGCGGTTTGGAAACACTCTGTTTGTAAAGTCTGCACGTGGATATTTTGACCACTTAGAGGCCTTCGTTGGAAACGGGTTTTTTGCATGTAAGGCTAGACAGAAGAATTCTCAGTAACTTCCCTTGTGTTGTGTGCATTCAACTCACAGAGTTGAACGTTCCCTTAGACAGAGCAGATTTGAAACAGCCTATTTTTGCAATTTGCAAGTGTAGATTTCAAGCGCTTTAAGGTCAACGGCTGAAAAGGAAATATCTTCCTTTCAAAACTAGACAGAACGATTCTCAGAAACTCCTTTGTGATGTGTGCGTTCAACTCATAGAGTTTAACCTTTCTTTTCATAGAGCAGTTAGGAAACACTCTGTTTGTAAAGTCTGCAAGTGGATATTCAGACCTCTTTGAGGCCTTCGTTGGAAACGGGATTTCTTCATATTCTGCTAGACAGAAGAATTCTCAGTAACTTCCTTGTGTTGTGTGTATTCAACTCACAGAGTTGAACGATCCTTTACACAGAGCAGACTTGAAACACTCTTTTTGTGGAAATTGCAATTGGAGGTTTCAGCCGCTTTGAGGTCAATGGTAGAAAAGGAAATATCTTCGTATAAAAACTAGACAGAATGATTCTCAGAAACTCCTTTGTGATGTGTGCGTTCAACTCACAGAGTTTAACCTTTCTGTTCATAGAGCAGTTAGGAAACACTCTGTTTGTAAAGTCTGGAAGTGGATATTCAGACCTCCTTGAGGCCTTCGTTGGAAACGGTATTTCTTCATATTCTGCTAGACAGAAGAATTCTCAGTAACTTCCTTGTGTTGTGTGTATTCAACTGACAGAGTTGAACTTTCATTTAGACAGAGCAGATTTGAAACACTCTTTTTGTGGAATTTGCAAAGGTAGATTTCATGCGCTTTGAGGCCAAAGGCAGAAAAGGAAATATCTTCGTATAAAAACTAGACAGAATCATTCTCAGAAACTGCTCTGCGATGTGTGCGTTCAACTCTCAGAGTTTAACTTTTCTTTTCATTCAGCAGTTTGGAAACACTCTGTTTGTAAAGTCTGCAAGTGGATGTTTTGACCACTTAGAGGCCTTCGTTGGAAACGGGTTTTTTTCATGTAAGGCTAGACAGAAGAATTCCCAGTAACTTCCTTGTGTTGTGTGCATTCAACTCACAGATTTGAACGTTCCCTTAGACAGAGCAGATTTGAAACACTCTTTTTGTGCAATTGGCAAGTGGAGATTTCAAGCGCTTTAAGGTCAATGGAAGAAAAGGAAATATCTTCGTTTCAAAACTAGACAGAATCATTCCCACAAACTGCGTTGTGATGTGTTCGTTCAACTCACAGAGTTTAACCTTTCTTTTCATAGAGCAGTTAGGAAACAGTCTGTTTGTAAATTCTGTAAGTGGATATTCTGACATCTTGTGGCCTTCGTTGGAAACGGGATTTCTTCATATTCTGCTAGACAGAAGAATTCTCAGAAACTTCCTTGTGTTGTGTGTTTTCAACTCACAGAGTTGAACGATGCTTTACACAGAGTAGACTTGAAACACTCTTTTTGTGTAATTTGCAAGTGGAGATTTCAGCCGCTTTGAGGTCAATGGTAGAAAAGGAAATATCTTAATATAGAAACTAGATAGAATGATTCTCAGAAACTCCTTTGTGATGTGTGCGTTCAACTCACAGAGTTTGACCTTTCTTTTCATAGAGCAGTTAGGAAACACTCTGTTTGTAAAGTCTGCAACTGGATATTCAGACCTCTTTGAGGCCTTCGTTGGAAACGGGTTTTTTTCATATAAGGCTAGACAGAAGAATTCCCAGTAACTTCCTTGTGTTGTGTGTGTTCAACTCACAGAGTTGAACTTTCATGTACACAGAGCAGATTTGAAACACTCTTTTTGTGGAATTTGCAAGTGGAGATTTCAAGCGCTTTGAGGCCAAAGGCAGAAAAGGAAATAACTCCGTTTCAAAACTAGACAGAATCATTCTCAGAAACTGCTCTGCGATGTGTGCGTTCAACTCTTAGAGTTTAACTTTTCTTTTCATTCAGCAGTTTGGAAACACTCTGTTTGTAAAGTCTGCACGTGGATAATTTGACCACTTAGAGGCCTTCGTTGGAAACGGGTTTTTTTCATGTAAGGCTAGACAGAAGAATTCCCAGTAACTTCCTTGTGTTGTGTACATTCAACTCACAGAGTTGAACGTTCCCTTAGACAGAGCAGATTTGAAACACTCTTTTTGTGCAATTGGCAAATGGAGATTTCAAGCGCTTTAAGGTCAATGGCAGAAAAGGAAATATCTTCGTTTCAAAACCAGACAGAATGATTCTCAGAAACTCCTTAGTGATGTGTGTGTCCAACTCACAGGGTTTAAACTTTCTTTTCATAGAGCAGTTAGCAAACACTCTGTTTGTAAAGTCTGCAAGAGGATATTCAGACCTCTTTGAGGCCTTCGTTGGAAACGGGTTTTTTTCATATAAGGCTAGACAGAAGAATTCCCAGTAACTTCCTTGTGTTGTGTGTGTTCAACTCACAGAGTTGAACTTTCATTTACACAGAGCAGATTTGAAACACTCTTTTTGTGGAATTTGCAAATGGAGATTTCAGCCGCGTTGAGGTCAACGGTAGAAAAGGAAATATCTTCGTTTCAAAACTAGACAGAATCATTCTCAGAAACTGCTCTGCGATGTGTGCGTTCAACTCTCAGAGTTTAACTTTTCTTTTCATTCAGCAGTGTGGAAACACTGTGTTTGTAAAGTCTGCACGTGGATATTTTGACCACTTACAGGCCTTCGTTGGAAACGGGTTTTTTTCCTGTAAGGCTAGACAGAAGAATTCCCAGTAACTTCCTTGTGTTGTGTGCATTCAACTCACAGAGTTGAACGTTCCCTTAGTCAGAGCAGATTTGAAACACTCTATTTGTGCAATTTGCAAGTGTAGATTTCAAGCGCTTTAAGGTCAATGGCAGAAAAGGAAATATCTTCGTTTCAAAACTAGACAGAATGATTCTCAGAAACTCCTTTGTGATGTGTGCGTTCAACTCACAGAGTTTAACCTTTCTTTTCATAGAGCAGTTAGGAAACACTCTGGTTGTAAAGTCTGCAAGTGGATATTCAGACCTGCTTGAGGCCTTCGTTGGAAACGGGATTTCTTCATATTATGCTAGACAGAAGAATTCTCAGTAACTTCCTTGTGTTGTGTGTACTCAACTCACAGAGTTCAACGATCCTTTACACAGAGCAGACTTCAAACACTCTTTTTGTGGAATTTGCAAGTGGAGATTTCAGCCGCTTTGAGGTCAATGGTAGAATAGGAAATATCTTCCTATAGAAACTAGACAGAATGATTCTCAGAAACTCCTTTGTGACGTGTGTGCCCAACTCACAGAGTTTAACCTTTCTTTTCATAGAGCTGTTAGGAAACACTCTGTTTGTAAAGTCTGCAAGAGGATATTCAGACCTCTTTGAGGCCTTCGTTGGAAACGGGTTTTTTTCATATAAGGCTAGACAGAAGAATTCCCAGTAACTTCCTTGTGTTGTGTGTGTTCAACTCACAGAGTTGAACTTTCATTTAAACAGAGCAGATTTGAAACACTCTTTTTGTGGAATTTGCAAATGGAGATTTCAGCCGCGTTGAGGTCAATGGTAGAAAAGGAAATATCTTCGTTTCAAAACTAGACAGAATCATTCTCAGAAACTGCTCTGCGATGTGTGCGTTCAACTCTCAGAGTTTAACTTTTCTTTTCATTCAGCAGTGTGGAAACACTCTGTTTGTAAAGTCTGCACGTGGATATTTTGACCACTTAGAGGCCTTCGTTGGAAACGGGTTTTTTTCCTGTAAGGCTAGACAGAAGAATTCCCAGTAACTTCTTTGTGTTGTGTGCATTCAACTCACAGAGTTGAACGTTCCCTTAGAGAGAGCAGATTTGAAACACTCTATTTGTGCAATTTGCAAGTGTAGATTTCAAGCGCTTTAAGGTCAATGACAGAAAAGGAAATATCTTCGTTTCAAAACTAGACAGAATCATTCCCACAAACTGCGTTGTGATGTGTTCGTTCAACTCACAGAGTTTAACCTTTCTTTTCATAGAGCAGTTAGGAAACACTCTGTTGGTAAATTCTGTAAGTGGATATTCTGACATCTTGTGGCCTTCGTTGGAAACAGGATTTCTTCATATTCTGCTACACAGAAGAATTCTCAGTAACTTCCTTGTGTTGTGTGTATTCAACTCACAGAGTTGAACGATCCTTTACACAGAGCGGACTTGAAACACACTTTTTGTGGAATTTGCAAGTGGAGATTTCAGCCGCTTTGAGGTCCATGGTAGAAAAGGAAATATCTTCGTATAAAAACTAGACAGAGTGATTCTCAGAAACTCCTTTGTGATGTCTGCGTTCAACTCACAGAGTTTAACGTTTCTTTTCATAGAGCAGTTAGGAAACACTCTGTTTGTAAAGTCTGCAAGTGGATATTCAGACCTCCTTGAGGCCTTCGTTGGAAACGGGATTTCTTCATATTCTGCTATACAGAAGAATTCTCAGTAACTTCCTTGTGTTGTGTGTATTCAACTGACAGAGTTGAACTTTCATTTAGAGAGAGCAGATTTGAAACACTGTTTTGGTGGAATTTGCAAGTGGAGATTTCAAGCGATTTGGGGCCAAAGGCAGAAAAGGAAATATCTTCGTATAAAAACTAGACAGAAATCATTCTCAGAAACTGCTCTGCGATGTGTGCGTTCAACTCTCAGGAGTTTAACTTTTCTTTTCATTCAGCAGTTTGGAAACACTCTGTTTGTAAAGTCTGCACGTGGATATTTTGACCACTTAGAGGCCTTCGTTGGAAACGGGTTTTTTTCCTGTAAGGCTAGACAGAAGAATTCTCAGTAACTTTCCTTGTGTTGTGTGTATTCAACTGACAGAGTTGAACTTTCATTTAGAGAGAGCTGATTTGAAACACTGTTTTTGTGGAATTTGCAAGTGGAGATTTCAAGCGCTTTGGGGCCAAAGGCAGAAAAGGAAATATCTTCGTATAAAAACTAGACAGAATCATTCTCAGAAACTGCTCTGCGATGTGTGCGTTCAACTCTCAGTGTTTAACTTTTCTTTTCATTCAGCAGTTTGGAAACACTCTGTTTGTAAAGTCTGCACGTGGATAATTTGACCACTTAGAGGTCTTCGTTGGAAACGGGTTTTTTTCATGTAAGGCTAGACAGAAGAATTCTCAGAATCTTCCTTGTGTTGTGTGTATTCAACTCACAGAGTTGAACGATGGTGTACACAGAGCAGATTTGAAACACTCTTTTTGTGGAATTTGCAAGTGGAGATTTCAGCCGCTTTGAGGTAAATGGTAGAAAAAGAAATATCTTCGTATAAAAACTAGACAGAATGATTCTCAGAAACTTCTTTGTGATGTGTGCGTTCAACTCACAGAGTTTAACCTTTCTTTTCATAGAGCAGTTAGGAAACACTCTGTTTGTAAACTCTGCAAGTGGATATTCAGACCTCTTTGAGGCCTTCGTTGGAAACGGGTTTTTTTCATGTAAGGCTAGACAGAAGAATTCTCAGTAACTTCCTTGTGTTGTGTGTATTCAACTTACAGAGTTGAACTTTCATTTACACAGAGCAGATTTGAAACACTCTTTTTGTGGAATTTGCAAATGGAGATTTCAAGCGCTTTGAAGCCAAAGGCAGAAAAGGAAATATCTTCCTATAAAAACTAGACAGAATGATTCTCAGAAACTCCTTTGTGATGTGTGCGTTCAACTCACAGAGTTTAACCTTTCTTTTCATAGAGCAGTTAGGAAACACTCTGCTTGTAAAGTCTGCAAGTGGATATTCAGCCCTCTTTGAGGCCTTTGTTGGAAACGGGTTTTTTTCATATAAGGCTAGACAGAAGAATTCCCAGTAACTTCCTTGTGTTGTGTACATTCAACTCACAGAGTTGAACGTTCCCTTAGACAGAGCAGATTTGAAACACTCTTTTTGTGCAATTGGCAAGTGGAGATTTCAAGCGCTTTAAGGTCAATGGCAGAAAAGGAAATATCTTCGTTTCAAAACTAGACAGAATGATTCTCAGAAACTCCTTTGTGATGTGTGCGTTCAACTCACAGAGTTTAACCTTTCTTTTCATAGAGCAGTTAGGAAACACTCTGTTTGTACTGTCTGCAAGTGGATATTCAGACATCCTTGAGGCTTTCGTTGGAAACGGGATTTCTTCATATTCTGCTAGAAAGAAGAATTCTCAGTAACTTCCTTGTGTTGTGTGTATTCAACTCACAGAGTTGAACGATCCTTTACACAGAGCAGACTTGAAACACTCTTTTTGTGGAATTTGCAAGTGGAGATTTCAGCCGCTGTGAGGTCAATGGTAGAATAGGAAATATCTTCCTATAGAAACTAGACAGAATGATACTCAGAAACTCCTTTGTGATGTGTGTGTTCAACTCACAGAGTTTAACCTTTCTTTTCATAGAGCAGTTAGTAAACACTCTGTTTATAAAGTCTGCAAGTGGATATTCAGACCCCTTTGAGGCCTTCGTTGGAAACGGGATTTCTTCATATTATGCTAGAAAGAAGAATTCTCAGTAACTTCCTTGTGTTGTGTGTATTCAACTGACAGAGTTGAACTTTCATTTAGAGAGAGCAGATTTGAAACACTGTTTTTGTGGAATTTGCAAGTGGAGATTTCAAGAGCTTTGGGTCCAAAGGCAGAAAAGGAAATATCTTCGTACAAAAACTAGACAGAATCATTCTCAGAAACTGCTGCGTGATGTGTGGGTTCAACTCTCAGAGTTTAACTTTTCTTTTCATTCAGCGGTTTGGAAACACTCTGTTTGTAAAGTCTGCACGTGGATATTTTGACCACTTAGAGGCCTTCGTTGGAAAAGGGTTTTTTTCATGTAAGGCTAGACAGAAGAATTCCCAGTAACTTCCTTGTGTTGTGTGCATTCAACTCACAGAGTTGAACGTTCCCTTAGACAGAGCAGATTTGAAACACTCTATTTGTGCAATTTGCAAGTGTAGATTTCAAGCGCTTTAAGGTCAACGGCAGAGAAGGAAATATCTTCGTTTCAAAACTAGACAGAACGATTCTCAGAAACTCCTTTGTGATGTGTGCTTTCAACTCACAGAGTTTAACCTTTCTTTTCATAGAGCAGTTAGGAAACACTCTGTTTGTAAAGTCTGCAAGTGGATATTCAGACCTCCTTGAGGCCTTCGTTGGAAACGGGATTTCTTCATATTCTGCTAGACAGAAGAATTCTCAGTAACTTCCTTGTGTTGTGTGTATTCAACTCACAGAGTTGAATGATCCTTTACACAGAGCAGACTTGAAACACTCTTTTTGTGGAATTTGCAAGTGGAGATTTCAGCCGCTTTGAGGTCAATGGTAGAAAAGTAAATATCTTCGTATAAAGACTAGACAGAAATGATTCTCAGAAACTTCTTTGTGATGTGTGCGTTCAACTCACAGAAGTTTAACCTTTCTTTTCATAGAGCAGTTGGGAAACACTCTGTTTTTAAAGTCTGCAAGTGGATATTCAGACCTCTTTGAGGCCTTCGTTGGAAACGGGTTTTTTTCATGTAAGGCTAGACAGAAGAATTCTCAGTAACTTCCTTGTATTGTGTGTATTCAACTCACAGAGTTGAACGATCCTTTACACAGAACAGACTTGAAACACTCTTTTTGTGGAATTTGCAAGTGGAGATTTCAGCCGCTTTGAGGTCAATGGTAGAATAGGAAATATCTTCCTATAGAAACTAGACAGAATGATTCTCAGAAACTCCTTTGTGATGTGTGCATTCAACTCACAGAGTTTAACCTTTCTTTTCATTGAGCAGTTAGGAAACACTCTGTTTGTAAAGTCTGCAAGTTGATATTCAGACCTCTTTGAGGCCTTCGTTGGAAACGGGATTTCTTCATATTATGCTAGACAGAAGAATTCCCAGTAACTTCCTTGTGTTGTGCACATTCAACTCACAGAGTTGAACGTTCCCTTAGACAGAGCAGATTTGAAACACTCTTTTTGTGCAATTGGCAAGTGGTGATTTCAGCCTCTTTGAGGTCAATGGTAGAAAAGGAAATATCTTCGTATAAAAACTAGACAGAATGATTCTCAGAAACTTCTTTGTGATGTGTGCGTTCAACTCACAGAGTTTAACCTTTCTTTTCATAGAGCAGTTAGGAAACACTCTGTTTGTAAACTCTGCAAGTGGATATTCAGACCTGTTTGAGGCCTTCTTTGGAAACGGGATTTCTTCATACTATGCTAGACAGAAGAATTCTCAGTAACTTCCTTGTGTTGTGTGTATTCAACTCACAGAGTTGAACAATCCTTTACACAGAGCAGACTTGTAACACTCTTTTTGTGGAATTTGCAAGTGGAGATTTCAGCCGCTTTGAAGTCAAAGGTAGAAAAGGAAATATCTTCCTATAAAAACTAGACAGAATGATTCTCAGAAACTCCTTTGAGATGTGTGCGCTCAACTCACAGAGTTTAACCTTTCTTTTCATAGAGCAGTTAGGAAACACTCTGTTTGTAAAGTCTGAAGGTGGATATTCAGACCTCTTTGAGGCCTTCGTTGGAAATGGGTTTTTTCATATAAGGCTAGACAGAAGAATTCCCAGTAACTTCCTTGTGTTGTGTGTGTTCAACTCACAGAGTTGAACTTTCATGTACACAGAGCAGATTTGAAACACTCTTTTTGTGGAATTTGCAAATGGAGATTTCAAGCGCTTTGAGGCCAAAGGCAGAAAAAGAAATATCTTCGTATAAAAACTAGACAGAAATCATTCTCAGAAACTGCTCTGCGATGTGTGCGTTCAACTCTCAGGAGTTTAACTTTTCTTTTCATTCAGCAGTTTGGAAACACTCTGTTTGTAAAGTCTGCACGTGGATATTTTGACCACTTAGAGGCCTTCGTTGGAAACGGGTTTTTTTCCTGTAAGGCTAGACAGAAGAATTCCCAGTAACTTCCTTGTGTTGTGTGCATTCAACTCACAGAGTTGAACGTTCCCTTAGACAGAGCAGATTTGAAACACTCTATTTGTGCAATTTGCAAGTGTAGATTTCAAGCGCTTTAAGGTCAACGGCAGAAAAGGAAATATCTTCGTTTCAAAACTAGACAGAATGATTCTCAGAAACTCCTTTGTGATGTGTGCGTTCAACTCACAGAGTTCAACCTTTCTTTTCATAGAGCAGTTGGGAAACACTCTGTTTGTAAAGTCTGCAAGTGGATATTCAGTCTTCTTTGAGGCCTTCGTTGGAAGCGGGATTTCTTCATATTCTGCTAGACAGAAGAATTCTCAGTAACTGCCTTGTGTTGTGTGTATTCAACTCACAGAGTTGAACGATCCTTTACACAGAGCAGACTTGAAACACTCTTTTTGTGGAATTTGCAAGTGGAGATTTCAGCCGCTTTGAGGTCAATGGTAGAATAGGAAATATCTTCCTATAGAAACTAGACAGAATGATTCTTAGAAACTCCTTTGTGATGTGTGCGTTCAACTCACAGAGTTTAACCTTTCTGTTCATAGAGCTGTTAGGAAACACTCTGTTTGTAAAGTCTGCAAGTGGATATTCAGACCTCCTTTAGGCCTTCGTTGGAAACGGGATTTCTTCATATTCTGCTAGACAGAAGAATTCCCAGTAACTTCCTTGTGTTGTGTGTGTTCAACTCACAGAGTTGAACTTTGATTTACACAGAGCAGATTTGAAACACTCTTTTTGTGGAATTTGCAAGTGGAGATTTCAAGCGCTTTGAGGCCAAAGGCAGAAAAGGGAATATCTTCGTATAAAAACTAGACAGAACGATTCTCAGAAACTTCTTTGTGATGTGTGCGTTCAACTCACAGAGTTAAAACTTTCTTTTCATAGAGCAGTTAGGAAACACTCTGTTTGTAAAGACTGCACGTGGATATTCAGACCTCTTTGAGGCCTTCGTTGGAAACGGGTTTTTTTCCTGTAAGCCTAGACAGAAGAATTCCCAGTAACTTCCTTGTGTTGTGTACATTCAACTCACAGAGTTGAACGTTCCCTTAGACAGAGCAGATTTCAAACACTCTTTTTGTGCAATTGGCAAGTGGAGATTTCAAGCGCTTTAAGGTCAATGGCAGAAAAGGAAATATCTTCGTTTCAAAACTAGACAGAATTATTCCCACAAACTGCGTTGTGATGTGTTCGTTCAACTCACAGAGTTTAACCTTTCTTTTCATAGAGCAGTTAGGAAACACTCTGTTTGTAAATTCTGTAAGTGGATATTCTGACATCTTGTGGCCTTCGTTGGAAACGGGATTTCTTCATATTCTGCTAGACAGAAGAATTCTCAGAATCTTCCTTGTGTTGTGTGTATTCAACTCACAGAGTTGAACGATCCTTTAAACAGAGCGGACTTGAAACACTCTTTTTGTGGAATTTGCAAGTGGAGATTTCAGCCGCTTTGAGGTCAATGGCAGAAAAGGAAATATCTTCGAATAAAAACTAGACAGAATGATTCTCAGAAACTCCTTTGTGATGTGTGCGTTCAACTCACAGAGTTTAACTTTTCTTTTCATAGAGCAGTTAGGAAACACTCTGTTTGTAAAGTCTGCAAGTGGATATTCAGACCTCTTGAGGCCTTCGTTGGAAACGGGATTTCTTCATATTATGCTAGACAGAATAATTCTCAGTAACTTCCTTGTGTTCTCTGTATTCAACTCACAGAGTTGAACGATCCTTTACAGAGAGCAGACTTGAAACACTCTTTTTGTGGAATTTGCAAGTGGAGATTTCAGCCGCTTTGAGGTCAATGGTAGAAAAGGCAATATCTTCGTATAAAGACTAGACAGAATGATTCTCATAAACTCCTTTGTGATGTGTGCGTTCAACTCACAGAGTTTAACTTTTCTTTTCATAGAGCAGTTAGGAAACACTCTGTTTGTAAAGTCTGCAAGTGGATATTCAGACCTCTTTGAGGCCTTCGTTGGAAATGGGATTTCTTCATATTATGCTAGACAGAAGAATTCCCAGTAACTTCCTTGTGTTGTGTGCATTCAACTCACAGAGTTGAACGTTCCCTTAGACAGAGCAGATTTGAAACACTCTATTTGTGCAATTTGCAAGTGTAGATTTCAAGCGCTTTAAGGTCAATGGCAGAAAAGGAAATATCTTCGTTTCAAAACTAGACAGAATCATTCCCACAAACTGCGTTGTGATGTGTTTCTTCAACTCACAGAGTTTAACCTTTCTGTTCATAGAGCAGTTAGGAAACGCTCTGTTTGTAAAGTCTGTAAGTGGATATTCTGACATCTTGTGGCCTTCGTTGGAAACGGGATTTCTTCCTATTCTGCTAGACAGAAGAAATCTCAGTAACTTCCTTGTGTTGTGTGTATTCAACTCACAGAGTTGAACGATCCTTTACACAGAGCAGATTTGAAACAATGTTTTTGTGGAATTTGCAAGTGGAGATTTCAGCCGCTTTGAGGTCAATGGCAGAAAAGGAAATATCTTCTTATAGAAACTAGACAGAATGATTCTCAGAAACTCCTTTGTGATGTGTGTGTTCAACTCACAGAGTTTAACCTTTCTTTTCATAGAGCAGTTAGTAAACACTCTGTTTATAAAGTCTGCAAGTGGATATTCAGACCCCTTGAGGCCTTCGTTGGAAACGGGATTTCTTCATATTATGCTAGACAGAAGAATTCTCAGTAACTTCCTTGTGTTGTGTGTATTCAACTGACAGAGTTGAACTTTCATTTAGAGAGAGCAGATTTGAAACACTGTTTTTGTGGAATTTGCAAGTGGAGATTTCAAGCGCTTTGGGGCCAAAGGCAGAAAAGGAAATATCTTCGTTTAAAAACTAGACAGAATCATTCTCAGAAACTGCTGCGTGATGTGTGCGTTCAACTCTCAGAGTTTAACTTTTCTTTTCATTCAGCGGTTTGGAAACACTCTGTTTGTAAAGTCTGCACGTGGAAATTTTGACCACTTAGAGGCCTTCGTTGGAAACGGGTTTTTTTCATGTAAGGCAAGACAGAAGAATTCCCAGGAACTTCCTTGTGTTGTGTACATTCAACTCACAGAGTTGAACGTTCCCTTAGACAGAGCAGATTTGAAACACCCTTTTTGTGCAATTGGCAAGTGGTGATTTCAGCCGCTTTGAGGTCAATGGTAGAAAAGGAAATATCTTCGTATAAAAACTAGACAGAATCATTCCCACAAACTGCGTTGTGATGTGTTCGTTCAACTCACAGAGTTTAACCTTTCTGTTCACAGAGCAGTTAGGAAACACTCTGTTTGTAAAGTCTGTAAGTGGATATTCTGACATCTTGTGGCCTTCGTTGGAAACGGGATTTCTTCATATTCTGCTAGACAGAGAAGATTCTCAGAAACTTCCTTGTGTTGTGTGTTTTCAACTCACAGAGTTGAACGATGCTTTACACAGAGTAGACTTGAAACACTCTTTTTGTGTAATTTGCAAGTGGAGATTTCAGCCGCTTTGAAGTCAATGGTAGAAAAGGAAATATCTTCGTATAAAAACTAGACAGATGATTCTCAGAAACTCCTTTGTGATGTGTGCGTTCAACTCACAGAGTTTAACCTTTCTTTTCATAGAGCAGTTAGGAAACACTCTGTTTGTAAAGTCTGCAAGTGGATATTCAGACCTCCTTGAGGCCTTCGTTGGAAACGGGATTTCTTCATATTCTGCTAGACAGAAGAATTCTCAGTAACTTCCTTGTGTTGTGTGTGTTCAACTCACAGAGTTGAACTTTCATTTACACAGAGCAGATTTGAAACACTCTTTTTGTGGAATTTGCAAATGGAGATTTCAAGCGCTTTGAGGCCAAAGGCAGAAAAGGAAATCTCTTCGTATAAAAACTAGACAGAATCATTCTCAGAAACTGCTGCGTGATGTGTGCGTTCAACTCTCAGAGTTTAACTTTTGTTTTCATTCAGCGGTTTGGAAACACTCTGTTTGTAAAGTCTGCACGTGGATATTTTGACCACTTAGAGGCCTTCGTTGGAAACGGGTTTTTTTCATGTAAGGCTAGACAGAAGAATTCCCAGTAACTTCCTTGTGTTGTGTGCATTCAACTCACAGAGTTGAACGTTCCCTTAGACAGAGCAGATTTGAAACACTCTATTTGTGCAATTTGCAAGTGTAGATTTCAAGCGCTTTAAGGTCAATGGCAGAAAAGGAAATATCTTCGTTTCAAAACTAGACAGAATCATTCCCACAAACTGCGTTGTGATGTGTTCGTTCAACTCACAGAGTTTAACCTTTCTTTTCATAGACCAGTTAGGAAACAGTCTGTTTGTCAATTCTGTAAGTGGATATTCTGACATCTTGTGGCCTTCGTTGGAAACGGGATTTCTTCATATTCTGCTAGACAGAAGAATTCTCAGAATCTTCCTTGTGTTGTGTGTATTCAACTCACACAGTTGAACGATTGTTTACACAGAGCAGATTTGAAACACTCTTTTTGTGGAATTTGCAAGTGGAGATTTCAGCCGCATTGAGGTCAATGGTAGAAAAGGAAATATCTTCGTATAAAAACTAGACAGAATGATTCTCAGAAACTCCTTTGTGATGTGTGCGTTCAACTCATAGAGTTTAACCTTTCTTTTCA
Organism: Homo sapiens; assembly: GCF_000001405.40. Lineage (NCBI taxonomy): Eukaryota > Metazoa > Chordata > Mammalia > Primates > Hominidae > Homo > Homo sapiens. Next base: position 124,646,655 of record NC_000001.11, read on the forward strand.
TAGAGCAGTTAGGAAACACTCTGTTTGTAAAGTCTGCAAGTGGATATTCAGACCTCTTTGAGGCCTTCGTTGGAAACGGGATTTCTTCATATTCTGTTAGACAGAAGAATTCTCAGTAACTTCCTTGTGTTGTGTGTATTCAACTCACAGAGTTGAACGATCCTTTACACAGAGCAGACTTGAAACACTCTTTTTGTGGAATTTGCAAGTGGAGATTTCAGCCGCTTTGAGGTCAATAGTAGAAAAGGAAAACTATCTTCATATAAAGACTAGACAGAATCATTCTCAGAAACTGCTCTGTGATGTGTGCGTTCAGCTCTCAGAGTTTAACTTTTCTTTTCATTCAGCAGTTTGGAAACACTCTGTTTGTAAAGTCTGCACGTGGATATTTTGACCACTTAGAGGCCTTCGTTGGAAACGGGTTTTTTTCCTGTAAGGCTAGACAGAAGAATTCTCAGTAACTTCCTTGTGTTGTGTGTATTCAACTCACAGAGTTGAATGATCCTTTACACAGAGCAGACTTGAAACACTCTTTTTGTGGAATTTGCAAGTGGAGATTTCAGCCGCTTTAAGTTCAATGGTAGAATAGGAAATATCTTCCTATAGAAACTAGACAGAATGATTCTCAGAAACTCCTTTGTGATGTGTGCGTTCAACTCACAGAGTTCAACCTTTCTTTTCATAGAGCAGTTGGGAAACACTCTGTTTGTAAAGTCTGCAAGTGGATATTCAGACTTCTTTGAGACCTTCGTTGGAAGCGGGATTTTTACATATTCTGCTACACAGAAGAATTCTCAGTAACTTCCTTGTTTTGTGTGTATTCAACTCACAGAGTTGAACGATCCTTTACACAGAGCAGACTTGAAACACTCTTTTTGTGGAATTTGCAAGTGGAGATTTCAGCCGCTTTGAGGTCAATGGTAGAATAAGAAATATCTTCCTATAGAAACTAGACAGAGTGATTCTCAGAAACTCCTTTGTGATGTCTGCGTTTAACTCACAGAGTTTAACCTTTCTTTTCATAGAGCAGTTAGGAAACACTCTGTTTGTAAAGTGTGCAAGTGGATATTCAGACCTCCTTGAGGCCTTCGTTGGAAACGGGATTTCTTCATATTATGCTAGACAGAAGAATTCCCAGTAACTTCGTTGTGTTGTGTACATTCAACTCACAGAGTTGAACGTTCCCTTAGAGAGAGCAGATTTGAAATACTCTTTTTGTGCAATTGGCAAGTGGAGATTTCAAGCGCTTTAAGGTCAATGGCAGAAAAGGAAATATCTTCGTTTCAAAACTAGACAGAATCATTCTCAGAAACTGCTGCGTGATGTGTGCGTTCAACTCTCAGAGTTTAACTTTTCTTTTCATTCAGCGGTTTGGAAACACTCTGTTTGTAAAGTCTGCACGTGGATATTTTGACCACTTAGAGGCCTTCGTTGGAAACGGGTTTTTTTCATGTAAGGCTAGACAGAAGAATTCCCAGTAACTTCCTTGTGTTGTGTGCATTCAACTCACAGAGTTGAACGTTCCCTTAGACAGAGCAGATTTGAAACACTCCATTTGTGCAATTTGCAAGTGTAGATTTCAAGCGCTTTAAGGTCAATGGCAGAAAAGGAAATATCTTCGTTTCAATACTAGACAGAATGATTCTCAGAAACTCCTTTGTGATGTGTGCATTCAACTCACAGAGTTTAACCTTTCTTTTCACAGAGCAGTTAGGAAACACACTGTTTGTAAAGTCTGCAAGTGGATATTCAGACCTCCTTGAGGCCTTCGTTGGAAACGGGATTTCATCATATTATGCTAGACAGAAGAATTCTCAGTAACTTCCTTGTGTTGTGTGTATTCAACTCACAGAGTTGAACGATCCTTTACACAGAGCAGACTTGAAACACTCTTTTTGTGGAATTTGCAAGTGGAGATTTCAGCCGCTTTGAGGTCAATGGTAGAATAGGAAATATCTTTCTATAGAAACTAGACAGAATGATTCTCAGAAAATCCTTTGTGATGTGTGCGTTCAACTCACAGAGTTTAACCTTTCTTTTCATAGAGCAGTTAGGAAACACTCTGTTTGTAAAGTCTGCAAGTGGATATTCAGACCCCCTTGAGGCCTTCGTTGGAAACGGGATTTCTACATATTATGCTAGACAGAAGAATTCTCAGTAACTTCCTTGTGTTGTGTGTATTCAACTCACAGAGTTGAACGATCCTTTACACAGAGCAGACTTGAAACACTCTTTTTGTGGAATTTGCAAGTGGAGATTTCAGCCGCTTTGAGGTCAATGGTAGAATAGGAAATATCTTCCTATAGAATCTAGACACAACGATTCTCAGAAACTCCTTTGTGATGTGTGCGTTCAACTCACAGAGTTTAACCTTTCTTTTCATAGAGCAGTTAGGAAACACTCTGTTTGTAAAGTCTGCAAGTGGATATTCAGACCTCTTTGAGGCCTTCGTTGGAAACGGGTTTTTTTCATATAAGGCTAGACAGAAGAATTCCCAGTAACTTCCTTGTGTTGTGTGCATTCAACTCACAGAGTTGAACGTTCCCTTAGACAGAGCAGATTTGAAACACTCTATTTGTGCAATTTGCAAGTGTAGATTTCAAGCGCTTTAAGGTCAATGGCAGAAAAGGAAATATCTTCGTTTCAAAACTAGACAGAATCATTCCCACAAACTGCGTTGTGATGTGCTCGTTCAACTCACAGAGTTTAACATTTCTGTTCATAGAGCAGTTAGGAAACACTCTGTTTGTAAAGTCTGTAAGTGGATATTCAGACATCTTGTGGCCTTCGTTGGAAACGGGATTTCTTCCTATTCTGCTAGACAGAAGAATTCTCAGTAACTTCCTTGTGTTGTGTGTATTCAACTCACAGAGTTGAACGATCCTTTACAGAGAGCAGACTTGAAACACTCTTTTTGTGGAATTTGCAAGTGGAGATTTCAGCCGCTTTGAGGTCAATGGTAGAATAGGAAATATCTTCCTATAGAAACTAGACAGAATGATTCTCAGAAACTTCTTTGTGATGTGTGCGTTGAACTCACAGAGTTTAACCTTTCTTTTCATAGAGCAGTTAGGAAACACTCTGTTTGTAAACTCTGCAAGTGGATATTCAGACCTCTTTGAGGCCTTCGTTGGAAACGGGATTTCTTCATATTATGCCTGAGAGAAGAATTCCCAGTAACTTCCTTGTGTTGTGTGTGTTCAACTCACAGAGTTGAACTTTCATTTACACAGAGCAGATTTGAAACACTCTTTTTGTGGAATTTGCAAATGGAGGTTTCAAGCCCTTTGAGGCCAAAGGCAGAAAAGGAAATATCTTCGTATAAAAACTAGACAGAATCATTCTCAGAGACTGCTCTGTGATGTGTGCGTTCAACTCTCAGAGTTTAACTTTTCTTTTCATTCAGCAGTTTGGAAACACTCTGTTTGTAAAGTCTGCACGTGGATAATTTGACCACTTAGAGACCTTCGTTGGAAACGGGTTTTTTTCATGTAAGGCTAGACAGAAGAGTTCTCAGTAACTTCCTTGTGTTGTGTGTATTCAACTCACACAGTTGAACGATCCTTTACAGAGAGCAGACTTGTAACACTCTTTTTGTGGAATTTGCAAGTGGAGATTTCAGCCGCTTTGAAGTCAAAGTAGAAAAGGAAATATCTTCCTATAGAAACTAGACAGAATCATTCCCACAAACTGCGTTGTGATGTGTTCGTTCAACTCACAGAGTTTAACCTTTCTTTTCATAGAGCAGTTAGGAAACAGTCTGTTTGTAAATTCTGTAAGTGGATACTCTGACATCATGTGGCCTTCGTTGGAAACGGGATTTCTTCATATTCTGCTAGACAGAAGAATTCTCAGAATCTTCCTTGTGTTGTGTGTATTCAACTCACAGAGTTGAACGATGGTTTACACAGAGCAGATTTGAAACACTCTTTTTGTGGAATTTGCAAGTGGAGATTTCAGCCGCTTTGAGGTCAATGGTAGAAAAGGAAATATCTTCGGTATAAAAACTAGACAGAATGATTCTCAGAAACTCCTTTGTGATGTGTGCGTTCAACTCACAGAGATTAACTTTTCTTTTCATAGAGCAGTTAGGAAACACTCTGTTTGTAAAGTCTGCAAGTGGATATTCAGACCTCTTTGTGGCCTTCGTTGGAAACGGGATTTCTTCATATTATGCTACACAGAAGAATTCAAGTAACTTCCTTGTGTTGTGTGTGTTCAACTCACAGAGTTGAACTTTGATTTACACAGAGCAGATTTGAAACACTCTTTTTGTGGAATTTGCAAGTGGAGATTTCAAGCGCTTTGAGGCCAAAGGCAGAAAAGGAAATACCTTCGTATAAAAACTAGACAGAATCATTCTCAGAAACTGCTGCGTGATGTGTGCGTTCAACTCTCAGAGTTTAACTTTTCTTTTCATTCAGCGGTTTGGAAACACTCTGTTTGTAAAGTCTGCACGTGGATATTTTCACCACTTAGAGGCCTTCGTTGGAAACGGGTTTTTTCATGTAAGGCTAGACAGAAGAATTCCCAGTAACTTCCTTGTGTTGTGTGCATTCAACTCACAGAGTTGAACGTTCCCTTAGACAGAGCAGATTTGAAACACTCTATTTGTGCAATTTGCAAGTGTAGATTTCAAGCGCTTTAAGGTCAACGGCAGAAAAGGAAATATCTTCGTTTCAAAACTAGACAGAATCATTCCCACAAACTGCGTTGTGATGTGTTCGTTCATCTCACAGAGTTTAACCTTTCTTTTCGTAGAGCAGTTAGGAAACAGTCTGTTTGTAAATTCTGTAAGTGGATATTCTGACATCTTGTGGCCTTCGTTGGAAACGGGATTTCTTCATATTCTGCTAGACAGAAGAATTCTCAGTAACTTTCCTTGTGTTGTGTGTATTCAACTCACAGAGTTGAACGATCCTTTACACAGAGCAGACTTGAAACACTCTTTTTGTGGAATTTGCAAGTGGAGATTTCAGCCGCTTTGAGGTCAATGGTAGAAAAGGAAATATCTTCGTATAAAGACTAGACAGAATGATTCTCATAAACTCCTTTGTGATGTGTATGTTCAACTCACAGAGTTTAACTTTTCTATTCATAGAGTAGTTAGGAAACACTCTGTTTGTAAAGTCTGCAAGTGGATATTTTGACCTCTTTGAGGCCTTCGTTGGAAACGGGTTTTTTTCATGTAAGGCTAGACAGAAGAATTCCCAGTAACTTCCTTGTGTTGTGTGTGTTCAACTCACAGAGTTGAACTTTCATTTACACAGAGCAGATTTGAAACACTCTTTTTGTGGAATTTGCAAGTGGAGATTTCAAGCGCTTTGAGGCCAAAGGCAGAAAAGGAAATATCTTCGTATAAAAACTTGACAGAATCATTCTCAGAAACTGCTGCGTGATGTGTGCGTTCCACTCTCAGAGTTTAACTTTTCTTTTCATTCAGCGGTTTGGAAACACTCTGTTTGTAAAGTCTGCACGTGGATATTTTGACCACTTAGAGGCCTTCGTTGGAAACGGGTTTTTTTTCATGTAAGGCTAGACAGAAGAATTCCCAGTAACTTCCTTGTGTTGTGTGCATTCAACTCACAGAGTTGAACGTTCCCTTAGACAGAGCAGATTTGAAACACTCTATTTGTGCAATTTGCAAGTGTAGATTTCAAGCGCTTTAAGGTCAACGGCAGAAGAGGAAATATCTTCGTTTCAAAACTAGACAGAATCGTTCTCAGAAACTGCTCTGCGATGTGTGCGTTCAACTCTCAGAGTTTAACTTTTCTTTTCATTCAGCAGTTTGGAAACACTCTGTTTGTATAGTCTGCACGTGGATAATTTGACCACTTAGAGGCCTTCGTTGGAAACGGGTTTTTTTCATGTAAGGCTAGACAGAAGAATTCTCAGTAACTTCCTTGTGTTGTGTGTATTCAACTCACACAGTTGAACGATCCTTTACACATAGCAGACTTGTAACACTCTTTTTGTGGAATTTGCAAGTGGAGATTCCAGCCGCTTTGAAGTCAAATGTAGAAAAGGAAATATCTTCCTATAAAAACTAGACAGAATGATTCTCAGAAACTCCTTTGTGATGTGTGCGTTCAACTCACAGAGTTTAACCTTTCTTTTCATAGAGCAGTTAGGAAACACGCTGTTTGTAAAGTCTGCAAGTGGATATTCAGACCTGTTTGAGGCCTTCGTTGGAAACGGGTTTTTTTCATATAAGGCTAGACAGAAGAATTCTCAGTAACTTCCTTGTGTGGTGTGTATTCAACTGACAGAGTTGAACTTTCATTTAGAGAGAGCAGATTTGAAACACTGTTTTTGTGGAATTTGCAAGTGGAGATTTCAAGCGCTTTGGGGCCAAAGGCAGAAAAGGAAATATCTTCGTATAAAAACTAGACAGAAACATTCTCAGAAACTGATGCGTGATGTGTGCGTTCAACTCTCAGAGTTTAACTTTTCTTTTCATTCAGCGGTTTGGAAACACTCTGTTTGTAAAGTCTGCACGTGGAAATTTTGACCACTTAGAGGCCTTCGTTGGAAACGGGTTTTTTTCATGTAAGGCTAGACAGAAGAATTCCCAGTAACTTCCTTGTGTTGTGTACATTCAACTCACAGAGTTGAACGTTCCCTTAGACAGAGCAGATTTGAAACACTCTTTTTGTGCAATTGGCAAGTGGTGATTTCAGCCGCTTTGAGGTCAATGGTAGAAAAGGAAATATCTTCGTATAAAAACTAGACAGAACGATTCACAGAAACTCCTTTGTGATGTGTGCGTTCAACTCACAGAGTTTAACCTTTCTTTTCATAGAGCAGTTAGGAAACACTCTGTTTGTAAAGTCTGCAAGTGGATATTCAGACCTCTTTGAGGCCTTCGTTGGAAACGGGATTTCTTCATATTCTGCTAGACAGAAGAATTCTCAGTAACTTCCTTGTGTTGTGTGTATTCAACTCACAGAGTTGAACGATCCTTTACACAGAGCAGACTTGAAACACTCTTTTTGGGGAATTTGCAAGTGGAGATTTCAGCCGCTTTGAGGTCAATGGTAGAAAAGGAAACTATCTTCATATAAAGACTAGACAGAATGATTCTCAGAAACTCCTTTGTGATGTGTGCGTTCAACTCACAGAGTTTAACCTTTCTGTTCATAGAGCAGTTAGGAAACACTCTGTTTGTAAAGTCTGCAAGTGGATATTCAGACCTCCTTGAGGCCTTCGTTGGAAACGGGATTTCTTCATATTCTGCTAGACAGAAGAATTCCCAGTAACTTCCTTGTGTTGTGTGTGTTCAACTCACAGAGTTGAACTTTCATTTACACAGAGCAGATTTGAAACACTCTTTTTGTGGAATTTGCAAGTGGAGATTTCAAGCGCTTTGAGGCCAAAGGCAGAAAAGGAAATATCTTCGTTCCAAAACTAGACAGAATCATTCTCAGAAACTGCTCTGCGATGTGTGCCTTCAACTCTCAGAGTTTAACTTTTGTTTTCATTCAGCAGTTTGGAAACACTCTGTTTGTAAAGTCTGCACGTGGATATTTTGACCACTTAGAGGCCTTCGTTGGAAATGGGTTTTTTTCCTGTAAGGCTAGACAGAAGAATTCCCAGTAACTTCCTTGTGTTGTGTACATTCAACTCACAGAGTTGAACGTTCCCTTAGACAGAGCAGATTTGAAACACTCTTTTTGTGCAATTGGCAAATGGAGATTTCAAGCGCTTTAAGGTCAATGGCAGAAAAGGAAATATCTTCGTTTCAAAACTAGACAGAATCATTCCCACAGACTGCGTTGTGATGTGTTCGTTCAACTCACAGAGTTTAACCTTTCTTTTCATAGAGCAGTTAGGAAACAGTCTGTTTGTCAATTCTGTAAGTGGATATTCTGACATCTTGTGGCCTTCGTTGGAAACGGGATTTCTTCATATTCTGCTAGACAGAACAATTCTCAGTAACTTCCTTGTGTTGTGTGTATTCAACTCACAGAGTTGAACGATCCTTTACACAGAGCGGACTTGAAACACTCTTTTTGTGGAATTTGCAATTGGAGATTTCAGCCGCGTTGAGGTCAATGGTAGAAAAGGAAATATCTTCGTATAAAAACTAGACAGAATGATTCTCAGAAACTCCTTTGTGATGTGTGTGTTCAACTCACAGAGTTTAACCTTTCTTTTCATAGAGCAGTTAGGAAACACTCTGTTTGTAAAGTTTGCAAGTGGATATTCAGACCTCTTTGAGGCCTTCTTTGGAAACGGGTTTTTTTCATGTAAGGCTAGACAGAAGAATTCTCATTAACTTCCTTGTGTTGTGTTTATTCAACTCACAGAGTTGAATGATCCTTTACACAGAGCAGACTTGAAACACTCTTTTTGTGGAATTTGCAAGTGGAGATTTCAGCCGCTTTGAGGTCAATAGTAGAAAAGGAAATATCTTCGTAGAAAAACTAGACAGAATCATTCTCAGAAACCGCTCTGTGATGTGTGCGTTCAACTCTCAGAGTTTAACCTTTCTTTTCATAGAGCAGTTAGGAAACACTCTGTTTGTAAAGTCTGCACGTGGATATTTTGACCACTTAGAGGCCTTCGTTGGAAACGGGTTTTTTTCATGTAAGGCTAGACAGAAGAATTCCCAGTAACTTCCTTGTGTTGTGTACATTCAACTCACAGAGTTGAACGTTCCCTTAGACAGAGCAGACTTGTAACACTCTTTTTGTGGAATTTGCAAGTGGAGATTTCAGCCGCTTTGAAGTCAAAGGTAGAAAAGGAAATATCTTCATATAAAAACTAGACAGAATCATTCCCACAAACTGCGTTGTGATGTGTTCGTTCAACTCACAGAGTTTAACCTTTCTGTTCATAGAGCAGTTAGGAAACACTCTGTTTGTAAAGTCTGCAAGTGGATATTCAGACCTCCTAGAGGCCTTCGTTGGAAACGGGATTTCTCCATATTCTGCTAGACAGAAGAATTCTCAGTAACTTCCTTGTGTTGTGTGTATTCAACTCACAGAGTTGAACGATCCTTTACACAGAGCGGACTTGAAACACTCTTTTTGTGTAATTTGCAAGTGGAGATTTCAGCCGCGTTGAGGTCAATGGTAGAAAAGAAAATATCTTCGTATAAAAACTAGACAGAATGATTCTCAGAAACTCCTTTGTGATGTGTGCGTTCAACTCACAGAGTTTAACCTTTCTTTTCATAGAGCAGTTAGGAAACACCTCTGTTTGTAAAGTCTGCAAGTGGATATTCAGACCTCCTTGAGGCCTTCGTTGGAAACGGGATTTTTTCATATTATGCTAGACAGAAGAATTCCCTGTAACTTCCTTGTGTTGTGTGTGTTCGACTCACAGAGTTGAACTTTCATTTACACAGAGCAGATTTGAAACACTCTTTTTGTGGAATTTGCAAGTGGAGATTTCAAGCGCTTTGAGGCCAAAGGCAGAAAAGGAAATATCTTCGTTTCAAAACTAGACAGAATCATTCTCAGAAACTGCTCTGCGATGTGTGCGTTCAACTCTCAGAGTTTAACTTTTCTTTTCATTCAGCAGTTTGGAAACACTCTGTTTGTAAAGTCTGCACGTGGATATTTTCACCACTTAGAGGCCTTCGTTGGAAACGGGTTTTTTTCCTGTAAGGCTAGACAGAAGAATTCCCAGTAACTTCATTGTGTTGTGTACATTCAACTCACAGAGTTGAACGTTCCCTTAGACAGAGCAGATTTGAAACACTCTTTTTGTGCAATTGGCAAGTGGAGATTTCAAGCGCTTTAAGGTCAATGGCAGAAAAGGAAATATGCTTCGTTTCAAAACTAGACAGAATCATTCCCACAAACTGCGTTGTGATGTGTTCGTTCAACTCACAGAGTTTAACCTTTCTTTTCATAGAGCAGTTAGGAAACAGTCTGTTTGAAAATTCTGTAAGTGGATATTCTGACATCTTGTGGCCTTCGTTGGAAACGGGAATTCTTCATATTCTGCTAGACAGAAGAATTCTCAGTAACTTCCTTGTGTTGTGTGTATTCAACTCACGGAGTTGAACTATCCTTTACACAGAGCAGACTTGAAACACTCTTTTTGTGGAATTTGCAAGTGGAGATTTCAGCCGCTTTGTGGTCTATAGTAGAAAAGGAAATATCTTCGTAGAAAAACTAGACAGAATGATTCTCAGAAACTCCTTTGTGATGTGTGTGTTCAACTCACAGAGTTTAACCTTTCTTTTCATAGAGCAGTTAGTAAACACTCTGTTTATAAAGTCTGCAAGTGGATATTGAGACCCCTTTGAGGCCTTCGTTGGAAACGGGATTTCTTCATATTATGCTAGACAGAAGAATTCTCAGTAACTTCCCTTGTGTTGTGTGTATTCAACTGACAGAGTTGAACTTTCATTTAGAGAGAGCAGATTTGAAACACTGTTTTTGTGGAATTTGCAAGTGGAGATTTCAAGCGCTTTGGGGCCAAAGGCAGAAAAGGAAATATCTTCGTATAAAAACTAGGCAGAATCATTCTCAGAAACTGCTCTGCGATGTGTGCGTTCAACTCTCAGAGTTTAACTTTTCTTTTCATTCAGCAGTTTGGAAACACTCTGTTTGTAAAGTCTGCACGTGGATATTTTGGCCACTTAGAGGCCTTCGTTGGAAACGGGTTTTTTTCCTGTAAGGCTAGACAGAAGAATTCCCAGTAACTTCCTTCCGTTGTGTACATTCAACTCACAGAGTTGAACGTTCCCTTAGACAGAGCAGATTTGAAACACTCTTTTTGTGCAATTGGCAAGTGGAGATTTCAAGCGCTTTGAGGTCAATGGCAGAAAAGGAAATATCTTCGTTTCAAAACTAGACAGAATCATTCCCACAAACTGCGTTGTGATGTGTTCGTTCAACTCACAGACTTTAACCTTTCTTTTCATAGAGCAGTTAGGAAACAGTCTGTTTGTAAATAATGTAAGTGGATATTCTGACATCTTGTGGCCTTCGTTGGAAACGGGATTTCTTCATATTCTGCTAGACAGAAGAATTCTCAGTAACTTCCTTGTGTTGTGTGTATTCAACTCACAGAGTTGAACGATCCTTTACAGAGAGCAGACTTGAAACACTCTTTTTGTGGAATTTGCAAGTGGAGATTTCAGCCGCTTTGAGGTCAATGGTAGAAAAGGAAATATCTTCGTATAAAGACTAGACAGAATGATTCTCAGAAACTCCTTTGTGATGTGTGTGTTCAACTCACAGAGTTTAACGTTTCTTTTCATAGAGCAGTTAGTAAACACTCTGTTTATAAAGTCTGCAAGTGGATATTCAGACCTCTTTGAGGTCTTCGTTGGAAACGGGATTTCTTCATATTATGCTAGACAGAAGAATTCCCAGTAACTTCCTTGTGTTGTGTGTGTTCAACTCACAGAGTTGAACTTTCATTTACACATAGCAGATTTGAAACACTCTTTTTGTGGAATTTGCAAGTGGAGATATCAAACGCTTTGAGGCCAAAGGCAGAAAAGGAAATATCTTCGCATAAAAACTAGACAGAATCATTCTCAGAAACTGCTCTGCGATGTGTGCGTTCAACTCTCAGAGTTTAACTTTTCTTTTCATTCAGCAGTTTGGAAACACTCTGTTTGTAAAGTCTGCACGTGGATAATTTGACCACTTAGAGGCCTTCGTTGGAAACGGGTTTTTTTCATGTAAGGCTAGACAGAAGAATTCTCAGTAACTTCCTTGTGTTGTGTGTATTCAACTCACAGAGTTGAACGATCCTTTACACACAGCAGACTTGTAACACTCTTTTTGTGGAATTCGCAAGTGGAGATTTCAGCCGCTTTGAAGTCAAAGGTAGAAAAGGAAATATCTTCCTATAAAAACTAGACAGAATCATTCCCACAAACTGCCTTGTGATGTGTTCGTTCAACTCACAGAGTTTAACCTTTCTGTTCATAGAGCAGTTAGGAAACACTCTGTTTGTAAAGTCTGTAAGTGGATATTCTGACATCTTGTGGCCTTCGTTGGAAACGGGATTTCTTCATATTCTGCTAGACAGAAGAATTCTCAGTAACTTCTTTGTGTTGTGTGTATTCAACTCACAGAGTTGAGCGATCCTTTACACAGAGCAGACTTGAAACACTCGTTTTGTGGAATTTGCAAGTGGAGATTTCAGCCGCTTTAAGGTCAATGGTAGAAAAGGAAATATCTTCGTATAAAAACTAGACAGAATGATTCTCAGAAAATCATTTGTGATGTGTGCGTTCAACTCACAGAGTTTAACTTTTCTTCTCATAGAGCAGTTAGGAAACACTGTTTGTAAAGTCTGCAAGTGGATATTCAGACCTCTTTGAGGCCTTCGTTGGAAACGGGATTTCTTCATATTCTGCTAGACAGAAGAATTCTCAGTAACTTCCTTGTGTTGTGTGTATTCAACTCACAGAGTTGAACGATCCTTTACACAGAGCAGACTTGAAACACTCTTTTTGTGGAATTTGCAAGAGGAGATTTCAGCCGCTTTGAGGTCAATGGTAGAATAGGAAATATCTTCATATAGAAACTAGACAGAATCATTCTCAGAAACTGCTGTGTGATGTGTGCGTTCAACTCTCAGAGTTTAACTTTTCTTTTCATTCAGCGGTTTGGAAACACTCTGTTTGTAAAGTCTGCACGTGGATATTTTGACCACTTAGAGGCCTTCGTTGGAAACGGGATTTTTTCATGTAAGGCTAGACAGAAGATTTCCCAGTAACTTCCTTGTGTTGTGTACATTCAACTCACAGAGTTGAACGTTCCCTTAGACAGAGCAGATTTGAAACACTCTTTTTGTGCAATTGGCAAGTGGAGATTTCAAGCACTTTAAGGTCAATGGCAGAAAAGGAAATATCTTCGTTTCAAAACTAGACAGAATCATTCCCACAAACTGCGTTGTGATGTGTTCGTTCAACTCACAGAGTTTAACCTTTCTGTTCATAGAGCAGTTAGGAAACACTCTGTTTGTAAAGTCTGTAAGTGGATATTCTGACATCTTGTGGCCTTCGTTGGAAACGGGATTTCTTCATATTCTGCTAGACAGAAGAATTCTCAGTAACTTCCTTGTGTTGTGTGTATTCAACTCACAGAGTTGAACGATCCTTTACACAGAGCAGACTTGAAACACTCTTTTTGTGGAATTTGCAAGTGGAGATTTAAGCCGCTTTGAGGTCAATAGTAGAAAGGAAATATCTTCGTAGAAAAACTAGACAGAACGATTCTCAGAAACTCCTTTGTGATGTGTGCGTTCAACTCACAGAGTTTAACCTTTCTTTTCATAGAGCAGTTAGGAAACACTCTGTTTGTAAAGTCTGCAAGTGGATATTCAGACCTCTTTGAGGCCTTCGTTGGAAACGGGATTTCTTCATATTCTGCTAGACAGAAGAATTCTCAGTAACTTCCTTGTGTTGTGTGTATTCAACTCACAGAGTTGAACGATCCTTTACACAGAGCAGACTTGAAACACTCTTTTTGTGGAATTTGCAAGTGGAGATTTCAGCCGCTTTGAGGTCAATAGTAGAAAAGGAAATATCTTCGTAGAAAAAGTAGACAGAATCATTCTCAGAAAATCCTCTGTGATGTGTGCGTTCAACTCTCAGAGTTTAACTTTTCTTTTCATTCAGCAGTTTGGAAACACTCTGTTTGTAAAGTCTGCACGTGGATATTTTGACCACTTAGAGGCCTTCGTTGGAAACGGGTTTTTTTCATGTAAGGGTAGACAGAAGAATTCCCAGTAACTTCCTTGTGTTGTGTGCATTCAACTCACAGAGTTGAACTTTCCTTTAGACAGAGCAGATTTGAAACACTCTATTTGTGCAATTTGCAAGTGTAGATTTCAAGCGCTTTAAGGTCAATGGCAGAAAAGGAAATATCTTCGTTTCAAAACTAGACAGAATGATACTCAGAAACTCCTTTGTGATGTGGGCGTTCAACTCACAGAGTTTAACCTTTCTTTTCATAGGAGCAGTTAGGAAACACTCTGTTTGTAAAGTCTGCAAGTGGATATTCAGACCTCTTTGAGGCCTTCGTTGGAAACGGGATTTCTTCATATTATGCTAGACAGAAGATTTCTCAGTAACTTTCCTTGTGTTGTGTGTATTCAACTCACAGAGTTGAACGATCCTTTACACAGAGCAGACTTGAAACACTCTTTTTGTGGAATTTGCAAGTGGAGATTTCAGCCGCTTTGAGTTCAATGGTAGAATAGGAAATATCTTCCAATAGAAACTAGACAGAATGATTCTCAGAAACTCCTTTGTGATGTGTGCGTTCAACTCACAGAGTTTAACCTTTCTTTTCATAGAGCAGTTAGGAAACACTCTGTTTGTAAAGTCTGCAAGTGGATATACAGACCTCTTTGAGGCCTTCGTTGGAAACGGGATTTCTTCATATTCTGCTAGAGAGAAGAATTCCCAGTAACTTCCTTGTGTTGTGTGTGTTCAACTCACAGAGTTGAACTTTCATTTACACAGAGCAGATTTGAAACACTCTTTTTGTGGAATTTGCAAGTGGAGATTTCAAGCGCTTTGAGGCCAAAGGCAGAAAAGGAAATATCTTCGGTATAAAAACTAGACAGAATCATTCTCAGAAACTGCTGCGTGATGTGTGCGTTCAACTGTCAGAGTTTAACTTTTCTTTTCATTCAGCGGTTTGGAAACACTCTGTTTGTAAAGTCTGCACGTGGATATTTTGACCACTTAGAGGCCTTCGTTGGAAACGGGTTTTTTTCATGTAAGGCTAGACAGAAGAATTCTCAGTAGCTTCCTTGTGTTGTGTGCATTCAACTCACAGAGTTGAACGTTCCCTTAGACAGAGCAGATTTGAAACAGCCTATTTGTGCAATTTGCAAGTGTAGATTTCAAGCGCTTTAAGGTCAACGGCAGAAAAGGAAATATCTTCCTTTCAAAACTAGACAGAATCATTCCCACAAACTGGGTTGTGATGTGTTCGTTCAACTCACAGAGTTTAACCTTTCTGTTCATAGAGCAGTTAGGAAACACTCTGTTTGTAAAGTCTGTAAGTGGATATTCTGACATCTTGTGGCCTTCGTTGGAAACGGGATTTCTTCATATTCTGCTAGACAGAAGAATTCTCAGTAACTTCCTTGTGTTGTGTGTATTCAACTCACAGAGTTGAACGATCCTTTACACAGAGCAGTCTTGAAACACTCTTTTTGTGTAATTTGCAAGTGGAGATTTCAGCCGCTTTGAGGTCAATAGTAGAAAAGGAAATATCTTCGTAGAAAAACTAGACAGAATGATTCTCAGAAACTCCTTTGTGATGTGTGCGTTCAACTCAGAGTTTAACCTTTCTTTTCATAGAGCAGTTAGGAAACACTCTGTTTGTAAAGTCTGCAAGTGGATATTCAGACCTCTTTGAGGCCTTCGTTGGAAACGGGTTTTTTTCATATAAGGCTAGACAGAAGAATTCCCAGTAACTTCCTTGTGTTGTGTGTGTTCAACTCACAGAGTTGAACTTTCATTTACACAGAGCAGATTTGAAACACTCTTTTTGTGGAATTTGCAAGTGGAGATTTCAAGCGCTTTGAGGCCAAAGGCAGAAAAGGAAATATCTTCGTTTCAAAACTAGAGAGAATCATTCTCAGAAACTGCTCTGCGATGTGTGCGTTCAACTCTCAGAGTTTAACTTTGCTTTTCATTCAGCAGTTTGGAAACACTCTGTTAGTAAAGTCTGCACGTGGATAATTTGACCACTTAGAGGCCTTCGTTGGAAACGGGTTTTTTTCATGTAAGGCTAGACAGAAGAATTCCCAGTAACTTCCTTGTGTTGTGTACATTCAACTCACAGAGTTGAACGTTCCCTTAGACAGAGCAGATTTGAAACACTCTTTTTGTGCAATTGGCAAATGGAGATTTCAAGCGCTTTAAGGTCAATGGCAGAAAAGGAAATATCTTCGTTTCAAAACTAGACAGAATCATTCCCACAAACTGCGTTGTGATGTGTTCGTTCATCTCACAGAGTTTAACCTTTCTTTTCGTAGAGCAGTTAGGAAACAGTCTGTTTGTAAATTCTGTAAGTGGATATCCTGACATCTTGTGGCCTTCGTTGGAAACGGGATTTCTTCATATTCTGCTAGACAGAAGAATTCTCAGAATCTTCCTTGTGTTGTGTGTATTCAACTCACACAGTTGAACGATTGTTTACACAGAGCAGATTTGAAACACTCTTTTTGTGGAATTTGCAAGTGGAGATTTCAGCCGCTTTGAGGTCAATGGTAGAAAAGGAAATATCTTCGTATAAAAACTAGACAGAATGATTCTCAGAAACTCCTTTGTGATGTGTGTGTTCAACTCACAGATTTTAACCTTTCTTTTCCTAGAGCAGTTAGTAAACACTCTGTTTATAAAGTCTGCAAGTGGATATTCAGACCCCTTTGAGGCCTTCGTTGGAAACGGGATTTCTTCATATTATGCTAGACAGAGAATTCCCAGTAACTTCCTTGTGTTGTGTGTGTTCAACTCACAGAGTTGAACTTTCATTTACACAGAACAGATTTGAAACACTCTTTTTGTGGAATTTGCAAGTGGAGATTTCAAGCGCTTTGAGGCCAAAGGCAGAAAAGGAAATATCTTCGTTTCAAAACTAGACAGAATCATTCTCAGAAACTGCTCTGCGATGTGTGCGTTCAACTCTCAAAGTTTAACTTTTCTTTTCATTCAGCAGTTTGGAAACACTCTGTTTGTAAAGTCTGCACGTGGATAACTTGACCACTTAGAGGCCTTCGTTGGAAACGGGTTTTTTTCATTTAAGGCTAGACAGAAGAATTCCCAGTAACTTCCTTGTGTTGTGTACATTCAACTCACAGAGTTGAACGTTCCCTTAGACAGAGCAGATTTGAAACACTCTTTTTGTGCAATTGGCAAGTGGAGATTTCAAGCGCTTTAAGGTCAATGGCAGAAAAGGAAATATCTTCGTTTCAAAACTAGACGGAATCATTCCCACAAACTGCGTTGTGATGTGTTCGTTCATCTCACAGAGTTTAACCTTTCTTTTCATAGAGCAGTTAGGAAACACTCTGTTTGTAAATTCTGTAAGTGGATATTCTGACATCTTGTGGCCTTCGTTGGAAACGGGATTTCTTCATATTCTGCTAGACAGAGAAGATTCTCAGTAACTTCCTTGTGTTGTGTGTATTCAACTCACAGAGTTGAACGATCCTTTACACAGAGCAGACTTGAAACATTCTTTTTGTCGAATTTGCAAGTGGAGATTTCAGCCGCTTTGAGGTCAATGGTAGAATAGGAAATATCTTCCTATAGAAACTAGACAGACGATTCTCAGAAACTCCTTTGTGATGTGTGCGTTCAACTCACAGAGTTTAACCTTTCTTTTCATAGAGCAGTTAGGAAACACTCTGTTTGTAAAGTCTGCAAGTGGATATTCAGACC
Source organism: Homo sapiens (assembly GCF_000001405.40). Classification (NCBI taxonomy): domain Eukaryota; kingdom Metazoa; phylum Chordata; class Mammalia; order Primates; family Hominidae; genus Homo; species Homo sapiens. Next base: position 124,664,041 of record NC_000001.11, read on the forward strand.
TCTTTGAGGCCTTCGTTGGAAACGGGATTTCTTCCTATTCTGCTAGACAGAAGAATTCTCAGTAACTTCCTTGTGTTGTGTGTATTCAACTCACAGAGTTGAAGGATCCTTTACACTGAGCAGACTTGAAACACTCTTTTTGTGGAATTTGCAAGTGGAGATTTCAGCCGCTTTGAGGTCAATGGTAGAAAAGGAAACTATCTTCATATAAAGACTAGACAGAATCATTCTCAGAAACTGCTCTGCGATGTGTGCGTTCAACTCTCAGAGTTTAACTTTTCTTTTCATTCAGCAGTTTGGAAACACTCTGTTTGTAAAGTCTGCACGTGGATATTTTGACCACTCAGAGGCCTTCGTTGGAAACGGGTTTTTTTCCTGTAAGGCTAGACAGAAGAATTCCCAGTAACTTCCTTGTGTTGTGTGCATTCAACTCACAGAGTTGAACGTTCCCTTAGACAGAGCAGATTTGAAACACTCTATTTGTGCAATTTGCAAGTGTAGTTTTCAAGCTCTTTAAGGTCAACGGCAGAAAAGGAAATATCTTCGTTTCAAAACTAGACAGAATCATTCCCACAAACTGCGTTGTGATGTGTTCGTTCAACTCACAGAGTTTAACCTTTCTGTTCATAGAGCAGTTAGGAAACACTCTGTTTGTAAAGTCTGTAAGTGGATATTCTGACATATTGTGGCCTTCGTTGGAAACGGGATTTCTTCATATTCTGGGCCTAGACAGAAGAATTGTCAGTAACTTCCTTGTGTTGTGTGTATTCAACTCACAGAGTTGAACGATCCTTTACACAGAGCAGACTTGAAACACTCTTTTTGTGGAATTTGCAAGTGTAGTTTTCAGCCGCTTTGAGGTCAATGGTAGAATAGGAAATATCTTCCTATAGAAACTAGACAGAATGATTCTCAGAAACTCCTTTGTGATGTGTGCGTTCAACTCACAGAGTTTAACCTTTCTTTTCATAGAGCAGTTAGGAAACACTCTGCTTGTAAAGTCTGCAAGTGGATATTCAGCCCTCTTTGAGGCCTTCGTTGGAAACGGGTTTTTTTCATATAAGGCTAGACAGAAGAATTCCCAGTAACTTCCCTTGTGTTGTGTGTATTCAACTCACAGAGTTGAACTTTCATTTACACAGAGCAGATTTGAAACACTCTTTTTGTGGAATTTGCAAGTGGAGATTTCAAGCGCTTTAAGGCCAAAGGCAGAAAAGGAAATATCTTCGTATAAAAACTAGACAGAATCATTCTCAGAAACTGCTCTGCGATGTGTGCGTTCAACTCTCAGAGTTTAACTTTTCTTTTCATTCAGAAGTTTGGAAACACTCTGTTTGTAAAGTCTGCACGTGGATAACTTGACCACTTAGAGGCCTTCGTTGGAAACGGGTTTTTTTCATGTAAGGCTAGACAGAAGAATTCCCAGTAACTTGCCTTGTGTTGTGTACATTCAACTCACAGAGTTGAACGTTCCCTTAGACAGAGCAGATTTGAAACACTCTTTTTGTGCAATTGGCAAATGGAGATTTCAAGCGCTTTAAGGTCAATGGCAGAAAAGGAAATTGTTCGTTTCAAAACTAGACAGAATGATTCTCAGAAACTTCTTTGTGATGTGTGCGTTCAACTCACAGAGTTTAACCTTTCTTTTCATAGAGCAGTTAGGAAACACTCTGTTTGTAAACTCTGCAAGTGGATATTAAGACCTCTTTGAGGTCTTCGTTGGAAACGGGATTTCTTCATACTGTGCTAGACAGAAGAATTCTCAGTAACTTCCTTGTGTTGTGTGTATTCAACTCACAGAGTTGAACGATCCTTTACACAGAGCGGACTTGAAACACTCTTTTTGTGGAATTTGCAAGTGGAGATTTCAGCCGCGTTGAGGTCAATGGTAGAAAAGGAAATCTCTTCGTATAAAAACTAGACAGAATGATTCTCAGAAACTCCTTTGTGATGTGTGCGTTCAACTCACAGAGTTTAACCTTTCTGTTCATAGAGCAGTTAGGAAACACTCTGTTTGTAAAGTCTGCAAGTGGATATTCAGACCTCCTTGAGGCCTTCGTTGGAAACGGGATTTCTTCATCTTCTGCTAGACAGAAGAATTCTCAGTAACTTCCCTTGTGTTGTGTGTATTCAACTGACAGAGTTGAACTTTCATTTAGAGAGAGCAGATTTCAAACACTGTTTTTGTGGAATTTGCAAGTGGAGATTTCAAGCGCTTTGGGGTCAAAGGCAGAAAAGGAAATATCTTCGTATAAAAACTAGACAGAATCATTCTCAGAAACTGCTCTGTGATATGTCCGTTCAACTCTCAGAGTTTAACTTTTCTTTTCATTCAGCAGTTTGGAAACACTCTGTTTGTAAAGTCTGCACGTGGATAATTTGACCACTTAGAGGCCTTCGTTGGAAATGGGTTTTTTTCATGTAAGGCTAGACAGAAGAATTCCCAGTAACTTCCTTGTGTTGTGTACATTCAACTCACAGAGTTGAACGTTCCCTTAGACAGAGCAGATTTGAAACACTCTTTTTGTGCAATTGGCAAGTGGAGATTTCAAGCGCTTTAAGGTCAATGGCAGAAAAGGAAATATCTTCGTTTCAAAACTAGACAGAATGATTCTCAGAAAGTCCTTTGTGATGTGTGCGTTCAACTCACAGAGTTTACCCTTTCTGTTCATAGAGCAGTTAGGAAACACTCTGTTTGTAAATTCTGCAAGTGGATATTCAGACCTACTTGAGGTCTTCGGTGGAAACGGGACTTCTTCATATTCTGTTAGACAGAAGAATTCTCAGTAACTTCCTTGTGTTGTGTGTATTCAACTCACAGAGTTGAACGATCCTTTACACAGAGCAGACTTGAAACACTCTTTTTGTGGAATTTGCAAGTGGAGATTTCATCCGCTTTGAGGTCAATGGTAGAAAAGGAGACTATCTTCATATAAAGACTAGACAGAATGATTCTCAGAAACTCCTTTGTGATGTGTGCGTTCAACTCACAGAGTTGAACCTTTCTTTTCATAGAGCAGTTGGGAAACACTCTGTTTGTAAAGTCTGCAAGTGGATATTCAGACTTCTTTGAGGCCTTCGTTGGAAGCGGGATTTCTTCATATTCTGCTAGACAGAAGAATTCTCAGAAACTTCCTTGTGTTGTGTGTATTCAACTGACAGAGTTGAACTTTCATTTAGAGAGAGCAGATTTGCAACACTGTTTTTGTGGAATTTGCAAGTGGAGATTTCAAGCGCTTTGGGGCCAAAGGCAGAAAAGGAAATATCTTCGGATAAAAACTAGACAGAGAATCATTCTCAGAAACTGCTCTGCGATGTGTGCGTTCAACTCTCAGAGTTTAACTTTTCTTTTCATTCAGCAGTTTGGAAACACTCTGTTTGTAAAGTCTGCACGTGGATATTTTGACCACTTAGAGGCCTTCGTTGGAAACGGGTTTTTTTCCTGTAAGGCTAGACAGTAGAATTCCCAGTAACTTCCTTGTGTTGTGTACATTCAACTCACAGAGTTGAACGTTCCCTTAGACAGAGCAGATTTGAAACACACTTTTTGTGCAATTGGCAAGTGGAGATTTCAAGCGCTTTAAGGTCAATGGCAGAAAAGGAAATATCTTCGTTTCAAAACTAGACAGAATCATTCCCACAAACTGCGTTGTGATGTGTTCGTTCATCTCACAGAGTTTAACCTTTCTTTTCATAGTGCAGTTAGGAAACACTCTGTTTGTAAATTCTGTAAGTGGATATTCTGACATCTTGTGGCCTTCGTTGGAAACGGGAATTCTTCATATTCTGCTAGACAGAATAATTCTCAGTAACTTCCTTGTGTTGTGTGTATTCAACTCAGAGAGTTGAACGATCCTTTACAGAGAGCTGACTTGAAACACTCTTTTTGTGGAATTTGCAAGTGGTGATCTCAGCCGCTTTGAGGTCAATGGTAGAATAGGAAATATCTTCCTATAGAAAGTAGACAGAATGATTCTCAGAAACTCCTTTGTGATGTGTGCGTTCAACTCACAGAGTTTAACCTTTCTTTTCATAGAGCAGTTAGGAAACACTCTGTTTGTAAAGTCTGCAAGTGGATATTCAGACCTCCTTGAGGCCTTCGTTGGAAACGGGTTTTTTTCATATAAGGCTAGACAGAAGAATTCCCAGTAACTTCCTTGTGTTGTGTGTGTTCAACTCACAGAGTTGAACTTTCATTTACACAGAGCAGATTTGAAACACTCTTTTTGTGGAATTTGCAAGTGGAGATTTCAAGCGCTTTGAGGCCAAAGGCAGAAAAGGAAATATCTTCGTTTCAAAGCTAGACAGAATCATTCTCAGAAACTGCTGCATGATGTGTGCGTTCAACTGTCAGAGTTTAACTTTTCTTTTCATTCAGCGGTTTGGAAACACTCTGTTTGTAAAGTCTGCACGTGGATATTTTGACCACTTAGAAGCCTTCGTTGGAAAAGGGTTTTTTTCATGTAAGGCTAGACAGAAGAATTCCCAGTAACTTCCTTGTGTTGTGTGCATTCAACTCACAGAGTTGAACGTTCCCTTAGACAGAGCAGATTTGAAACACTCTATTTGTGCAATTTGCAAGTGTAGATTTCAAGCGCTTTAAGGTCAATGGCAGAAAAGGAAATATCTTCGTTTCAAAACTAGACAGAATCATTCCCACAAACTGCGTTGTGATGTGTTCGTTCAACTCACAGAGTTTAACCTTTCTGTTCATAGAGCAGTTAGGAAACACTCTGTTTGTAAAGTCTGAAAGTGGATATTCTGACATCTTGTGGCCTTCGTTGGGAACGGGATTTCTTCATATTCTGCTAGACAGAAGAATTCTCAGAATCTTCCTTGTGTTGTGTGTATTCAACTCACAGAGTTGAACGATGGTTTACACAGAGCAGATTTGAAACACTCTTTTTGTGGAATTTGCAAGTGGAGATTTCAGCCGCTTTGAGGTCAATGGTAGAAAATGAAATATCTTCGTATAAAAACTAGACAGAATGATTCTGAGAAACTCCTTTGTGATGTGTGCGTTCAACTCACACAGTTTAACCTTTCTTTTCATAGAGCAGTTAGGAAACACTCTGTTTGTAAAGTCTGCAAGTGGATATTCAGACCTCCTTGAGGCCTTCGTTGGAAACGGGATTTCTTCATATTATGCTAGACAGAAGAATTCTCAGTAACTTCCTTGTGTTGTGTGTATTCAACTGACAGAGTTGAACTATCATTTAGAGAGAGCAGATTTGAAACACTGTTTTTGTGGAATTTGCAAGTGGAGATTTCAAGCGCTTTGGTGCCAAAGGCAGAAAAGGAAATATCTTCGTATAAAAACTAGACAGAATCATTCTCAGAAACTGCTCTCCGATGTGTGCGTTCAACTCTCAGAGTTTAACTTTTCTTTTCATTCAGCAGTTTGGAAACACTCTGTTTGTAAAGTCTGCACGTGGATAATTTGACCACTTAGAGGCCTTCGTTGGAAACGGGTTTTTTTTCATGTAAGGCTAGACAGAAGAATTCCCAGTAACTTCCTTGTGTTGTGTGCATTCAACTCACAGAGTTGAACGTTCCCTTAGACAGAGCAGATTTGAAACACTCTATTTGTGCAATTGGCAAGTGTAGATTTCAAGCGCTTTAAGGTCAATGGCAGAAAAGGAAATATCTTCGTTTCAAAACTAGACAGAATCATTCCCACAAACTGCGTTGTGATGTGTTCGTTCAACTCACAGAGTTTAACCTTTCTGTTCATAGAGCAGTTAGGAAACACTCTGTTTGTAAAGTCTGTAAGTGGATATTCTGACATCTTGTGGCCTTCGTTGGAAACGGGATTTCTTCATATTCTGCTAGACAGAAGAATTCTCAGAAACTTCCTTGTGTTGTGTGTATTGAACTCACAGAGTTGAACGATCGTTTACACAGAGCAGACTTGAGACACTCTGTTTGTGTAATTTGTAAGTGGAGATTTCAGCCGCTATGAGGTCAATGGTAGAAAAGGAAATATCTTCATATAAAAACTAGACAGAATGATTCTCAGAAACTCCTTTGTGATGTGTGCGTTCAACTCACAGAGTTTAACCTTTCTTTTCATAGAGCAGTTAGTAAACACTCTGTTTGTAAAGTCTGCAAGTGGATATTCAGACCCCTTTGAGGCCTTCTTTGGAAACGGGATTTCTTCATATTCTGCTAGACAGAAGAATTCTCAGTAACTTCCTTGTGTTGTGTGCATTCAACTGACAGAGTTGAACTTTCATTTAGAGAGAGCAGATTTGAAACACTGTTTTTGTGGAATTTGCAAGTGGAGATTTCAAGCGCTTTGGGGCCAAAGGCAGAAAAGGAAATATCTTCGTATAAAAACTAGACAGAATGATTCTCAGAAACTCCTTTGTGATGTGTGCGTTCAACTCACAGAGTTTAACCTTTCTTTTCATAGAGCAGTTAGGAAACACTCTCCTTGTAAAGTCTGCAAGTGGATATTTTGACCACTTAGAGGCCTTCGTTGGAAACGGGTTTTTTTCATATAAGGCTAGACAGAAGAATTCCCAGTAACTTCCTTGTGTTGTGTACATTCAACTCACAGAGTTGAACGTTCCCTTAGACAGAGCAGATTTGAAACACTATTTTTGTGCAATTGGCAAGTGGAGATTTCAAGCGCTTTGAGGTCAATGGCAGAAAAGGAAATATCTTCGTTTCAAAACTAGACAGAATCATTCCCACAAAACTGCGTTGTGATGTGTTCGTTCAACTCACAGAGTTTAACCTTTCTGTTCATAGAGCAGTTAGGAAACACTCTGTTTGTAAAGTCTGTAAGTGGATATTCTGACATCTTGTGGCCTTCGTTGGAAACGGGATTTCTTCATATTCTGCTAGACAGAAGAATTCTCAGTAACTTCCTTGTGTTGTGTGTATTCAACTCACAGAGTTGAATGATCCTTTACACAGAACAGTCTTGAAACACTCTTTTTGTGGAATTTGCAAGTGGAGATTTCATCCGCTTTGAGGTCAATGGTAGAATAGGGAATATCTTCCTATAGAAACTAGACAGAATGATTCTCAGAAACTCCTTTGTGATGTGTGCGTTCAACTCACAGAGTTTAACCTTTCTTTTCATAGAGCAGTTAGGAAACACTCTGTTTGTAAAGTCTGCAAGTGGATATTCAGACATCTTTGAGGCTTTCGTTGGAAACGGGATTTCTTCATATTCTGCTAGGCAGAAGAATTCTCAGAAACTTCGATGTGTTGTGTGTTTTCAACTCACAGAGTTCAACGATCATTTACACAGAGTAGACTTGAAACACTCTTTTTGTGGAATTGGCAGGGTGGAGATTTCAGCCGCTTTGAGGTCAAAGGTAGAAAAGGAAATATCTTCGTATAAAAACTAGACAGAATGATTCTAAGAAACTCCTTTGTGATGTGTGCGTTCAACTCACAGAGTTTAACCTTTCTTTTCATAGAGCAGTTGGGAAACACTCTGTTTGTAAAGTCTGCAAGTGGATATTCAGACATCCTTGAGGCTTTCGTTGGAAACGGGATTTCTTCATATTCTGCTAGAAAGAAGAATTCTCAGTAACTTCCTTGTGTTGTGTGTATGCAACTCACAGAGTTGAATGATCCTTTACACAGAGCAGACTTGAAACACTCTTTTTGTGGAATTTGCAAGTGGAGATTTCAGCCGCTTTGAGGTCAATGGTAGAAAAGTAAATATCTTCGTATAAAGACTAGACAGAATGATTCTCAGAAACTCCTTTGTGATGTGTGCGTTCAACTCACAGAGTTTAACCTTTCTGTTCATAGAGCAGTTAGGAAACACTCTGTTTGTATAGTCTGCAAGTGGATATTCAGACCTCCTTGAGGCCTTCGTTGGAAACGGGATTTCTTCAATATTCTGCTAGACAGAAGAATTCTCAGTAACTTCCTTGTGTTGTGTGTATTCAACTCACAGAGTTGAACGATCCTTTACACAGAGCAGACTTGAAACACTCTTTTTGTGGAATTTGCAAGTGGAGATTTCAGCCGCTTTCAGGTCAATAGTAGAAAAGGAAATATCTTCGTAGAAAAACTAGACAGAATGATTCTCAGAAACTCCTTTGTGATGTGTGCGTTCAACTCACAGAGTTTAACTTTTCTTTTCATAGAGCCGTTAGGAAACACTCTGTTTGTAAAGTCTGCAAGTGGATATTCAGACCTCTTTGAGGCCTTCGTTGGAAACGGGATTTCTTCATATTATGCTAGACAGAAGAATTCTCAGTAACTTCCTTGTGTTGTGTGTATTGAACTCACAGAGTTGAACGATCCTTTACACAGAGCAGACTTGAAACATTCTTTTTGTGGAATTTGCAAGTGGAGATTTCAGCCGCTTTGAGGTCAATGGTAGAATAGGAAATATCTTCCTATAGAAACTAGACAGAATCATTCTCAGAAACTGCTGCGTGATGTGTGCGTTCAACTCTCAGAGTTTAACTTTTCTTTTCATTCAGCGGTTTGGAAACACTCTCGTTTGTAAAGCCTGCACGTGGATATTTTGACCACTTAGAGGCCTTCGTTGGAAACGGGTTTTTTTCATGTAAGGCTAGACAGAAGAATTCTCAGTAACTTCCTTGTGTTGTGTGTATTCAACTCACAGAGTTGAACGATCCTTTACACAGAGCAGACTTGAAACACTCTTTTTGTGGAATTTGCAACTGTAGATTTCAAGCGCTTTAAGGTCAATGGCAGAAAAGGAAATATCTTCGTTTCAAAACTAGACAGAATGATTCTCAGAAACTCCTTTGTGATGTGTGCGTTCAACTCACAGAGTTTAACCTTTCTGTTCATACAGCAGTTAGGAAACACTCTGTTTGTAAAGTCTGCAAGTGGATATTCAGACCTCCTTGAGGCCTTCGTTGGAAACGGGATTTCTTCATATTCTGCTAGACAGAAGAATTCTCAGAAACTTCCTTGTGTTGTGTGTTTTCAACTCACAGAGTTGAACGATCCTTTACACAGAGCAGACTTGAAACACTCCTTTTGTGGAATTTGCAAGTGGAGATTTCAGCCGCTTTGAGTTCAATGGTAGAATAGGAAATATCTTCCTATAGAAACTAGACAGAATGATTCTCAGAAACTCCTTTGTGATGTGTGCGTTCAACTCACAGAGTTTAACCTTTCTTTTCATAGAGCAGTTAGGAAACACTCTGTTTGTAAAGTCTGCAAGTGGATATTCAGACATCCTTGAGGCTTTCGTTGGAAACGGGATTTCTTCATATTCTGCTAGAAAGAAGAATTCTCAGTAACTTCCTTGTGTTGTGTGTATTCAACTCACAGAGTTGAACGATCCTTTACACAGAGCAGACTTGAAACACTCTTTTTGTGGAATTTGCAAGTGGAGATTTCAGCCTCTTTGAGGTCAATGGTAGAATAGGAAATATCTTCCTATAGAAAGTAGACAGAATCATTCTCAGAAACTGCTGCGTGATGTGTGCGTTCAACTCTCAGAGTTTAACTTTTCTTTTCATTCAGCGGTTTGGAAACACTCTGTTTGTAAAGTCTGCACGTGGAAATTTTGACCACTTAGAGGCCTTCGTTGGAAACGGGTTTTTTTCATGTAAGGCTAGACAGAAGAATTCCCAGTAACTTCCTTGTGTTGTGTACATTCAACTCACAGAGTTGAACGTTCCCTTAGACAGAGCAGATTTGAAACACTCTTTTTGTGCAATTGGCAAGTGGAGATTTCAAGCACTTTAAGGTCAATGGCAGAAAAGGAAATATCTTCGTTTCAAAACTAGACAGAATCATTCCCACAAACTGCGTTGTGATGTGTTCGTTCAACTCACAGAGTTTAAACTTTCTTTTCATAGAGCAGTTAGGAAACAGTCTGTTTGTAAATTCTGTAAGTGGATATTCTGACATCTTGTGGCCTTCGTTGGAAACGGGATTTCTTCATATTTTGCTAGACAGAAGAATTCTCAGTAACTTCCTTGTGTTGTGTGTATTCAACTCACAGAGTTGAATGATCCTTTACACAGAGCAGACTTGAAACACTCTTTTTGTGGAATTTGCAAGTGGAGATTTCAGCCGCTTTGAGGTCAATGGTAGAAAAGGAAACTATCTTCATATAAAGACTAGACAGAATGATTCTCAGAAACTCCTTTGTGATGTGTGCGTTCAACTCACAGAGTTTAACCTTTCTTTTCATAGAGCAGTTAGGAAACACTCTCTAAAGTCTGCAAGTGGATATTCAGACCTCCTTGAGGTCTTCGTTGGAAACGGGATTTCTTCATATTCTGCCAGACAGAAGAATTCTCAGTAACTTCCTTGTGTTGTGTTTATTCAACTCACAGAGTTGAATGATCCTTTACAGAGAGCAGACTTGAAACACTCTTTTTGTGGAATTTGCAAGTGGAGATTTCAGCCGCTTTGAGGTCAATGGTAGAAAAGTAAATATCTTCCTATAAAGACTAGACAGAATGATTCTCAGAAACTCCTTTGTGATGTGGGCGTTCAACTCACAGTGTTTAACCTTTCTTTTCATAGAGCAGTTGGGAAACACTCTGTTTGTAAAGTCTGCATGTGGATATTTGGACTTCTTTGAGGCTTTCGTTGGAAACGGGTTTTTTTCATGTAAGGCTAGACAGAAGAATTCCCAGTAACTTTCCTTGTGTTGTGTACGTTCAACTCACAGAGTTGAACGTTCCCTTAGACAGAGCAGATTTGAAACACTCTTTTTGTGCAATTGGCAAGTGGAGATTTCAAGCGCTTTAAGTTCAATGGCAGAAAAGGAAATATCTTCGTTTCAAAACTAGACAGAATCATTCCCACAAACTGCGTTGTGATGTGTTCGTTCATCTCACAGAGTTTAACCTTTCTTTTCATAGAGCAGTTAGGAAACAGTCTGTTTGTCAATTCTGTAAGTGGATATTCTGACATCTTGTGGCCTTCGTTGGAAACGGGATTTCTTCATATTCTGCTAGACAGAAGAATTCTCAGTAACTTACCTTGTGTTGTGTGTATTGAACTCGCAGAGTTGAACGATCCTTTACACAGAGCAGACTTGAAACACTCTTTTTGTGGAATTTGCAAGTGGAGATTTCAGCCGCTTTGAGGTCAATAGTAGAAAAGGAAATATCTTCGTAGAAAAACTAGACAGAATGATTCTCAGAAACTCCTTTGTGATGTGTGTGTTCAACTCACGAAGTTTAACCTTTCTTTTCATAGAGCAGTTAGTAAATACTCTGTTTATAAAGTCTGCAAGTGGATATTCAGACCCCTTTGAGGCCTTCGTTGGAAACGGGATTTCTTCATATTATGCTAGACAGAAGAATTCCCAGTAACTTCCTTGTGTTGTGTGTGTTCAACTCACAGAGTTGAACTTTCATTTACACAGAGCAGATTTGAAACCCTCTTTTTGTGGAATTTGCAAGTGGAGATTTCAAGGGCTTTGAGGCCAAAGGCAGAAAAGGAAATGTCTTCGTTTCAAAACTAGACAGAATCATTCTCAGAAACTGCTGCGTGATGTGTGCGTTCAACTCTCAGAGTTTAACTTTTCTTTTCATTCAGCGGTTTGGAAACACTCTGTTTGTAAAGTCTGCACGTGGATATTTTGACCACTTAGAGGCCTTCGTTGGAAACGGAATTTTTTCATGTAAGGCTAGACAGAAGAATTCCCAGTAACTTCCTTGTGTTGTGTACATTCAACTCACAGAGTTGAACGTTCCTTTAGACAGAGCAGATTTGAAACACTCTTTTTGTGCAATTGGCAAGTGGAGATTTCAAGCGCTTTAAGGTCAATGGCAGAAAAGGAAATATCTTCGTTTCAAAACTAGACAGAATCATTCCCACAAACTGCGTTGTGATGTGTTCGTTCAACTCACAGAGTTTAACCTTTCTTTTCATAGAGCAGTTAGGAAACAGTCTGTTTGTAAATTCTGTAAGTGGATATTCTGACATCTTGTGGCATTCGTTGGAAACGGGATTTCTTCATATTCTGCTAGACAGAAGAATTCTCAGTAACTTCCTTGTGTTGTGTGTATTCAACTCACAGAGTTGCACGATCCTTTACACAGAGCAGACTTGAAACACTCTTTTTGTGGAATTTGCAAGTGGAGATTTCAGCCGCTTTGAGGTCAATAGTAGAAAAGGAAATATCTTCGTAGAAAAACTACACAGAATGATTCTCAGAAAATCTTTTGTGATGTGTGCGTTCAACTCACAGAGTTTAACTTTTCTTCTCATAGAGCAGTTAGGAAACACTCTGTTTGTAAAGTCTGCAAGTGGATATTAAGACCTCTTTGAGGCCTTCGTTGGAAACGGGATTTCTTCATATTATGCTAGACAGAAGAATTCTCAGTAACTTCCTTGTGTTGTGTGTATTCAACTGACAGAGTTGAACTTTCATTTAGAGAGAGCAGATTTGAAACACTGTTTTTGTGGAATTTGCAAGTGGAGATTTCAAGCGCTTTCGGGCCAAAGGCAGAAAACGAAATATCTTCGTATAAAAACTAGACAGAATCATTCTTAGAAACTGCTGCGTGATGTGTGCGTTCAACTCTCAGAGTTTAACTTTTCTTTTCATTCAGCGGTTTGGAAACACTCTGTTTGTAATGTCTGCACGTGGATATTTTGACCACTTAGAGGCCTTCGTTGGAAACGGGTTTTTTGCATGTAAGGCTAGACAGAAGAATTCTCAGTAACTTCCTTGTGTTGTGTGCATTCAACTCACAGAGTTGAACGTTCCCTTAGACAGAGCAGATTTGAAACAGCCTATTTTTGCAATTTGCAAGTGTAGATTTCAAGCGCTTTAAGGTCAACGGCTGAAAAGGAAATATCTTCCTTTCAAAACTAGACAGAATGATTCTCAGAAACTCCTTTGTGATGTGTGCGTTCAACTCACACAGTTTAACCTTTCTTTTCATAGAGCAGTTAGGAAACACTCTGTTTGTAAAGTCTGCAAGTGGATATTCAGACCTCCTTGAGGCCTTCATTGGAAACGGGATTTCTTCATATTATGCTAGACAGAAGAATTCTCAGTAACTTCCTTGTGTTGTGTGTATTCAACTCACAGAGTTGAACGATCCTTTACACAGAGCAGACTTGAAACACTCCTTTTGTGGAATTTGCAAGTGGAGATTTCAGCCGCTTTGAGGTCAATGGTAGAATAGGAAATATCTTCCTATAGAAAGTAGACAGAATGATTCTCAGAAACTCCTTTGTGATGTGTGCGTTCAACTCACAGAGTTTAACCTTTCTTTTCATAGAGCAGTTAGGAAACACTCTGTTTGTAAAGTCTGCAAGTGGATATTCAGACCTCTTTGAGGCCTTCGTTGGAAACTGGGTTTTTTTCATATAAGGCTAGACAGAAGAATTCCCAGTAACTTCCTTGTGTTGTGTGTGTTCAACTCACAGAGTTGAACTTTCATTTACACAGAGCAGATTTGAAACACTCTTTTTGTGGAATTTGCAAGTGGATATTTCAAGCGCTTTGAGGCCAAAGGCAGAAAAGGAAATATCTTCGTTTCAAAACTAGACAGAATCATTCTCAGAAACTGCTGCGTGATGTGTGCGTTCAACTCTCAGAGTTTAACTTTTCTTTTCATTCAGCGGTTTGGAAACACTCTGTTTGTAAAGTCTGCACGTGGAAATTTTGACCACTTAGAGGCCTTCGTTGGAAACGGGTTTTTTTCATGTAAGGATAGACAGAAGAATTCCCAGTAACTTCCTTGTGTTGTGTGCATTCAACTCACAGAGTTGAACGTTCCCTTAGACAGAGCAGATTTGAAACACTCTATTTGTGCAATTTGCAAGTGTAGATTTCAAGCGCTTTAAGGTCAACGGCAGAAAAGGAAATATCTTCGTTTCAAAACTAGACAGAATGATTCTCAGAAACTCCTTTGTGATGTGTGCGTTCAACTCACAGAGTTTAACTTTTCTTTTCATAGAGCAGTTAGGAAACACTCTGTTTGTAAAGTCTGCAAGTGGATATTCAGACCTCTTTGAACTCTTCGTTGGAAAAGGGATTTCTTCATATTATGCTAGACAGAATACTTCTCAGTAACTTCCTTGTGTTGTGTGTATTCAACTCACAGAGTTGAACGATCCTTTACAGAGAGCCGACTTGAAACACTCTTTTTGTGGAATTTGCAAGTGGAGATTTCAGCCGCTTTGAGGTCAATGGTAGAAAAGGAAATATTTTCGTATAAAGACTAGACAGAATGATTCTCAGAAAATCCTTTGTGATGTGTGCGTTCAACTCACAGAGCTTAACCTTTCTTTTCATAGAGCAGTTAGGAAACACTCTGTTTGTAAAGTCTGCAAGTGGATATTCAGACACCTTTGAGGCCTTCGTTGGAAACGGGATTTCTTCATGTTCTGCTAGACACAAGAATTCTCAGTAACTTCCTTGTGTTGTGTGTATTCAACTGACAGAGTTGAACGATCCTTTACACAGAGCAGACTTGAAACACTCTTTTTGTGGAATTTGCAAGTGGAGATTTCAAGCGCTTCGGGGCCAAAGGCAGAAAAGGAAATATCTTCGTATAAAAACTAGACAGAATCATTCTCAGAAACTGCTGCGTGATGTGTGCGTTCAACTCTCAGAGTTTAACTTTTCTTTTCATTCAGCGGTTTGGAAACACTCTGTTTGTAAAGTCTGCACGTGGAAATTTTGACCACTTAGAGGCCTTCGTTGGAAACGGGATTTTTTCATGTAAGGCTAGACAGAAGAATTCCCAGTAACTTCCTTGTGTTGTGTACATTCAACTCACAGAGTTGAACGTTCCCTTAGACAGAGCAGATTTGAAACACTCTTTTTGTGCAATTGGCAAATGGAGATTTCAAGCGCTTTAAGGTCAATGGCAGAAAAGGAAATATCTTCGTTTCAAAACTAGACAGAATCATTCCCACAAACTGCGTTGTGATGTGTTCGTTCAACTCACAGAGTTTAACCTTTCTGTTCATAGAGCAGTTAGGAAACACTCTGTTTGTAAAGTCTGAAAGTGGATATTCTGACATCTTGTGGCCTTCGTTGGAAACGGGATTTCTTCATATTCTGCTAGACAGAAGAATTCTCAGTAACTTCCTTGTGTTGTGTGTATTCAACTCACAGAGTTGAACGATCCTTTACACAGAGCAGACTTGAAACACTCTTTTTGTGGAATTTGCATGTGGAGATTTCAGCCGCTTTGAGTTCAATGGTAGAATAGAAAATATCTTCCTATAGAAACTAGACAGAATGATTCTCATAAACTCCTTTGTGATGTGTGCGTTCAACTCACAGAGTTTAACCTTTCTTTTCATAGAGCAGTTAGGAAACACTCTGTTTGAAAAGTCTGCAAGTGGATATTCAGACCTCCTTGAGGCCTTCGTTGGAAACGGGATTTCTTCATATTCTGCTAGACAGAAGAATTCTCAGTAACTTCCTTGTGTTGTGTTTATTCAACTCACAGAGTTGAATGATCCTTTACACAGAGCAGACTTGAAACACTCTTTTTGTGGAATTTGCAAGTGGCGATTTCAGCCGCTTTGAGGTCAATGATAGAAAAGTAAATATCTTCGTATAAAGACTAGACAGAATCATTCTCAGAAACTGCTCTGCGATGTGTGCGTTCAACTCTCAGAGTTTAACTTTTCTTTTCATTCAGCAGTTTGGAAACACTCTGTTTGTAAAGTCTGCACGTGGATATTTTGACCACTTAGAGGCCTTCGTTGGAAACGGGTTTTTTTCCTGTAAGGCTAAAAAGAAGAATTCACAGTAACTTCCTTGTGTTGTGTACATTCAACTCACAGAGTTGAACGTTCCCTTAGACAGAGCAGATTTGAAACACTCTTTTTGTGCAATTGGCAAGTGGAGATTTCAAGCGCTTTAAGGTCAATGGCAGAAAAGGAAATATCTTCCTTTCAAAACTAGACAGAATCATTCCCACAAACTGCGTTGTGATGTGTTCGTTCATCTCACAGAGTTTAACCTTTCTTTTCGTAGAGCAGTTAGGAAACAGTCTGTTTGTAAATTCTGTAAGTGGATATTCTGACATCTTGTGGCCTTCGTTGGAAACGGGATTTCTTCATATTCTGCTAGACAGAAGAATTCTCAGTAACTTCCTTGTGTTGTGTGTATTCAACTCACAGAGTTGAACGATCCTTTACAGAGAGCAGACTTTAAGCACTCTTTTTGTGGAATTTGCAAGTGGAGATTTCAGCCGCTTTGAGGTCAATGGTAGAAAAGGAAATATCTTCGTATAAAGACTAGACAGAATGATTCTCAGAAACTCCTTTGAGATGTGTGTGTTCAACTCACAGAGTTTAACCTTTCTTTTCATAGAGCAGTTAGGAATCACTCTGTTTGTAAAGTCTGCAAGAGGATATTCAGACCTCTTTGAGGCCTTTGTTGGAAACGGGTTTTTTTCATATAAGGCTAGACAGAAGAATTCTCAGAAACTTCCTTGTGTTGTGTGTATTCAACTCACAGAGTTGAACGATGCTTTACACAGAGTAGACTTGAAACACTCTTTTTCTGGAATTTGCAAGTGGAGATTTCAGGCGCTTTGAGGTCAATGGTAGAAAAGGAAATATCTTCGTATAAAAACTAGACAGAATCATTCTCAGAAACTGCTCTGCGATGTGTGCGTTCAACTCTCAGAGTTTAACATTTCTTTTCATTCAGCAGTTTGGAAACACTCTGTTTGTAAAGTCTGCACGTGGATAACTTGACCACTTAGAGGCCTTCGTTGGAAACGGGTTTTTTTCATGTAAGGCTAGACAGAAGAATTCCCAGTAACTTCCTTGTGTTGTGTGCATTCAACTCACAGAGTTGAACGTTCCCTTAGACAGAGCAGGATTTGAAACACTCTATTTGTGCAATTTGCAAGTGTAGATTTCAAGCGCTTTAAGGTCAATGGCAGAAAAGGAAATATCTTCGTTTCAAAACTAGACAGAATCATTCCCACAAACTGCGTTGTGATGTGTTCGTTCAACTCACAGACTTTAACCTTTCTGTTCATAGAGCAGTTAGGAAACACTCTGTTTGTAAAGTCTGCAAGTGGATATTCAGACCTCCTTGAGGCCTTCGTTGGAAACGGGATTTCTTCATATTCTGCTAGACAGAAGAATTCTCAGAAACTTCCTTGTGTTGTGTGTTTTCAACTCACAGAGTTGAACGATCCTTTACACAGAGCAGACTTGAAACACTCTTTTTGTGGAATTTGCAAGTGGAGATTTCAGCCGCTTTGAGGTCAATGGTAAAATAGGAAATATCTTCCTATAGAAACTAGACAGAATGATTCTCAGAAACTTCTTTGTGATGTGTGCGTTCAACTCACAGAGTTTAACCTTTCTGTTCATAGAGCAGTTAGGAAACACTCTGTTTGTAAACTCTGCAAGTGGATATTCAGACCTCTTTGAGGCCTTCGTTGGAAACGGGATTTCTCCATACTGTGCTAGACAGAAGAATTCCCAGTAACTTCCTTGTGTTGTGTGTGTTCGACTCACAGAGTTGAACTTTCATTTACACAGAGCAGATTTGAAACACTCTTTTTGTGGAATTTGCAAATGGAGATTTCAAGCGCTTTGAGTCCAAAGGCAGAAAAGGAAATATCTTCGTATAAAAACTAGACAGAATCATTCTCAGAAACTGCTCTGCGATGTGTGCGTTCAACTCTCAGAGTTTAACTTTTCTTTTCATTCAGCAGTTTGGAAACACTCTGTTTGTAAAGTCTGCACGTGGATATTTTGACCACTTAGAGGCCTTCGTTGGAAACGGGTTTTTTTCCTGTAAGGCTAGACAGAAGAATTCCCAGTAACTTCCTTGTGTTGTGTACATTCAACTCACAGAGTTGAACGTTCCCTTAGACAGAGCAGATTTGAAACACTCTTTTTGTGCAATTGGCAAGTGGAGATTTCAAGCGCTTTAAGGTCAATGGCAGAAAAGGAAATATCTTCGTTTCAAAACTAGACAGAATCATTCCCACAAACTGCGTTGTGATGTGTTCGTTCAACTCACAGAGTTTAACCTTTCTTTTCATAGAGCAGTTAGGAAACAGTCTGTTTGTCAATTCTGTAAGTGGATATTCTGACATCTTGTGGCCTTCGATGGAAACGGGTTTTCTTCATATTCTGCTAGACAGAAGAATTCTCAGAAACTTCCTTGTGTTGTGTGTATTCAACTCACAGAGTTGAACGATCGTTTACACAGAGCAGACTTGAGACACTCTTTTTGTGGAATTTGTAAGTGGAGATTTCAGCCGCTTTGAGGTCAATGGTAGAAAAGGAAATATCTTCATATAAAAACTAGACAGAATGATTCTCAGAAACTCCTTTGTGATGTGTGTGTTCAACTCACAGAGTTTAACCTTTCTTTCCGTAGAGCAGTTAGGAAACACTCTGTTTGTAAAGTCTGCAAGTGGATATTCAGACCTCCTTGAGGCCTTCGTTGGAAATGGGATTTCTTCATATTCTGCTAGACAGAAGAATTCCCAGTAACTTCCTTGTGTTGTGTGTGTTCAACTCACAGAGTTGAACTTTCATTTACACAGAGCAGATTTGAAACACTCTTTTTGTGGAATTTGCAAGTGGAGATTTCAAGCGCTTTGAGGCGAAAGGCAGAAAAGGAAATATCTTCGTATAAAAACTAGACAGAATCATTCTCAGAAACTGCTGCGTGACGTGTGCCTTCAACTCTCAGAGTTTAACTTTTCTTTTCATTCAGCGGTTTGGAAACACTCTGTTTGTAAAGTCTGCACGTGGATATTTTGACCACTTAGAGGCCTTCGTTGGAAACGGGATTTTTTCATGTAAGGCTAGACAGAAGAATTCCCAGTAACTTCCTTGTGTTGTGTGCATTCAACTCACAGAGTTGAACGTTCCCTTAGACAGAGCAGATTTGAAACACTCTATTTGTGCAATTTGCAAGTGTAGATTTCAAGCGCTTTAAGGTCAATGGCAGAAAAGGAAATATCTTCGTTTCAAAACTAGACAGAATCATTCCCAGAAACTGCGTTGTGATGTGTTCGTTCAACTCACAGAGTTTAACCTTTCTGTTCATAGAGCAGTTAGGAAACACTCTGTTTGTAAAGTCTGTAAGTGGATATTCTGACGTCTTGTGGCCTTCGTTGGAAACGGGATTTCTTCATATTCTGCTAGACAGAAGAATTCTCAGTAACTTCCTTGTGTTGTGTGTATTCAACTCACAGAGTTGAACGATCATTTACACAAAGCAGACTTGAAACACTCTTTATGTGGAATTTGCAAGTGGAGATTTCAGCCGCTTTGAGGTTAATGGTAGAAAATGAAATGTCTTCGTATAGAAACTAGACAGAATGATTCTCAGAAACTCCTTTGTGATGTGTGCGTTCAACTCACAGAGTTTAACCTTTCTTTTCATAGAGCAGTTAGGAAACACTCTGTTTGTAAAGTCTGCAAGTGGATATTCAGACCTCCTTGAGGCCTTCGTTGGAAACGGGATTTCTTCCTATTATGCTAGACAGAAGAATTCCCAGTAACTTCCTTGTGTTGTGTGTGTTCAACTCATAGAGTTGAACTTTCATTTACACAGAGCAGATTTGAAACACTCTTTTTGTGGAATTTGCAAGTGGAGATTTCAAGCGCTTTGAGGCCAAAGGCAGAAAAGGAAATATCTTCGTATAAAAACTAGACAGAATCATTCTCAGAAACTGCTGCGTGATGTGTGCGTTCAACTCTCGGAGTTTAACTTTTCTTTTCATTCAGCGGTTTGGAAACACTCTGTTTGTAAAGTCTGCACGTGGATATTTTGACCACTTAGAGGCCTTCGTTGGAAACGGGTTTTTTTCATGTAAGGCTAGACAGAAGAATTCCCAGTAACTTCCTTGTGTTGTGTGCATTCAACTCACAGAGTTGAACGTTCCCTTAGACAGAGCAGATTTGAAACACTCTATTTGTGCAATTTGCAAGTGTAGATTTCAAGCGCTTTAAGGTCAATGGCAGAAAAGGAAATATCTTCGTTTCAAAACTAGACAGAATGATTCTCAGAAACTCCTTTGTGATGTGTGCGTTCAACTCACAGAGTTTAACTTTTCTTTTCATAGAGCAGTTAGGAAACTCTCTGTAAAGTCTGCAAGTGCATATTCAGACCTCTTTGAGGCCTTCGTTGGAAACGGGATTTCTTCATATTATGCTAGACAGAATAATTCTCAGTAACTTCCTTATGTTGTGTGTATTCAACTCACAGAGTTGAACGATCCTTTACAGAGAGCAGACTTGAAACACTCTTTTTGTGGAATTCGCAAGTGGAGATTTCAGCCGCTTTGAGGTCAATGGTAGAAAAGGATATATCTTCGTATAAAGACTAGACAGAATGATTCTCAGAAACTCCTTTGTGATGTGTGCGTTCAACTCACAGAGTTTAACCTTTCTTTTCATAGAGCAGTTAGGAAACACTCTGTTTGTAAAGTCTGCAAGTTGATATTCAGACCTCTTTGAGGCCTTCGTTGGAAAGGGGATTTCTTCATATTCTGCTAGAGAGAAGAATTCTCAGTAACTTCCCTTGTGTTGTGTGTATTCAACTCACAGAGTTGAACGATCCTTTACACAGAGAAGACTTGAAACACTCTTTTTGTGGAATTTGCAAGTGGAGATTTCAGCCGCTT
Organism: Homo sapiens; assembly: GCF_000001405.40. Classification (NCBI taxonomy): domain Eukaryota; kingdom Metazoa; phylum Chordata; class Mammalia; order Primates; family Hominidae; genus Homo; species Homo sapiens. Next base: position 124,684,614 of record NC_000001.11, read on the forward strand.
TCAGGTCAATAGTAGAAAAGGAAATATCTTCGTAGAAAAACTAGACAGAATCATTCTCAGAAACTGCTCTGCGATGTGTGCGTTCAACTCTCAGAGTTTAACTTTTCGTTTCATTCAGCAGTTTGGAAACACTCTGTTTGTAAAGTCTGCACGTGGATATTTTGACCACTTAGAGGCCTTCGTTGGAAACGGGTTTTTCTCCTGTAAGGCTAGACAGAAGAATTCCCAGTAACTTCCTTGTGTTGTGTACATTCAACTCACAGAGTTGAACGTTCCCTTAGACAGAGCAGATTTGAAACACTCTTTTTGTGCATTTGGCAAGTGGAGATTTCAAGCGCTTTGAGGTCAATGGCAGAAAAGGAAATATCTTCGTTTCAAAACTAGACAGAATCATTCCCACAAACTGCGTTGTGATGTGTTCGTTCATCTCACAGAGTTTAACCTTTCTTTTCATAGAGCAGTTAGGAAACACTCTGTTTGTAAATTCTGTAAGTGGATATTCTGACATCTTGTGGCCTTCGTTGGAAACGGGATTTCTTCATATTCTGCTAGACAGAAGAATTCTCAGTAACTTCCTTGTGTTGTGTGTATTCAACTCACAGAGTTGAACGATCCTTTACACAGAGCAGACTTGAAACACTCTTTTTCTGGAATTTGCAAGTGGAGATTTCAGCCGCTTTGAGGTCAATGGTAGAATAGGAAATATCTTCTTATAGAAACTAGACAGAATGATTCTCAGAAACTTCATTGTGATGTGTGCGTTCAACTCACAGAGTTTAACCTTTCTTTTCATAGAGCAGTTAGGAAACACTCTGTTTGTAAACTCTGCAAGTGGATATTCAGACCTCTTTGAGGCCTTCGTTGGAAAGGGGATTTCTCCATACTGTGCTAGACAGAAGAATTCCCAGTAACTTCCTTGTGTTGTGTGTGTTCAACTCACAGAGTTGAACTTTGATTTACACAGAGCAGATTTGAAACACTCTTTTTGTGGAATTTGCAAGTGGAGATTTCAAGCGCTTTGAGGCCAAAGGCAGAAAAGGAAATATCTTCGTATAAAAACTAGACAGAATCATTCTCAGAAGCTGCTCTGCAATGTGTGCGTTCAACTCTCAGAGTTTAACTTTTCTTTTCATTCAGCAGTTTGGAAACACTCTGTTTGTAAAGTCTGCACGTGGATATTTTGACCACTTAGAGGCCTTCGTTGGAAACGGGTTTTTTTCCTGTAAGGCTAGACAGAAGAATTCCCAGTAACTTCCTTGTGTTGTGTACATTGAACTCACAGAGTTGAACGTTCCCTTAGACAGAGCAGATTTGAAACACTCTTTTTGTGCAATTGGCAAGTGGAGATTTCAAGGGCTTTAAGGTCAATGGCAGAAAAGGAAATATCTTCGTTTCAAAACTAGACAGAATCATTCCCACAAACTGCGTTGTGATGTGTTCGTTCAACTCACAGAGTTTAACCTTTCTTTTCATAGAGCAGTTAGGAAACAGTCTGTTTGTAAATTCTGTAAGTGGATATTCTGACATCTTGTGGCCTTCGTTGGAAACGGGATTTCTTCATATTCTGCTAGACAGAAGAATTCTCAGTAACTTCCTTGTGGAGTTGTGTGTATTCAACTCACAGAGTTGAACGATCCTTTACACAGAGCAGACTTGAAACATTCTTTTTCTGGAATTTGCAAGTGGAGATTTCAGCCGCTTTGAGGTCAATGGTAGAATAGGAAATATCTTCCTATAGAAACTAGACAGAATGATTCTCATAAACTCCTTTGTGATGTGTGCGTTCAACTCACAGAGTTTAACCTTTCTTTTCATAGAGCAGTTAGGAAACACTCTGTTTGTAAAGTCTGCAAGTGGATATTCAGACCTCCTTGAGGCCTTCGTTGGAAACGGGATTTCTTCATATTCTGCTAGACAGAAGAATTCTCAGTAACTTCCTTGTGTTGTGTTTATTCAACTCACAGAGTTGAATGATCGTTTACACAGAGCAGACTTGAAACACTCTTTTTGTGGAATTTGCAAGTGGAGATTTCAGCCGCTTTGAGGTCAATGGTAGAAAAGTAAATATCTTCGTATAAAGACTAGACAGAATGATTCTCAGAAACTCCTTAGTGATGTGTGCGTTCAACTCACAGAGTTTAACCTTTCTGTTCATAGAGCAGTTAGGAAACACTCTGTTTGTAAAGTCTGCAAGTGGATATTCAGACCCCTTTGAGGCCTTCGTTGGAAACGGGATTTCTTCATATTATGCTAGACAGAAGAATTCCCAGTAACTTCCTTGTGTTGTGTACATTCAACTCACAGAGTTGAACGTTCCCTTAGACAGAGCAGATTTGAAACACTCTTTTTGTGCAATTGGCAAGTGGAGATTTCAAGCGCTTTAAGGTCAATGGCAGAAAAGGAAATATCTTCGTTTCAAAACTAGACAGAATCATTCCCACAAACTGCGTTGTGATGTGTTCGTTCAACTCACAGAGTTTAACCTTTCTTTTCATAGAGCAGTTAGGAAACACTCTGTTTGTAAATGTCTGCAAGTGGATATTCAGACCTCCTTGAGGCCTTCATTGGAAACGGGATTTCTTCATATTCTGCTAGACAGAAGAATTCTCAGTAACTTCCTTGTGTTGTGTGTATTCAACTCACAGAGTTGAACGATCCTTTACACAGAGCAGACTTGAAACACTCTTTTTGTGGAATTTGCAAGTGGAGATTTCAGCCGCTTTGAGTTCAATGGTAGAATAGGAAATATTTTCCTATAGAAACTAGACAGAATGATTCTCAGAAATTCCTTTGTGATGTGTGCGTTCAACTCACAGAGTTTAACCTTTCTTTTCATAGAGCAGTTAGGAAACACTCTGTTTGTAAAGTCTGCAAGTGGATATTCAGACCTCCTTGAGGCCTTCGTTGGAAACGGGATTTCTTCATATTATGCTAGACAGAAGAATTCCCAGTAACTTCCTTGTGTTGTGTGTGTTCAACTCACAGAGTTGAACGTTCATTAACACAGAGCAGATTTGAAACACTCTTTTTGTGGAATTTGCAAATGGAGATTTCAAGCGCTTTGGGGCCAAAGGCAGAAAAGGTAATATCTTCGTTTCAAAACTAGACAGAATCATTCTCAGAAACTGCTCTGCGATGTGTGCGTTCAACTCTCAGAGTTTAACTTTTCTTTTCATTCAGCAGTTTGGAAACACTCTGTTTGTAAAGTCTGCACGTGGATAATTTGACCACTTAGAGGCCTTCGTTGGAAACGGGTTTTTTTCATGTAAGGCTAGACAGAAGAATTCTCAGTAACTTCCTTGTGTTGTGTGTATTCAACTCACACAGCTGAACGATCCTTTACACAGAGCAGACTTGTAACACTCTTTTTGTGGAATTTGCAAGTGGAGATTTCAGCCGCTTTGAAGTCAAAGGTAGAAAAGGAAATATCTTCCTATAAAAACTAGACAGAATCATTCCCACAAACTGCGTTGTGATGTGTTCGTTCAACTCACAGAGTTTAACCTTTCTGTTCATAGAGCAGTTAGGAAACTCTCTGTTTCTAAAGTCTGTAAGTGGATATTCTGACATCTTGTGGCCTTCGTTGGAAACGCGATTTCTTCATATTCTGCTAGACAGAAGAATTCTCAGAAACTTCCTTCTGTTGTGTGTTTTCAACTCACAGAGTTGAACGATGCTTTACACAGAGTAGACTTGAAACACTCTTTTTGTGTAATTTGCAAGTGGAGATTTCAGCCGCTTTGAGGTCAATGGTAGAAAAGGAAATATCTTCGTATAAAAACAAGACAGAACGATTCTCAGAAACTCCTTTGTGATGTCTGCGTTCAACTCACAGAGTTTAACCTTTCTTTTCATAGAGCAGTTAGGAAACACTCTGTTTGTAAAGTCTGCAAGTGGATATTCAGACCTCTTTGAGGCCTTCGTTGGAAACGGGTTTTTTTCATGTAAGGCTAGACAGAAGAATTCCCAGTAACTTCCTTGTGTTGTGTGTGTTCAACTCACAGAGTTGAACTTTCATTTACACAGACCAGATTTGAAACACTCTTTTTGTGGAATTTGCAAGTGGAGATTTCAAGCGCTTTGAGGCCAAAGGCAGAAAAGGAAATATCTTCGTATAAAAACTAGACAGAATCATTCTCAGAAACTGCTCTGCGATGTGTGCGTTCAACTCTCAGAGTTTAACTTTTCTTTTCATTCAGCAGTTTGGAAACACTCTGTTTGTAAAGTCTGCACGTGGATATTTTGACCACTTAGAGGCCTTCGTTGGAAACGGGTTTTTTTCCTGTAAGGCTAGACAGAAGAATTCCCAGTAACTTTCCTTGTGTTGTGTACATTCAACTCACAGAGTTGAACGTTCCCTTAGACAGAGCAGATTTGAAACACTCTTTTTGTGCAATTCGCAAATGGAGATTTCAAGCGCTTTAAGTTCAATGGCAGAAAAGGAAATATCTTCGTTTCAAAACTAGACAGAATCATTCCCACAAACTGCGTATTGATGTGTTCGTTCAACTCACAGAGTTTAACCTTTCTTTTCATAGAGCAGTTAGGAAACACTCTGTTTGTAAATTCTGTAAGTGGATATTCTGAAATCTTGCGGCCTTCGTTGGAAACGGGCTTTCTTCATATTCTGCTAGACAGAATAATTCTCAGTAACTTCCTTGTGTTGTGTGTATTCAACTCACAGAGTTGAAGGATCCTTTACAGAGAGCAGGCTTGAAACACTCTTTTTGTCGAATTTGCAAGTGGAGATTTCAGCCGCTTTGAGGTCAATGGTAGAATAGGAAATATCTTCTTATAGAAACTAGACAGAATGATTCTCAGAAACTCCCTTGTGATGTGTGCGTTCAACTCACAGAGTTTAACCTTTCTTTTCATAGAGCAGTTAGGAAACACTCTGTTTGTAAACTCTGCAAGTGGATATTCAGACCTCTTTGAGGCCTTCGTTGGAAACGGGATTTCTTCATATTATGCTAGACAGAAGAATTCCCAGTAACTTCCTTGTGTTGTGTGTGTTCAACTCACAGAGTTGAACTTTCATTTACACAGAGCAGATTTGAAACACTCTTTTTGTGGAATTTGCAAGTGGAGATTTCAAGCGCTTTGAGGCCAAAGGCAGAAAAGGAAATATCTTCGTATGAAAACTAGACAGAATCATTCTCAGAAACTGCTCTGCGATGTGTGCGTTCAACTCTCAGAGTTTAACTTTTCTTTTCATTCAGCAGTTTGGAAACACTCTGTTTGTAAAGTCTGCGCGTGGATAATTTGACCACTTAGAGGCCTTCGTTGGAAACGGGTTTTTTTCATATAAGGCTAGACAGAAGAATTCCCAGTAACTTCCTTGTGTTGTGTGCATTCAACTCACAGAGTTGAACGTTCCCTTAGACAGAGCAGATTTGAAACACTCTATTTGTGCAATTTGCAAGTGTAGTTTTCAAGCTCTTTAAGGTCAACGGCAGAAAAGGAAATATCTTGGTTTCAAAACTAGACAGAATCATTCCCACAAACTGCGTTGTGCTGTGTTCGTTCAACTCACAGAGTTTAACCTTTCTGTTCATAGAGCAGTTAGGAAACACTCTGTTTGTAAAGTCTGTAAGTGGATATTCAGACATCTTGTGGCCTTCGTTGGAAACGGGATTTCTTCATATTCTGCTAGACAGAGGAATTCCCAGTAACTTCCTTGTGTTGTGTGCATTCAACTCACAGAGTTGAATGATTCTTTACACAGAGCAGATTTGAGACACTCTTTTGGTGGAATTTGTAAGTGGAGAATTCAGCCGCTTTGAGGTCAATGGTAGAAAAGGAAATATCTTCGTATAAAAACTAGACAGAATGATTCTCAGAAACTCCTTTGTGATGTGTGCGTTCAACTCACAGAGTTTAACTTTTCTTTTCATAGAGCAGTTAGGAAACACTCTGTTTGTAAAGTCTGCAAGTGGATATTCAGACCTCTTTGAGGCCTTCGTTGGAAACGGGATTTCTTCCTATTCTGCTAGACAGAAGAATTCTCAGTAACTTCCTTGTGTTGTGTGTATTCAACTCACAGAGTTGAACGATCCTTTACACAGAGCAGACTTGAAACACTCTTTTTGTGGAATTTGCAAGTGGAGATTTCAGCCGCTTTCAGGTCAATGGTAGAATAGGAAATATCTTCATATAGAAACTAGACAGAATGATTCTCAGAAACTCCTTTGTGATGTGTGCGTTCCACTCACACAGTTTAACCTTTCTTTTCATAGAGCAGTTAGGAAACACTCTGTTTGTAAAGTCTGCAAGTGGATATTCAGACCTCCTTGAGGCATTCGTTGGAAACGGGATTTCTTCATATTATGCTAGACAGAAGAATTCCCAGTAACTTCCTTGTGTTGTGTACATTCAACTCACAGAGTTGAACGATCCCTTAGACAGAGCAGATTTGAAACACTCTTTTTGTGGAATTTGCAAATGGAGATTTCAAGCGCTTTGAGGCCAAAGGCAGAAAAGGAAATATCTTCGTATAAAAACTAGACAGAAATGATTCTCAGAAACTCCTTTGTGATGTGTGCGTTCAACTCACAGAGTTTAACCTTTCTTTTCATAGAGCAGTTAGGAAACACTCTGTTTGTAAAGTCTGCAAGTGGATATTCAGACCTCTTTGAGGCCTTCGTTGGAAACGGGTTTTCTTCATATTCTGCTAGACAGAAGAATTCTCAGTAACTTCCTTGTGTTGTGTGTATTCAACTCACAGAGTTGAACGATCCTTTACACAGAGCAGTCTTGAAACACTCTTTTTGTGGAATTTGCAAGTGGAGATTTCAGCCGCTTTGAGGTCAATAGTAGAAAAGGAAATATCTTCGTAGAAAAACTAGGCAGAATGATTCTCAGAAACTCCTTTGTGATGTGTGCGTTCAACTCATAGAGTTTAACCTTTCTTTTCATAGAGCAGTTAGGAAACACTCTGTTTGTAAAGTCTGCAAGTGGATATTCAGACCTCTTTGAGGCCTTCGTTGGAAACGGGATTTCTTCATATTCTGCTAGACAGAATAATTCTCAGTAACTTCCTTGTGTTGTGTGTATTCAACTCACAGAGTTGAACGATCCTTTACAGAGAGCAGACTTGAAACACTCTTTTTGTGGAATTTGCAAGTGGAGATTTCAGCCGCTTTGAGGTCAATAGTAGAAAAGGAAATATCTTCGTAGAAAAACTAGACAGAGTGATTCTCAGAAACTCCTTTGTGATGTCTGCGTTCAACTCACAGAGTTTAACCTTTCTTTTCATAGAGCAGTTAGGAAACACTCTGTTTGAAAAGTCTGCAAGTGGATATTCAGACCTCCTTGAGGCCTTCGTTGGAAGCGGGATTTCTTCATATTCTGCTATACAGAAGAATTCTCAGAAACTTCCTTGTGTTGTGTGTATTCAACTCACAGAGTTGAACGATCGTTTACACAGAGCAGACTTGAGACACTCTTTTTTGGAATTTGTAAGTGGAGATTTCAGCCGCTTTGAGGTCAATGGTAGAAAAGGAAATATCTTCACATAAAAACTAGACAGAATGATTCTCAGAAACTCCTTTGTGCTGTGTGCGTTCAACTCACAGAGTTTAACCTTTCTTTTCATAGAGCAGTTAGGAAACACTCTGTTTGTTAAGTCTGCAGGTGGATATTCAGACCTCTTTGAGGCCTTCGTTGGAAACGGGATTTCTTCATATTATGCTAGACAGAAGAATTCTCAGTAACTTCCTTGTGTTGTGTGTATTCAACTCACAGAGTTGAACGATCCTTTACACAGAGCAGACTTGAAACTCTCTTTTTGTGGAATTTGCAAGTGGAGATTTCAGCCGCTTTGAGGTCAATAGTAGAAAAGGAAATATCTTTCGTAGAAAAACTAGACAGAATGATTCTCAGAAACTCCTTTGGGATGTGTGTGCCCAACTCACAGAGTTTAACCTTTCTTTTCATAGAGCTGTTAGGAAACACTCTGTTTGTAAAGTCTGCAAGAGGATATTCAGACCTCTTTGAGGCCTTCGTTGGAAACGGGTTTTTTTCATATAAGGCTAGACAGAAGAATTCCCAGTAACTTCCTTGTGTTGTGTGTGTTCAACTCACAGAGTTGAACTTTGATTTACACAGAGCAGATTTGAAACACTCTTTTTGTGGAATTTTCAAGTGGAGATTTCAAGCGCTTTGAGGCCAAAGGCAGAAAAGGAAATATCTTCGTATAAAAACTAGACAGAATCATTCTCAGAAACTGCTGCGTGATGTGTGCCTTCAACTCTCAGAGTTTAACTTTTCTTTTCATTCAGCGGTTTGGAAACACTCTGTTTGTAAAGTCTGCACGTGGAAATTTTGACCACTTAGAGGCCTTCGTTGGAAACGGGTTTTTTTCATGTAAGGCTAGACAGAAGAATTCTCAGTAACTTCCTTGTGTTGTGTGTATTCAACTCACAGAGTTGAACGATCCTTTACACAGAGCAGACTTGAAACACACTTTTTGTGGAATTTGCAAGTGGAGATTTCAGCCGCTTTGAGGTCAATGGTAGAATAGGAAATATCTTCTTATAGAAACTAGACAGAATGATCTCAGAAACTCCTTTGTGATGTGTGCCTTCAACTCACAGAGTTTAACCTTTCTTTTCATAGAGCAGTTAGGAAACACTCTGTTTGTAAAGTCTGCAAGTGGATATTCAGACCTCTTTGAGGCCTTCGTTGGAAACGGGATTTCTTCATATTCTGCTAGACAGAAGAATTCTCAGTAACTTCCTTGTGTTGTGTGTATTCAACTCACAGAGTTGAACGATCCTTTACACAGAGCAGACTTGAAACACTCTTTTTGTGGAATTTGCAAGTGGAGATTTCAGCCGCTTTGAGGTCAGTAGTAGAAAAGGAAATATCTTCGTAGAAAAACTAGACAGAATGATTCTCAGAAACTCCTTTGTGATGTGGGCGTTGAACTCACAGAGTTTAACCTTTCTTTTCATAGAGCAGTTAGGAAACACTCTGTTTGTAAAGTCTGCAAGTGGATATTCAGACCTCTTTGAGGCTTTCGTTGGAAACGGGATTTCCTCATATTCTGCTAGACAGAAGAATTCCCAGTAACTTCCTTGTGTTGTGTGTGTTCAACTCACAGAGTTGAACTTTCATTTACACAGAGCAGATTTGAAACACTCTTTTTGTGGAATTTGCAAATGGAGATTTCAAGCGCTTTGAGGCCAAAGGCAGAAAAGGAAATATTCTTTGTATAAAAACTAGACAGAACCATTCTCAGAAACTGCTCTGCGATGTGTGCGTTCAACTCTCAGAGTTTAACTTTTCTTTTCATTCAGCAGTTTGGAAACACTCTGTTTGTAAAGTCTGCACGTGGATAATTTGACCACTTAGAGGCCTTCGTTGGAAACGGGTTTTTTTCATGTAAGGCTAGACAGAAGAATTCCCAGTAACTTCCTTGTGTTGTGTGCATTCAACTCACAGAGTTGAACGTTCCCTTAGACAGTGCAGATTTGAAACACTCTATTTGTGCAATTTGCAAGTGTAGATTTCAAGCGCTTTAAGGTCAATGGCAGAAAAGGAAATATCTTCGTTTCAAAACTAGACAGAATGATTCTCAGAAACTCCTTTGTGATGTGTGCGTTCAACTCACAGAGTTCAACCTTTCTTTTCATAGAGCAGTTAGGAAACACTCTGTTTGTAATGTCTGCAAGTGGATCTTCAGACCTCTTTGAGGCCTTCGTTGGAAACGGGTTTTCTTCATATTATGCTAGACAGAAGAATTCTCAGTAACTTCCTTGTGTTGTGTGTATTCAACTCACAGAGTTGAACGATCCTTTACACAGAGCAGACTTGAAACACTCTTTTTGTGGAATTTGCAAGTGGAGATTTCAGCCGCTTTGAGGTCAATGGTAGAATAGGAAATATCTTCCTATAAAAACTAGACAGAATGATTCTCAGAAAATCTTTTGTGATGTGTGCGTTCAACTCACAGAGTTTAACTTTTCTTCTCATAGAGCAGTTAGGAAACACTCTGTTTGTAAAGTCTGCAAGTGGATATTCAGACCTCTTTGAGGTCTTCGTTGGAAACGGGATTTCTTCATATTATGCTAGACAGAAGAATTCTCAGTAACTTCCTTGTGTTGTGTGTATTCAACTGACAGAGTTGAACTTTTATTTAGAGAGAGCAGATTTGAAACTCTGTTTTTGTGGAATTTGCAAGTGGAGATTTCAAGCGCTTTGGGGCCAAAGGCAGAAAAGGAAATATCTTCGTATAAAAACTAGACAGAATCATTCTCAGAAACTGCTGGGTGATGTGTGCGTTCAACTCTCAGAGTTTAACTTTTCTTTTCATTCAGCGGTTTGGAAACACTCTGTTTGTAAAGTCTGCACGTGGATATTTTGACCACTTAGAGGCCTTCGTTGGAAACGGGTTTTTTGCATGTAAGGCTAGACAGAAGAATTCCCAGTAACTTCCTTGTGTTGTGTACATTCAACTCACAGAGTTGAACGTTCCCTTAGACAGAGCAGATTTGAAACACTCTTTTTGTGCAATTGGCAAGTGGAGATTTCAAGCGCTTTAAGGTCAATGGCAGAAAAGGAAATATCTTCGTTTCAAAATTAGACAGAATGATTCTCAGAAACTCCTTTGTGATGTGTGCGTTCAACTCACAGAGTTCAACCTTTCTTTTCATAGAGCAGTTGGGAAACACTCTCTTTGTAAAGTCTGCAAGTGGATATTCAGACTTCTTTGAGGCCTTCGTTGGAAGCGGGATTTCTTCATATTCTGCTAGACAGAAGAATTCTCAGTAACTTCCTTGTGTTGTGTGTATTCAACTCACAGAGTTGAACGATCCTTTACACAGAGCAGACTTGAAACACTCTTTTTGTGGAATTTGCAAGTGGAGATTTCAGCCGCTTTGAGGTCAATGGTAGAATAGGAAATATCTTCCTATAGAAACTAGCCAGAATGATTCTCAGAAACTCCTTTGTGATTTGGGTGTTCAACTCACAGAGTGTAACCTTTCTTTTCATAGAGCAGTTAGGAAACACTCTGTTTGTAAAGTCTGCAAGTGGATATTTTTACCTCTTTGAGGCCTTCGTTGGAAACGGGTTTTTTTCATGTAAGGCTAGACAGAAGAATTCTCAGTAACTTCCTTGTGTTGTGTGTATTCAACTGACAGAGTTGAACTTTCATTTAGAGAGAGCAGATTTGAAACACTCTTTTTTTGGAATTTGCAAGTGGAGATTTCAAGCGCTTTGAGGCCAAAGGCAGAAAAGGAAATATCTTCGTATAAAAACTAGACAGAATCATTCTCAGAAACTGCTCTGCGATGTGTGCGTTCAGATCTCAGAGTTTAACTTTTCTTTTCATTCAGCAGTTTGGAAACACTCTGTTTGTAAAGTCTGCACGTGGATATTTTGACCACTTAGAGGCCTTCGTTGGAAACGGGATTTTGTCATGTAAGGCTAGACAGAAGAATTCCCAGTAACTTCCTTGTGTTGTGTACATTCAACTCACAGAGTTGAACGTTCCCTTATACAGAGCAGATTTGAAACACTCTTTTTGTGAAATTGGCAAGTGGAGATATCAAGCGCTGAAGGTCAATGGCAGAAAAGGAAATATCTTCGTTTCAAAACTAGACAGAATCATTCCCACAAACTGCGTTGTGATGTGTTCGTTCAACTCACAGAGTTTAACCTTTCTTTTCATAGAGCAGTTAGGAAACAGTCTGTTTGTCAATTCTGTAAGTGGATATTCTGACATCTTGTGGCCTTCGTTGGAAACGGGATTTTTTCATATTCTGCTAGACAGAAGAATTCTCAGTAACTTCCTTGTGTTGTGTGTATTCAACTCACAGAGTTGAACGATCCTTTACAGAGAGCAGACTTGAAACACTCTTTTTGTGGAATTTGCAAGTGGAGATTTCAGCCGCTTTGAGGTCAATGGTAGAATAGGAATTATCTTCCTATAGAAACTAGACAGAATGATTCTCAGAAACTCCTTTGTGATGTGTGCGTTGAACTCACAGAGTTTAACCTTGCTTTTCATAGAGCAGTTAGGAAACACTCTGTTTGTAATGTCTGCAAGTGGATATTCAGACCTCCTTGAGGCCTTCGTTGGAAAAGGGATTTCTTCATATTATGCTAGACAGAAGAATTCTCAGAAACTTCCTTGTGTTGTGTGTTTTCAACTCACAGAGTTGAACGATCCTGTACACAGAGCAGACTTGAAACACTCTTTTTGTGGAATTTGCAAGTGGAGATTTCAGCCGCTTTGAGGTCAATGGTAGAATAGGAAATATCTTCCTATAGAAACTAGACAGAATCATTCTCAGAAACTGCTCTGCGATGTGTGCGTTCAACTCTCAGAGTTTAACTTTTCTTTTCATTCAGCAGTTTGGAAACACTCTGTTTGTAAAGTCTGCACGTGGATATTTTGACCACTTAGAGGCCTTCGTTGGAAACGGGTTTTTTTCCTGTAAGGCTAGACAGAAGAATTCTCAGTAACTTCCTTGTGTTGTGTACATTCAGCTCACAGAGTTGAACGTTCCCTTAGACAGAGCAGATTTGAAACACTCTTTTTGTGCAATTGGCAAGTGGTGATTTCAGCCGCTTTGAGGTCAATGGTAGAAAAGGAAATATCTTCGTATAAAAACTAGACAGAATCATTCCCACAAACTGCGTTGTGATGTGTTCGTTCAACTCACAGAGTTTAACCTTTCTTTTCATAGAGCAGTTAGGAAACAGTCTATTTGAAAATTCTGTAAGTGGATATTCTGACATCTTGTGGCCTTCGTTGGAAACGGGATTTCTTCATATTCTGCTAGACAGAAGAATTCTCACTAACTTCCTTGTGTTGTGTGTATTCAACTCACAGAGTTGAACGATCCTTTACACAGAGCGGACTTGAAACACTCATTTTGTGGAATTTGCAAGTGGAGATTTCAGCCGCGTTGAGGTCAATGGTAGAAAAGGAAATATCTTCGTATAAAAACTAGACAGAATGATTCTCAGAAACTCCTTTGTGATGTGTGTGTTCAACTCACAGAGTTTCACCTTTCTTTTCATAGAGCAGATAGGAAACACTCTGTTTGTAAAGTCTGCAAGTGGATATTCACACCTCTTTGAGGCCTTCGTTGGAAACGGGTTTTTTTCATATAAGGCTAGACAGAAGAATTCCCAGTAACTTCCCTTGTGTTGTGTGTGTTCAACTCACAGAGTTGAACTTTCATTTACACAGAGCAGATTTGAAACACTCTTTTTGTGGAATTTGCAAATGGAGATTTCAAGCGCTTTGAGGCCAAAGGCAGAAAAGGAAATATCTTCGTTTCAAAACTAGACAGAATCATTCTCAGAAACTGCTCTGCGATGTGTGCGTTCAACTCTCAGAGTTTAACTTTTCTTTTCATTCAGCAGTTTGGAAACACTCTGTTTGTAAAGTCTGCACGTGGATATTTTGACCACTTAGAGGCCTTCGTTGGAAACGGGTTTTTTCCTGTAAGGCTAGACAGAAGAATTCCCAGTAACTTCCTTGTGTTGTGTACATTCAACTCACAGAGTTGAACGTTCCCTTAGAAAGAGCAGATTTGAAACACTCTTTTTGTGCAATTGGCAAGTGGAGATTTCAAGCGATTTAAGGTCAATGGCAGAAAAGGAAATATCTTCGTTTCAAAACTAGACAGAATGATTCTCAGAAACTCCTTTGTGATGTGTGCGTTCAACTCACAGAGTTTAACCTTTCTGTTCATAGAGCAGTTAGGAAACACTCTGTTTGTAAAGTCTGCAAGTGGATATTCAGACCTCTTTGAGGCCTTCGTTTTAAACGGGATTTCTTCATATTATGCTAGACAGAATAATTCTCAGTAACTTCCTTGTGTTGTGTGTATTCAACTCACAGAGTTGAACGATCCTTTACACAGAGCAGACTTGAAACACTCTATTTGTAGAATTTGCAAGTGGAGATTTCAGCCGCTTTGAGGTCAATAGTAGAAAAGGAAATATCTTCGTAGAAAAACTAGACAGAATGATTCTCAGAAACTCCTTTGTGATGTGTGCATTCAACTCACAGAGTTTAACCTTTCTTTTCATAGAGCAGTTAGGAAACACTCTGTTTGTAAAGTCTGCAACTGGATATTCAGACCTCTTTGAGGCCTTCGTTGGAAACGGGATTTCTTCATATTATGCTAGACAGAAGAATTCTCAGTAAATTCCTTGTTTTGTGTGTATTCAACTCACAGAGTTGGACGATCCTTTACACAGAGCAAACTTGAAACACTCTTTTTGTGGAATTTGCAATTGGAGATTTCAGCCGCTTTGAGGTCAATTGTAGAAAAGGAAATATCTTCGTATAAAAACTAGACAGAATGATTCTCAGAAACTCCCTTGTGATGTGCGCGTTCAACTCACAGAGTTTAACCTTTCTTTTCATAGAGCAGTTAGGAAACACTCAGTTTGTAAAGTCTGCAAGTGGATATTCAGACCTCCTTGAGGCCTTCGTTGGAAACGGGATTTCTTCATATTATGCTAGACAGAAGAATTCCCAGTAACTTCCTTGTGTTGTGTACATTCAACTCACAGAGTTGAACGTTCCCTTAGACAGAGCAGATTTGAAACACTCTTTTTGTGCAATTGGCAAATGGAGATTTCAAGCGCTTTAAGGTCAATGGCAGGAAAGGAAATATCTTCGTTTCAAAACTAGACAGAATCATTCCCACAAACTGCGTTGTCATGTGTTCGTTCAACTCACAGAGTTTAACCTTTCTTTTCATAGAGCAGTTAGGAAACAGTCTGTTTGTAAATTCTGTAAGTGGATATTCTGACATCTTGTGGCCTTCGTTGGTAACGGGATTTCTTCATATTCTGCTAGACAGAATAATTCTCAGTAACTTCCTTGTGTTGTGTGTATTCAACTCACAGATTTGAAGGATCCTTTACAGAGAGCAGGCTTGAAACACTCTTCTTCTCGAATTTGCAAGTGGAGATTTCAGCCGCTTTGAGGTCAATGGTAGAAAAGTAAATATCTTCGTATAAAGACGAGACAGAATTATTCTCAGAAACTCCTTTGTGATGTGTGCGTTCAACTCACAGAGTTTAACCTTTCTTTTCATAGAGCAGTTAGGAAACACTCTGTTTGTAAAGTCTGCAAGTGGATATTCAGACATCTTTGAGGCTTTCGTTGAAAACGGGATTTCTTCATATTATGCTAGACAGAAGAATTCCCAGTAACTTCCTTGTGTTGTGTGTGTTCAACTCACAGAGATGAACTCTCATTTACACAGAGCAGATTTGAAACTCTCTTTTTGTGGAATTTGCAAATGGAGATTTCAAGCGCTTTGAGGCCAAAGGCAGAAAAGGAAATATCTTCGTATAAAAACTAGACAGAATCATTCTCAGAAACTGCTGCGTGATGTGTGCGTTCAACTCTCAGAGTTTAACTTTTCTTTTCATTCAGCGGTTTGGAAACACTCTGTTTGTAAAGTCTGCACGTGGAAATTTTGACCACATAGAGGCCTTCGTTGGAAACGGGTTTTTTTCATGTAAGGCTAGACAGAAGAATTCCCAGTAACTTCCTTGTGTTGTGTGCATTCAACTCACAGAGTTGAACGTTCCCTTAGACAGAGCAGATTTGAAACACTCTATTTGTGCAATTTGCAAGTGTAGATTTCAAGCGCTTTAAGGTCAATGGCAGAAAAGGAAATATCTTCGTTTCAAAACTAGACAGAATGATTCTCAGAAACTCCTTCGTGATGTGTGCGTTCAACTCACAGAGTTTAACCTTTCTTTTCATAGAGCAGTTAGGAAACACTCTGTTTGTAAAGTCTGCAAGTGGATATTCAGACCTCTTTGAGGCCTTCGTTGGAAACGGGATTTCTTCATATTCTGCTAGACAGAAGAATTCTCAGTAACTTCCTTGTGTTGTGTGTATTCAACTCACAGAGTTGAACGATCCTTTACACAGAGCAGACTTGAAACACTCTTTTTGTGGAATTTGCAAGTGGAGATTTCTGCCGCTTTGAGGTCAATGGTAGAATAGGAAATATCTTCCTATAGAAACTAGACAGAATGATTCTCAGAAACTTCTTTGTGATGTGTGTGTTCAACTCACAGTGTTTAACCTTTCTTTTCATAGAGCAGTTAGGAAACACTGTGTTTTTAAACTCTGCAAGTGGATATTCAGACCTCTTTGAGGCCTTCGTTGGAAACGGGTTTCTTCATACTGTGCTAGACAGAAGAATTCTCAGTAACTTACCTTGTGTTGTGTGTATTCAACTCACAGAGTTGAACGATCCTTTACACAGAGCAGACTTGTAACACTCTTTTTGTGGAATTTGCAAGTTGAGATTTCAGCCGCTTTGAAGTCAAAGATAGAAAAGGAAATATCTTCCTATAAAAACTAGACAGAATGATTCTCAGAAACTCCTTTGTGATGTGTGCGTTCAACTCACAGAGTTTAACTTTTCTTTTCATAGAGCAGTTAGGAAACACTCTGTTTGTAAAGTCTGCAAGTGGATATTCAGACCTCTTTGAGGCCTTCGTTGGAAACGGGATTTATTCATATTCTGCTAGACAGAAGAATTCCCAGTAACTTCCTTGTGTTGTGTGCATTCAACTCACAGAGTTGAACGTTCCCTTAGACAGAGGAGATTTGAAACACTCTATTTGTGCAATTTGCAAGTGTAGATTTCAAGCGCTTTAAGGTCAATGGCAGAAAAGGAAATATCTTCGTTTCAAAGCTAGACAGAATCATTCCCACAAACTGCGTTGTGATGTGTTCGTTCAACTCACAGAGTTTAACCTTTCTGTTCATAGAGCAGTTAGGAAACACTCTGTTTGTAAAGTCTGCAAGTGGATATTCAGACCTCCTTGAGGCCTTCGTTGGAAACTGGATTTCTTCATATTCTGCTAGACAGAAGAATTCTCAGTGACTTCCTTGTGTTGTGTGTATTCAACTCACAGAGTTGAACGATCCTTTACACAGAGCAGACTTGAAACACTCTTTTTGTGGAATTTGCAAGTGGAGATTTCAGCCGCTTTGAGGTCAATGGTAGAATAGGAAATATCTTCCTATAGAAACTAGACAGAATGATTCTCAGAAACTCCTTTGTGATGTGTGTGTTCAACTCACAGAGTTTAACCTTTCTTTTCATAGAGCAGTTAGGAAACACTCTGTTTGTAAAGACTGCAAGTGGATATTCAGGCCTCTTTGAGGCCTTCGTTGGAAACGGGTTTTTTTCATATAAGGCTAGACAGAAGAATTCTCAGTAACTTCCCTTGTGTTGTGTGTATTCAACTGACAGAGTTGAACTTTCATTTGGAGAGAGCAGATTTGAAACACTGTTTTTGTGGAATTTGCAAGTGGAGATTTCAAGCGCTTTGCGGCCAAAGGCTGAAAAGGAAATATCCTCGTATAAAAACAAGACAGAATCATTCTCAGAAACTGCTCTGTGATGTGTGCGTTCAACTCTCAGAGTTTAACTTTTCTT
Organism: Homo sapiens; assembly: GCF_000001405.40. Taxonomy (NCBI): domain Eukaryota; kingdom Metazoa; phylum Chordata; class Mammalia; order Primates; family Hominidae; genus Homo; species Homo sapiens. The sequence goes on from NC_000001.11 coordinate 124,702,061, forward strand.
TTCATTCAGCAGTTTGGAAACACTCTGTTTGTAAAGTCTGCACGTGGATAACTTGACCACTTAGAGGCCTTCGTTGGAAACGGGTTTTTTTCATGTAAGGCTAGACAGAAGAATTCCCAGTAACTTCCTTGTGTTGTGTACATTCAACTCACAGAGTTGAACGTTCCCATAGACAGAGCAGATTTGAAACACTCTTTTTGTGCAATTGGCAAGTGGAGATTTCAAGCGCTTTAAGGTCAATGGCAGAAAAGGAAATATCTTCGTTTCAAAACTAGACAGAATCATTCCCACAAACTGCGTTGTGATGTGTTCGTTCAACTCACAGAGTTTAACCTTTCTTTTCATAGAGCAGTTAGGAAACAGTCTGTTTGTAAATTCTGTAAGTGGATATTCTGACATCTTGTGGCCTTCGTTGGAAACGGGATTTCTTCATATTCTGCTAGACAGAAGAATTCTCAGTAACTTCCTTGTGTTGTGTTTATTCAACTCACAGAGTTGAACGATCCTTTACACAGAGCAGACTTGAAACACTCTTTTTCTTGAATTTGCAAGTGGAGATTTCAGCCGCTTTGAGGTCAATGGTAGAAAAGGAAATATCTTCGTATAAAGACTAGACAGAATGATTCTCAGAAACTTCATTGTGACGTGTGCGTTCAACTCACAGAGTTTAACCTTTCTTTTCATAGAGCAGTTAGGAAACACTCTGTTTGTAAAGTCTGCAAGTGGATATTCAGACCTCTCTGAGGCCTTCGTTGGAAACGGGATTTCTTCATACTGTGCTAGACAGAAGAATTCTCAGTAACTTCCTTGTGTTGTGTGTATTCAACTCACAGAGTTGAACGATCCTTTACACAGAGCAGACTTGAACCATTCTTTTTGTGGAATTTGCAAGTGGAGATTTCAGCCGCTTTGAGGTCAATGGTAGAATAGGAAATATCTTCCTATAGAAACTAGACAGAATCATTCTCAGAAACTGCTCTGCGATGTGTGCGTTCAACTCTCAGAGTTTAACTTTTCTTTTCATTCAGCAGTTTGGAAACACTCTGTTTGTAAAGTCTGCACGTGGATATTTTGACCACTTAGAGGCCTTCGTTGGAAACGGGTTTTTTTCCTGTAAGGCTAGACAGAAGAATTCCCAGTAACTTCCTTGCGTTGTGTACATTCAACTCACAGAGTTGAACGTTCCCTTAGACAGAGCAGATTTGAAACACTCTTTTTGTGCAATTGGCAAGTGGAGATTTCAAGCGCTTTAAGGTCAATGGCAGAAAAGGAAATATCTTCGTTTCAAAACTAGACAGAAATCATTCCCACAAACTGCGTTGTGATGTGTTCGTTCATCTCACAGAGTTTAACCTTTCTTTTCGTAGAGCAGTTAGGAAACAGTCTGTTTGTAAATTCTGTAAGTGGATATTCTGACATCTTGTGGCCTTCGTTGGAAACGGGATTTCTTCATATTCTGCTAGACAGAAGAATTCTCAGAATCTTCCTTGTGTTGTGTGTATTCAACTCACACAGTTGAACGATTGTTTACACAGAGCAGATTTGAAACACTCTTTCTGTGGAATTTGCAAGTGGAGATTTCAGCCGCTTTGAGGTCAATGGTAGAAAAGGAAATATCTTCGTATAAAAAACTAGACAGAATGATTCTCAGAAACTCCTGTGTGATGTGTGCGTTCAACTCACAGAGTTTAACCTTTCTTTTCATAGAGCAGTTAGGAAACACTCTGTTTGTAAAGTCTGCAAGTGGATATTCAGACCTCTTTGAGGCCTTCGTGGGAAACGGGTTTTTTTCATATAAGGCTAGACAGAAGAATTCCCAGTAACTTCCTTGTGTTGTGTGTGTTCAACTCACAGAGTTGAACTTTCATTTACACAGAGCAGATTTGAAACACTCTTTTTGTGGAATTTGCAAGTGGAGATTTCAAGCGCTTTGAGGCCAAAGGCAGAAAAGGAAATATCTTCTTTTGAAAACTAGACAGAATCATTCTCAGAAACTGCTCTGCGATGTGTGCGTTCAACTCTCAGAGTTTAACTTTTCTTTTCATTCAGCAGTTTGGAAACACTCTGTTTGTAAAGTCTGCACGTGGATATTTTGACCACTTAGAGGCCTTCGTTGGAAACGGGTTTTTTTCCTGTAAGGCTAGACAGAAGAATTCCCAGTAACTTCCTTGTGTTGTGTGCATTCAACTCACAGAGTTGAACGTTCCCTTAGACAGAGCAGATTTGAAACACTCTATTTGTGCAATTTGCAAGTGTAGATTTCAAGCGCATTAAGGTCAATGGCAGAAAAGGAAATATCTTCGTTTCAAAATTAGACAGAATCATTCCCACAAACTGCGTTGTGATGTGTTCGTTCAACTCACAGAGTTTTACCTTTCTGTTCATAGAGCAGTTAGGAAACACTCTGTAAAGTCTGTAAGTGGATATTCTGACATCTTGTGGCCTTCGTTGGAAACGGGATTTCTTCATATTCTGCTAGACAGAAGAATTCCCAGTAACTTCCTTGTGTTGTGTGTGTTCAACTCACAGAGTTGAACTTTCATTTACACAGAGCAGATTTGAAACACTCTTTTTGTGCAATTGGCAAGTGGTGATTTCAGCCGCTTTGAGGTCAATGGTAGAAAAGGAAATATCTTCGTATAAAAACTAGACAGAATGATTCTCAGAAACTCCTTTGTGATGTGTGCGTTCAACTCACAGAGTTTAACCTTTCTTTTCATAGAGCAGTTAGGAAACACTCTGTTTGTAAAGTCTGCAAGTGGATATTCAGACCTCTTTGAGGCCTTCGTTGGAAACGGGTTTTATTCATATAAGGCTAGACAGAAGAATTCCCAGTAACTTCCTTGTGTTGTGTGTGTTCAACTCACAGAGTTGAACTTTCATTTACACAGAGCAGATTTGAAACACTCTTTTTGTGGAATTTGCAGGTGGAGATTTCAAGCGCTTTGAGGCCAAAGGCAGAGAAGGAAATATCTTCGTATAAAACCTAGACAGAATCATTCTCAGAAACTGCTGCGTGATGTGTGCGTTCAACTCTCAGAGTTTAACTTTTCTTTTCATTCAGCGGTTTGGAAACACTCTGTTTGTAAAGTCTGCACGTGGATATTTTGACCACTTAGAGGCCTTCGTTGGAAACGGGTTTTTTTTCATGTAAGGCTAGACAGAAGAATTCTCAGTAACTTCCTTGTGTTGTGTGTATTCAACTCACAGAGTTGCACGATCCTTTACACAGAGCAGACTTGAAACACTCTTTTTGTGGAATTTGCAAGTGGAGATTTCAGCCACTTTGAGGTCAATGGTAGAATAGGAAATATCTTCCTATAGAAACTAGACAGAATGATTCTCAGAAACTCCTTTGTGATGTGTGCGTTCAACTCACAGAATTTAACATTTCTTTTCATAGAGCAGTTAGGAAACACTCTGTTTGTAAAGTCTGTAAGTGGATATTCAGACCTCTTTGAGGCCTTCGTTGGAAACGGGATTTCTTCGTATTCTGCTAGACAGAAGAATTCTCAGTAACTTCCTTGTGTTGTGTGTATTCAACTCACAGAGTTGAACGATCCTTTACAGAGAGCAGACTTGAAACACTCTTTTTGTGGAATTTGCAAGTGGAGATTTCAGCCGCTTTGAGGTCAATGGTAGAATAGGAAATATCTTCGTAGAAAAACTAGACAGAATGATTCTCAGAAACTCCCTTGTGATGTGTGCGTTCAACTCACAGAGTTTAACCTTTCTTTTCATAGAGCAGTTAGGAAACACTCTGTTTGTAAAGTCTGCAAGTGGATATTCAGACCTCCTTGAGGCCTTCGTTGGAAACGGGATTTCTTCATATTATGCTAGACAGAAGAATTCTCAGTACCTTCCTTGTGTTGTGTGTATTCAACTCACAGAGTTGAACGATCCTTTACACAGAGCATACTTGAAACACTCTTGTTGTGGAATTTGCAAGTGGAGATTTCAGCCGCTTTGAGGTCAATGGTAGAATAGGAAATATCTTCCTATAGAAACTAGACAGAATGATTCTCAGAAACTCCTTTGTGATGTGTGCGTTGAACTCACAGGGTTTAACCTTTCTTTTCATAGAGCAGTTAGGAAACACTCTCTTTGTAAAGTCTGGAAGTGGATATTCAGACCTCCTTGAGGCCTTCGTTGGAAACGGGATTTCTTCATATTATGCTAGACAGAAGAATTCCCAGTAACTTCCTTGTGTTGTGTACATTCAACTCACGGAGTTGAACGTTCCCTTAGACAGAGCAGATTTGAAACACTCTTTTTGTGCAATTGGCAAATGGAGATTTCAAGCGCTTTAAGGTCAATGGCAGAAAAGGAAATATCTTCGTTTCAAAACTAGACAGAATCATTCCCACAAACTGCGTTGTGATGTGTTCGTTCAACTCACAGAGTTTAACCTTTCTTTTCATAGAACAGTTAGGAAACAGTCTGTTTGTAAATTCTGTAAGTGGATATTCTGATATCTTTTGGCCTTCGTTGGAAACGGGATTTCTTCATATTCTGCTAGACAGAAGAATTCTCAGTAACTTCCTTGTGTTGTGTGTATTCAACTCACAGAGTTGAACGATCCTTTACACAGAGCAGACTTGAAACACTCTTTTTGTGGAATTTGCAAGTGGAGATTTCAGCCGCTTTGAGGTCAATGGTAGAAAAGGAAATATCTTCGTATAAAGACTAGACAGAATGATTCTGAGAAACTCCTTTCTGATGTGTGCGTTCAACTCACAGAGTTTAACCTTTCTTTTCATAGAGCAGTTAGGAAACACTCTGTTTGTAAAGTCTGCAAGTGGATATTCAGACCTCCTTGAGGCCTTCGTTGGAAACGGGATTTCTTCATATTATGCTAGACAGAAGAATTCCCAGTAACTTCCTTGTGTTGTGTGTGTTCATCTCACAGAGTTGAACTTTCATTTACACAGAGCAGATTTGAAACACTCTTTTTGTGGAATTTGCAGGTGGAGATTTCAAGCGCTTTGAGGCCAAAGGCAGAAAAGGAAATATCTTCGTATAAAAACTAGACAGAATCATTCTCAGAAACTGCTCTGCGATGTGTGCGTTCAACTCTCAGAGTTTAACTTTTCTTTTCATTCAGCAGTTTGGAAACACTCTGTTTGTAAAGTCTGCACGTGGATATTTTGACCACTTAGAGGCCTTCGTTGGAAACGGGTTTTTTTCCTGTAAGGCTAGACAGAAGAATTCCCAGTAACTTCCTTGTGTTGTGTACATTCAACTCACAGAGTTGAACGTTTCCTTAGACAGAGCAGATTTGAAACACTCTTTTTGTGCAATTGGCAAGTGGAGATTTCAAGCGCTTTGAGGTCAATGGCAGAAAAGGAAATATCTTCGTTTCAAAACTAGACAAAATCATTCCCACAAACTGCGTTCTGATGTGTTCGTTCAACTCACAGAGTTTAACCTTTCTGTTCATAGAGCAGTTAGGAAACACTCTGTTTGTAAAGTCTGTAAGTGGATATTCTGACATCTTGTGGCCTTCGTTGGAAACGGGATTTCTTCATATTCTGCTAGACAGAAGAATTCTCAGTAACTTCCGCGTGTTGTGTGTATTCAACTCACAGAGCTGAACGATCCTTTACACAGAGTAGACTTGAAACACTCTTTTTGTGGAATTTGCAAGTGGAGATTTCAGCCGCTTTGAGGTCAATGGTAGAAAAGGAAATATCTTCCTATAAAAACTAGACAGAATGATTCTCAGAAACTCCTTTGTGATGTGTGCGTTCAACTCACAGAGTTTAACCTTTCTTTTCATAGCGCAGTTGGGAAACACACTGTTTGTAAAGTCTGCAAGTGGATATTCAGACATCCTTGAGGCTTTCGTTGGAAACGGGATTTCTTCATATTCTGCTAGAAAGAAGAATTCTCAGTAACTTCCTTGTGTTGTGTGTATTCAACTCACAGAGTTGAACGATCCTTTACAGAGAGCAGACTTGAAACACTCTTTTTGTGGAATTTGCAAGTGGAGATTTCAGCCGCTTTTCTGGTCAATGGTAGAATAGGAAATATCTTCCAATAGAAACTAGACAGAATGATTCTCAGAAACTCCTTTGTGATGTGTGCGTTCAACTCACAGAGTTTAACTTTTCTTTTCATAGAGCAGTAAGGAAACACTCTGTTTGTAAAGTCTGCAAGTGGATATTCAGACCTCTTTGAGGCCTTCGTTGGAAACGGGATTTCTTCATATTCTGCTAGACAGAAGAATTCCCAGTAACTTCCTTGTGTTGTGTGCATTCAACTCACAGAGTTGAACGTTCCCTTAGACAGAGAAGATTTGAAACACTCTATTTGTGCAATTTGCAAGTGTAGATTTCAAGCGCTTTAAGGTCAACGGCAGAAAAGGAAATATCTTCGTTTCAAAACCAGACAGAATCATTCCCACAAACTGCGTTGTGATGGGTTCGTTCAACTCACAGAGTTTAACCTTTCCGTTCATAGAGCAGTTAGGAAACACACTGTTTGTAAAGTCTGTAAGTGGATATTCTGACATCTTGTGGCCCTCGTTGGAAACGGGATTTCTTCATATTCTGCTAGACAGAAGAATTCTCAGAATCTTCCTTGTGTTGTGTGTATTCAACTCACAGAGTTGAACGATCCTTTACACAGAGCAGACTTGAAACACTCTTTTTGTGGAATTTGCAAGTGGAGATTTCAGCCGCTTTGAGGTCCCATGGTAGAAAAGGAAATATCTTCGTATAAAAACTAGACAGAATGATTCTCAGAAACTTCTTTGTGATGTGTGTGTTCAACTGACAGAGTTTAACCTTTCTTTTCATAGAGCAGTTAGGAAACACTCTGTTTGTAAACTCTGCAAGTGGATATTCAGACCTCTTTGAGGCCTTCGTTGGAAACGGGTTTTGTTCATATAAGGCTAGACAGAATAATTCTCAGTAACTTCCTTGTGTTGTGTTTATTCAACTCACAGAGTTGAATGATCCTTTACAGAGAGCAGACTTGAAACACTCTTTTTGTGGAATTTGCAAGTGGAGATTTCAGCCGCTTTGAGGTCAATGGTAGAAAAGTAAATATCTTCGTATAAAGACTAGACAGAATCATTCTCAGAAACTGCTCTGCGATGTGTGCGTTCAACTCTCAGAGTTTAACTTTTCTTTTCATTCAGCAGTTTGGAAACACTCTGTTTGTAAAGTCTGCACGTGGATAATTTGACCACTTAGAGGCCTTCGTTGGAAACGGGTTTTTTTCATGTAAGGCTAGACAGAAGAATTCCCAGTAACTTCATTGTGTTGTGTACATTCTACTCACAGAGTTGAACGTTCCCTTAGACAGAGCAGATTTGAAACACTCTTTTTGTGCAATTGGCAAGTGGTGATTTCAACCGCTTTGAGGTCAATGGTAGAAAGGGAAATATCTTCGTATTAAAACTAGACAGAATCATTCCCACAAACTGCGTTGTGATGTGTTCGTTCAACTCACAGAGTTTAACCTTTCTGTTCATAGAGCAGTTAGGAAAAACTCTGTTTGTAAAGTCTGTAAGTAGATATTCTGACATCTTGTGGCCTTCTTTGGAAACGGGATTTCTTCATATTCTGCTAGACAGAAGAATTCTCAGTAACTTACCTTGTGTTGTGTGTATTCAACTCACAGAGTTGAACGATCCTTTACACAGAGCAGACTTGAAACACTCTTTTTGTGGAATTTTGCAAGTGGAGATTTCAGCCGCTTTGAGGTCAATGGTAGAAAAGGAAACTATCTTCATATAAAGACTAGACAGAATGATTCTCAGGAACTCCTTTGTGATGTGTGAGTTCAACTCACAGAGTTTATCCTTTCTTTTCATAGAGCAGTTAGGAAACACTCTGTTTGTAAAGTCTGCAAGTGGATATTCAGACCTCTTTGAGGCCTTCGTTGGAAACGGGATTTCTTCATATTCTGCTAGACAGAAGAATTCTCAGTAACTTCCTTGTGTTGTGTGTATTCAACTGACAGAGTTGAACTTTCATTTGGAGAGAGCAGATTTGAAACACTGTTTTTGTGGAATTTGCAAGTGGAGATTTCAAGCGCTTTTGGGCCAAAGGCAGAAAAGGAAATATCTTCGTATAAAAACTAGACAGAATCATTCTCAGAAACTGCTCTGCGATGTGTGCGTTCAACTCTCAGAGTTTAACTTTTCTTTTCATTCAGCAGTTTGGAAACACTCTGTTTGTAAAGTCTGCACTTGGATATTTTGACCACTTAGAGGCCTTCGTTGGAAACGGGTTTTTTTCCTGTAAGGCTAGACAGAAGAATTCCCAGTAACTTCCTTGTGTTGTGTGCATTCAACTCACAGAGTTGAACGTTCCCTTAGACAGAGCAGATTTGAAACACTCTATTTGTGCAATTGGCAACTGTAGATTTCAAGCGTTTAAGGTCAATGGCAGAAAAGGAAATATCTTCGTTTCAAAACTAGACAGAATCATTCCCACAAACTGCGTTGTGATGTGTTCGTTCAACTCACAGAGTTTAACCTTTCTGTTCATAGAGCAGTTAGGAAACACTCTGTTTGTAAAGTCTGTAAGTGGATATTCTGACATCTTGTGGCCTTCGTTGGAAACGGGATTTCTTCATATTCTGCTAGACAGAAAGAATTCTCAGTAACTTCCTTGTGTTGTGTGTATTCAACTCACAGTGTTGAACGATCCTTTACACAGAGCATACTTGAAACACTCTTTTTGTGGAATTTGCAAGTGGAGATTTCAGCCGCTTTGATGTCAATGGTAGAAAAGGAAATAACTTCGTATAAAGACTAGACAGATGATTCTCAGAAACTCCTTTGTGATGTGTGCGTTCAACTCACAGAGTTTAACCTTTCTTTTCATAGAGCAGTTAGGAAACACTCTGTTTGTAAAAGTCTGCAAGTGGATATTCAGACCTCTTTGAGGCCTTCGTTGGAAACGGGTTTTTTTCATATAAGGCTAGACAGAAGAATTCTCAGTAACTTCCTTGTGTTGTGTGTATTCAGCTGACAGAGTTGAACTTTCATTTAGAGAGAGCAGATTTGAAACACTGTTTTTGTGGAATTTGCAAGTGGAGATTTCAAGCGCTTTGGGGCCAAAGGCAGAAAAGGAAATATCTTCGTATAAAAACTAGACAGAATCATTCTCAGAAACTGCTCTGCTGATGTGTGCGTTCAACTCTCAGAGTTTAACTTTTCTTTTCATTCAGCAGTTTGGAAACACTCTGTTTGTAAAGTCTGCACGTGGATATTTTGACCATTTAGAGGCTTTCGTTGGAAACGGGTTTTTTTCTTGTAAGGCTAGACAGAAGAATTCCCAGTAACTTCCTTGTGTTGTGTGCAATCAAATCACAGAGTTGAACGTTCCCTTAGACAGAGTAGATTTGAAACACTCTATTTGTGCAATTTGCAAGTGTAGATTTCAAGCGCTTTAAGGTCAAAGGCAGAAAAGGAAATATCTTCGTTTCAAAACTAGACAGAATGATTCTCAGAAACTTCTTTGTGATGTGTGCGTTCAACTCAGAGAGTTTAACATTTCTTTTCATAGAGCAGTTAGGAAACACTCTGTTTGTAAACTCTGCAAGTGGATATTCAGACCTCTTCGAGGTCTTCGTTGGAAACGGGATTTCTTCATACTGTGCTAGACAGAAGAATTCTCAGTAACTTCCTTGTGTTGTGTGTATTCAACTCACAGAGTTGAACGATCCTTTACACAGAGCAGACTTGGAACACTCTTTTTGTGGAATTTGCAAGTGGAGATTTCAGCCGCGTTGAGGTCAATGGTAGAAAAGGAAATATCTTCGTATAAAAACTAGACAGAATGATTCTCAGAAACTCCTTTGTGATGTGTGCGTTCAACTCACAGAGTTTAACCTTTCTGTTCATAGAGCAGTTAGGAAACACTCTGTTTGTAAAGTCTGCAAGTGGATATTCAGATCCTCCTTGAGGCCTTCGTTGGAAACGGGATTTCTTCATATTCTGCTAGACAGAAGAATTCTCAGTAACTTCCTTGTGTTGTGTGTATTCAACTGACAGAGTTGAACTTTCATTTAGAGAGAGCAGATTTGAAACACTGTTTTTGTGGAATTTGCAAGTGGAGATTTCAAGCGCTTTGGGCCCAAAGGCAGAAAAGGAAATATCTTCGTATAAAAACTAGACAGAATCATTCTCAGAAACTGCTCTGCGATGTGTGCGTTCAACTCTCAGAGTTTAACTTTTCTTTTCATTCAGCAGTTTGGAAACACTCTGTTTGTAAAGTCTGCACGTGGATATTTTGACCACTTAGAGGCCTTCGTTGGAAACGGGTTTTTTTCCTGTAAGGCTAGACAGAAGAATTCCCAGTAACTTCCTTGTGTTGTGTACATTCAACTCACAGAGTTGAACCGTTCCCTTAGACAGAGCAGATTTGAAACACTCTTTTTGTGCAATTGGCAAGTGGAGATTTCAAGCGCTTTGAGGTCAATGGCAGAAAAGGAAATATCTTCGTTTCAAAACTAGACAGAATGATTCTCAGAAACTCCTTTGTGATGTGTGCGTTCAACTCACAGAGTTTAACCTTTCTTTTCATAGAGCAGTTAGGAAACACTCTGTTTGTAAAGTCTGCAAGTGGATATTCAGACATCTTTGAGGCTTTCGTTGGAAACGGGATTTCTTCATATTCTGTTAGACAGAAGAATTCTCAGAAACTTCGTTGTGTTGTGTGTTTTCAACTCACAGAGTTCAACGATCCTTTACACAGAGTAGATTTGAAACACTCTTTTTGTGGAATTGGCAGGGTGGAGATTTCAGCCGCTTTGAGGTCAATGGTAGAAAAGGAAATATCTTCGTATAAAAACTAGACAGAGTGATTCTCAGAAACTCCTTTGTGATGTCTGCGTTTAACTCACAGAGTTTAACCTTTCTTTTCATAGAGCAGTTAGGAAACACTCTGTTTGTAAAGTGTGCAAGTGGATATTCAGACCTCCTTGAGGCCTTCGTTGGAAACGGGATTTCTTCATATTCTGCTATACAGAAGAATTCCCAGTAACTTCCTTGTGTTGTGTGTGTTCAACTCACAGAGTTGAACTTTCATTTACACAGAGCAGATTTGAAACACTCTTTTTGTGGAATTTGCAAATGGAGATTTCAAGCGCTTTGAGGCCAAAGGCAGAAAAGGAAATATCTTCGTATAAAAACTAGACAGAATCATTCTCAGAAACTGCTCTGCGATGTGTGCGTTCAACTCTCAGAGTTTAACTTTTCTTTTCATTTAGCAGTTTGGAAACACTCTGTTTGTAAAGTCTGCACGTGGATATTTTGACCACTTAGAGGCCTACGTTGGAAACGGGTTTTTTTCCTGTAAGGCTAGACAGAAGAATTCCCAGTAACTTCCTTGTGTTGTGTACATTCAACTCACAGAGTTGAACGTTCCCTTAGACAGAGCAGATTTGAAACACTCTTTTTGTGCAATTGGCAAATGGAGATTTCAAGCGCTTTAAGGTCAATGGCAGAAAAGGAAATATCTTCGTTTCAAAACTAGACAGAATCATTCCCACAAACTGCGTTGTGATGTGTTCGTTCAACTCACAGCAGTTTAACCTTTCTGTTCATAGAGCAGTTAGGAAACACTCTGTTTGTAAAGTCTGTAAGTGCATATTCTGACATCTTGTGGCCTTCGTTGGAAACGGGATTTCTTCATATTCTGCTAGACAGAAGAATTCTCAGTAACTTCCTTGTGTTGTGTGTATTCAACTCACAGAGTTGAACGATCCTTTACACAGAGCAGACTTGAAACACTCTTTTTGTGGAATTTGCAAGTGGAGATTTCAGCCGCTTTGATGTCAATGGTAGAAAAGGAAATATCTTCGTATAAAGACTAGACAGAATGATTCTCAGAAACTCTTTTGTGATGTGTGCGTTCAACTCACAGAGTTTAACCTTTCTTTTCATAGAGCAGTTAGGAAACACTCTGTTTGTAAAGTCTGCAAGTGGATATTCAGACCTCTTTGAGGCCTTCGTTGGAAACGGGATTTCTTCATATTCTGCTAGACAGAAGAATTCTCAGTAACTACCTTGTGTTGTGTGTATTCACCTGACAGAGTTGAACATTCATTTAGAGAGAGCAGATTTGAAACACTGTTTTTGTGGAATTTGCAAGTGGAGATTTCAAGAGGTTTGGGGCCAAAGGCAGAAAAGGAAATATCTTCGTATAAAAACTAGACAGAATCATTCTCAGAAACTGCTCTGCGATGTGTGCGTTCAACTCTCAGAGTTTAACTTTTCTTTTCATTCAGCAGTTTGGAAACACTCTGTTTGTAAAGTCTGCACGTGGATATTTTGACCACTTAGAGGCCTTCGTTGGAAACGGGCTTTTTCCTGTAAGGCTAGACAGAAGAATTCCCAGTAACTTCCTTGTGTTGTGTACATTCAACTCACAGAGTTGAACGTTCCCTTAGACAGAGCAGATTTGAAACACTCTTTTTGTGCAATTGGCAAATGGAGATTTCAAGCGCTTTAAGGTCAATGGCAGAAAAGGAAATATCATCGTTTCAAAACTAGACAGAATGATTCTCAGAAACTCCTTTGGGATGTGCGCGTTCAACTCACAGAGTTTAACCTTTCTTTTCATAGAGCAGTTAGGAAACACTCTGTTTGTAAAGTCTGCAAGTGGATATTCAGACATCCTTGAGGCTTTCGTTGGAAACGGGATTTCTTCATATTCTGCTAGAAAGAAGAATTCTCAGTAACTTCCTTGTGTTGTGTGTATTCAACTCACAGAGTTGAACGATCCTTTACACAGAGCAGACTTGAAACACTCTTTTTGTGTAATTTGCAAGTGGAGATTTCAGCCGCTTTGAGTTCAATGGTAGAATAGGAAATATCTTCCTATAGAAACTAGACAGAATGATTCTCAGAAACTCCTTTGTGATGTGTGCGTTCAACTCACAGAGTTCAACCTTTCTTTTCATAGAGCAGTTGGGAAACACTCTGTTTGTAAAGTCTGCAAGTGGATATTCAGACTTCTTTGAGGCCTTCGTTGGAAGCGGGATTTCTTCATGTTCTGCTAGAGAGAAGAATTCTCAGAAACTTCCTTGTGTTGTGTGTTTTCAACTCACAGAGTTGAACGATCCTTTACACAGAGCAGACTTGAAACACTCTTTTTGTGGAATTTGCAAGTGGAGATTTCAGCCTCTTTGAGGTCAATGGTAGAATAGGAAATATCTTCCTATAGAAACTAGACAGAATCATTCTCAGAAACTGCTCTGCGATGTGTGCGTTCAACTCTCAGAGTTTAACTTTTCTTTTCATTCAGCAGTTTGGAAACACTCTGTTTGTAAAGTCTGCACGTGGATATTTTGACCATTTAGAGGCCTTCGTTGGAAACGGGTTTTTTTCTTGTAAGGCTAGACAGAAGAATTCCCAGTAACTTCCTTGTGTTGTGTGCATTCAACTCACAGAGTTGAACGTTCCCTTAGACAGAGCAGATTTGAAACACTCTATTTGTGCAATTTGCAAGTGTAGATTTCAAGCGCTTTAAGGTCAACGGCAGAAAAGGAAATATCTTCGTTTCAAAACTAGACAGAATCATTCCCACAAACTGCGTTGTGATGTGTTCGTTCAACTCACAGAGTTTAACCTTTCTGTTCATAGAGCAGTTAGGAAACACTCTGTTTGTAAAGTCTGCAAGTGGATATTCAGACCTCCTTGAGGCCTTCGTTGGAAACGGGATTTCCTCATATTCTGCTAGACAGAATAATTGTCAGTAACTTCCTTGTGTTGTGTGTATTCAACTCACAGAGTTGAACGATCCTTTACAGAGAGCACACTTGAAACACTCTTTTTGTGGAATTTGCAAGTGGAGATTTCAGCCGCTTTGAGGTCAATGGTAGAATAGGAAATATCTTCCTATAGAAACTAGACAGAATGATTCTCAGAAAGTCCTTTGTGATGTGTGTGTTCAAATCACAGAGTTTAACCTTTCTTTTCATAGAGCAGTTAGTAAACACTCTGTTTATAAAGTCTGCAAGTGGATAATCAGACCCCTTTGAGGCCTTCGTTGGAAACGGGATTTCCTCATATTATGCTAGACAGAAGAATTCCCAGTAACTTCCTTGTGTTGTGTGTGTTCAACTCACAGAGTTGAACTTTCATTTACACAGAGCAGATTTGAAACACTCTTTTTGTGGAATTTGCAAGTGGAGATGTCAAGCGCTTTGAGGCCAAAGGCAGAAAAGGAAATATCTTCGTAAAAAAACTAGACAGAATCATTCTCAGAAACTGCTCTGCGATGTGTGCGTTCAACTCTCAGACTTTAACTTTTCTTTTCATTCAGCAGTTTGGAAACACTCTGTTTGTAAAGTCTGCACGTGGATAATTTGACAACTTAGAGGCCTTCGTTGGAAACGGGTTTTTTCATGTAAGGCTAGACAGAAGAATTCCCAGTAACTTCCTTGTGTTGTGTACATTCAACTCACAGAGTTGAACGTTCCGTTAGACAGAGCAGATTTGAAACACTCTTTTTGTGCAATTGGCAAATGGAGATTTCAAGCGCTTTAAGTTCAATGGCAGAAAAGGAAATATCTTCGTTTCAAAACTAGACAGAATCATTGCCACAAACTGCGTTGTGATGTGTTCGTTCAACTCACAGAGTTTAACCTTTCTTTTCATAGAGCAGTTAGGAAACAGTCTGTTTGTAAATTCTGTAAGTGGATATTCTGACATCTTGTGACCTTCGTTGGAAACGGGATTTCTTCATATTCTGCTAGACAGAAGATTTCTCAGAAATTTCCTTGTGTTGTGTGTATTCAACTCACAGAGTTGAACGATCCTTTACTCAGAGAAGACTTGAAACACTCCTTCTGTGGAATTTGCAAGTTGAGATTTCAGCCGCTTTGAGGTCAATGGTAGAATAGGAAATATCTTCCTATAGAAACTAGACAGAATGATTCTCAGAAACTCCTTTGTGATGTGTGCGTTCAACTCACAGAGTTTAACCTTTCTTTTCATAGAGCAGTTAGGAAACACTCTGTTTGTAAAGTCTGCAATTGGATATTCAGACCTCTTTGAGGCCTTCGTTGGAAACGGGATTTCTTCATATTATGCTAGACAGAAGAATTCTCAGTAACTTCCTTGTGTTGTGTGTATTCAACTCACAGAGTTGGACTATCCTTTACACAGAGCAGACTTGAAACACTCTTTTTGTGGAATTTGCAAGTGGAGATTTCTGCCGCTTTGAGGTCAATGGTAGAAAAGGAAATATCTTCGTATAAAAACTAGAGAGAATCATTCTCAGAAACTGCTCTGTGATGTGTGCGTTCAACTCTCAGAGTTTAACTTTTCTTTTCATTCAGCAGTTTGGAAACACTCTGTTTGTAAAGTCTGCACGTGGATATTTTGACCATTTAGAGGCCTTCGTTGGAAACGGGTTTTTTTCTTGTAAGGCTAGACAGAAGAATTCCCAGTAACTTCCTTGTGTTGTGTACATTCAACTCACAGAGTTGAACGTTCCCTTAGACAGAGCAGATTTGAAACACTCTTTTTGTGCAATTGGCAAGTGGTGATTTCAGCTGCTTTGAGGTCAATGGTAGAAAAGGGAATATCTTCGTATAAAAACTAGACAGAATCATTCCCACAAACTGCGTTGTGATGTGTTCGTTCAACTCACAGAGTTTTACCTTTCTGTTCATAGAGCAGTTAGGAAACACTCTGTAAAGTCTGTAAGTGGATATTCTGACATCTTGTGGCCTTCGCTGGAAACGGGATTTCTTCATATTCTGCTAGACAGAAGAATTCTCAGTAACTTCCTTGTTGTTGTGTGTATTCAACTCACAGAGTTGAACGATCCTTTACACAGAGCAGACTTGTAACACTCTTTTTGTGGAATTTGCAAGTGGAGATTTCAGCCGCTTTGACGTCAAAGGTAGAAAAGGAAATATCTTCCTATAAAAACTAGACAGAATGATTCTCAGAAACTTCCTTGTGATGTGTGCGTTCACCTCACAGAGTTTAACCTTTCTTTTCATAGAGCAGTTAGGAAACACTCTGTAAAGTCTGCAAGTGGATATTCAGACCTCTTTGAGGCCTTCGTTGGAAACGGGTTTTTTTCATATAAGGCTAGACAGAAGAATTCTCAGTAACTTCCTTGTGTTGTGTGTATTCAACTCACAGAGTTGAACGATCCTTTACACAGAGCAGACTTGAAACACTCTTTTTGTGGAGTTTGCAAGTGGAGATTTCAGCCGCTTTGAGGTCAATGGTAGAAAAGGAAATATCTTCGTATAAAAACTAGACAGAATCATTCTCAGAAAATGCTCTGTGATGTGTGCGTTCAACTCTCAGAGTTTAACTTTTCTTTTCATTCAGCAGTTTGGAAACACTCTGTTTGTAAAGTCTGCACGTGGATATTTTGACCACTTAGAGGCCTTCGTTGGAAACGGGTTTTTTTCATGTAAGGGTAGACAGAAGAATTCCCAGTAACTTCCTTGTGTTGTGTGCATTCAACTCACAGAGTTGAACGTTCCCTTAGACAGAGCAGATTTGAAACACTCTATTTGTGCAATTTGCAAGTGTAGATTTCAAGCGCTTTAAGGTCAACGGCAGAAAAGGAAATATCTTCGTTTCAAAACTAGACAGAATCATTCCCACAAACTGCGTTGTGATGTGTTCGTTCAACTCACAGAGTTTAACCTTTCTGTTCATAGAGCAGTTAGGAAACACTCTGTTTGTAAAGTCTGCAAGTAGATATTGAGACCTCCTAGAGGCCTTCGTTGGAAACGGGATTTCTTCATATTCTGCTAGACAGAAGAATTCTCAGTACCTTCCTTGTGTTGTGTGTATTCAACTCACAGAGTTGAACGATCCTTTACACACAGCAGACTTGTAACACTCTTTTTGTGGAATTTGCAAGTGGAGATTTCAGCCGCTTTGAAGTCAAAGGTAGAAAAGGAAATATCTTCCTATAAAAACTAGACAGAGTGATTCTCAGAAACTCCTTTGTGATGTGTGCGTTTAACTCACAGAGTTTAACCTTTCTTTTCATAGAGCAGATAGGAAACACTCTGTTTGTAAAGTCTGCAAGTGGATATTCAGACCTCCTTGAGGCCTTCGTTGGAAACGGGATTTCTTCATATTATGCTAGACAGAAGAATTCCCAGTAACTTCCTTGTGTTGTGTGTGTTCAACTCACAGAGTTGAACTTTCATTTACACAGAGCAGATTTGAAACACTCTTTTTGTGGAATTTGCAGGTGGAGATTTCAAGCGCTTTGAGACCAAAGGCAGAAAAGGAAATATCTTCGTATAAAAACTAGACAGAATCATTCTCAGAAACTGCTCTGCGATGTGTGCGTTCAACTCTCAGAGTTTAACTTTTCTTTTCATTCAGCAGTTTGGAAACACTCAGTTTGTAAACTCTGCAAGTGGATATTCAGACCTCTTTGAGGCCTTCGTTGGAAACGGGATTTCTTCATACTATGCTAGACAGAAGAATTCCCAGTAACTTCCTTGCGTTGTGTACATTCAACTCACAGAGTTGAACGTTCCCTTAGACAGAGCAGATTTGAAACACTCTTTTTGTGCAATTGGCAAGTGGAGATTTGAAGCGCTTTGAGGTCAATGGCAGAAAAGGAATTATCTTCGTTTCAAAACTAGACAGAATGATTCTCAGAAAATCTTTTGTGATGTGTGCGTTCAACTCACAGAGTTTAACTTTTCTTCTCATAGAGCAGTTAGGAAACACTCTGTTTGTAAAGTCTGCAAGTGGATATTCAGACCTGTTTGAGGCCTTCGTTGGATACGGGATTTCTTCATATTATGCTAGACAGAATAATTCTCAGTAACTTCCTTGTGTTGTGTGTATTCAACTCACAGAGTTGAAGGATCCTTTACAGAGAGCAGGCTTGAAACACTCTTTTTGTCGAATTTGCAAGTGGAGATTTCAGCCGCTTTGAGGTCAATGGTAGAATAGGAAATATCTTCTTATAGAAACTAGACAAAATGATTCTCAGAAACTTCATTGTGATGTGTGCGTTCAACTCACAGAGTTTAACCTTTCTTTTCATAGAGCAGTTAGGAAACACTCTGTTTGTAAAGTCTGCAAGTGGATATTCAGACCTCTTTGAGGCCTTCGTTGGAAACGGGTTTTTTTCATGTAAGGCTAGACAGAAGAATTCTCAGTAACTTCCTTGTGTTGTGTGTATTCACACTGACAGAGTTGAACTTTCATTTAGAGAGAGCAGTTTTGAAACACTGTTTTTGTGGAATTTGCAAGTGGAGATTTCAAGCGCTTTGGGGCCAAAGGCAGAAAAGGAAACATCTTCGTATGAAAACTAGACAGAAATCATTCTCAGAAAACTGCTGCGTGATGTGTGCGTTCAACTCTCAGAGTTTAACTTTTCTTTTCATTCAGCGGTTTGGAAACACTCTGTTTGTAAAGACTGCACGTGGATATTTTGACCACTTAGAGGCCTTCGTTGGAAACGGGTTTTTTTCATGTAAGGCTAGACAGAAGAATTCCCAGTAACTTCCTTGTGTTGTGTGCATTCAACTCACAGAGTTGAACGTTCCCTTAGACAGAGCAGATTTGAAACACTCTATTTGTGCAATTTGCAAGTGTAGATTTCAAGCGCTTTAAGGTCAATGGCAGAAAAGGAAATATCTTCGTTTCAAAACTAGACAGAATGATTCTCAGAAACTCCTTTGTGATGTGTGCCTTCAACTCACAGAGTTTAACCTTTCTGTTCATAGAGCAGTTAGGAAACACTCTGTTTGTAAAGTCTGCAAGTGGATATCCGACCTCCTTGAGGCCTTCGTTGGAAACGGGATTTCTTCATATTCTGCTAGACAGAATAATTCTCAGTAACTTCCTTGTGTTGTGTGTATTCAACTCACAGAGTTCAACGATCCTTTACACAGAGCAGACTTGAAACACTGTTTTTGTGGAATTTGCAAGTGGAGATTTCAGCCGCTTTGAGGTCAATGGTAGAAAAGGAAATATCTTCCTATAAAAACTAGACAGAATGATTCTCAGAAACTCCTTTCTGATGTGTGCGTTCAACTCACAGAGTTTAACTTTTCTTTTCATAGAGCAGTTAGGAAACACTCTGTTTGTAAAGTCTGCAAGTGGATATTCAGACCTCTTTGAGGCCTTCGTTGGAAACGGGATTTCTTCATATTATGCTAGACAGAAGAATTCTCAGTAACTTCCTTGTGTTGTGTGTATTCAACTCACAGAGTTGAACTTTCATTTACACAGAGCAGATTTGAAACACTCTTTTTGTGGAATTTGCAAGTGGAGATTTCAAGCGCTTTGAGGCCAAAGGCAGAAAAGGAAATGTCTTCGTTTCAAAACTAGACAGAATCATTCTCAGAAACTGCTCTGCGATGTGTGCGTTCAACTCTCAGAGTTTAACTTTTCTTTTCATTCAGCAGTTTGGAAACACTCTGGTTGTAAAGTCTGCACGTGGATATTTTGACCACTTAGAGGCCTTCGTTGGAAACGGGTTTTTTTCCTGTAAGGCTAGACAGAAGAATTCCCAGTAACTTCCTTGTGTTGTGTACATTCAACTCACAGAGTTGAACGTTCCCTTAGACAGAGCAGATTTGAAACACTCTTTTTGTGCAATTGGCAAATGGAGATTTCAAGCGCTTTAAGGTCAATGGCAGAAAAGGAAATATCTTCGTTTCAAAACTAGACAGAATGATTCTCAGAAACTCCTTTGTGATGTGTGCGTTCAACTCACAGAGTTTAACTTTTCTTTTCATAGAGCAGTTAGGAAACACTCGGTTTGTAAAGTCTGCAAGTGGATATTCAGACCTCTTTGAGGCCTTCGTTGGAAACGGGATTTCTTCATATTATGCTAGACAGAAGAATTCTCAGTAACTTCCTTGTGTTGTGTGTATTCAACTCACAGAGTTGAACGATGCTTTACACAGAGCAGACTTGAAACATTCTTTTTGTGGAATTTGCAAGTGGAGATTTCAGCCGCTTTGAGGTCAATGGTAGAATAGGAAATATCTTCCTATAGAAACTAGACAGAATGATTCTCATAAACTCCTTTGTGATGTGTGCGTTGAACTCACAGAGTTTAACCTTTCTTTTCATGGAGCAGTTAGGAAACACTCTGTTTATAAAGTCTGCAAGTGGATATTCAGACCCCTTTGAGGCCTTCGTTGGAAACGGGATTTCTTCATATTATGCTAGACAGAAGAATTCTCAGTAACTTCCTTGTGTTGTGTGTATTCAACTGACAGAGTTGAACTTTCATTTAGAGAGAGCAGATTTGAAACACTGTTTTTGTGGAATTTGCAAATGGAGATTTCAAGCGCTTTGGGGCCAAAGGCAGAAAAGGAAATGTCTTCGTATAAAAACTAGACAGAATCATTCTCAGAAACTGCTGCGTGATGTGTGCGTTCAACTCTCAGAGTTTAACTTTTCTTTTCATTCAGCGGTTTGGAAACACTCTGTTTGTAAAGTCTGCACGTGGATATTTTGACCACTTAGAGGCCTTCGTTGGAAACTGGTTTTTTGCATGTAAGGCTAGACAGAAGAATTCCCAGTAACTTCCTTGTGTTGTGTGCATTCAACTCACAGAGTTGAACGTTCCCTTAGACAGAGCAGATTTGAAACAGCCTATTTGTGCAATTTGCAAGTGTAGATTTCAAGCGCTTTAAGGTCAACGGCAGAAAAGGAAATATCTTCCTTTCAAAACAAGACAGAATCATTCCCACAAACTGCGTTGTGATGTGTTCGTTCAACTCACAGAGTTTAACCTTTCTGTTCATAGAGCAGTTAGGAAACACTCTGTTTGTAAAGTCTGTAAGTGGATATTCTGACATCTTGTGGCCTTCGTTGGAAACGGGATTTCTTCATATTCTGCTAGACAGAAGAATTCTCAGTAACTTCCTTGTGTTGTGTGTATTCAACTCACAGAGTTGAACGATCCTTTACACAGAGCAGACTTGAAACACTCTTTTCGTGGAATTTGCAAGTGGAGATTTCAGCCGTTTTGAGGTCAATGGTAGAAAAGGAAATATCTTCGTATAAAGACTAGACAGAATGATTCTCAGAAACTCCTTTGTGATGCGTGCGTTCAACTCACAGAGTTTAACCTTTCTTTTCATAGAGCAGTTAGGAAACACTCTGTTTGTAAAGTCTGCAAGTGGATATTCAGACCTCCTTGAGGCCTTCGTTGGAAACGGGATTTCTTCATATTATGCTAGACAGAAGAATTCTCAGTAACTTCCTTCTGTTGTGTTTATTCAACTCACAGAGTTGAATGATCCTTTACACAGAGCAGACTTGAAACACTCTTTTTGTGGAAATTGCAAGTGGAGATTTCAGCCGCTTTGAGGTCAATGGTAGAAAAGTAAATATCTTCGTATAAAGACTAGACATAATCATTCTCAGAAACTGCTGTGTGATGTGTGCGTTCAACTCTCAGAGTTTAACTTTTCTTTTCATTCAGCGGTTTGGAAACACTCTGTTTGTAAAGTCTGCACGTGGAAATTTTGACCACTTAGAGGCCTTCGTTGGAAACGGGTTTTTTTCATGTAAGGCTAGACAGAAGAATTCCCAGTAACTTCCTTGTGTTGTGTACATTCAACTCACAGAGTTGAACGTTCCCTTAGACAGAGCAGATTTGAAACACTCTTTTTGTGCAATTGGCAAGTGGAGATTTCAAGCGCTTTAAGGTCAATGGCAGAAAAGGAAATATCTTCGTTTCAAAACTAGACAGAATCATTCCCACAAACTGCGTTGTGATGTGTTCGTTCAACTCACAGAGTTTAACTTTTCTTCTCATTCAGCAGTTTGGAAACACTCTGTTTGTAAAGTCTGCACGTGGATAATTTGACCACTTAGAGGCCTTCGTTGGAAACGGGTTTTTTTCATGTAAGGCTAGACAGAAGAATTCTCAGTAACTTCCCTTGTGTTGTGTGTATTCAACTCACAGAGTTGAACGATCCTTTACACAGAGCAGACTTGAAACACTCTTTTTGTGGAATTTGCAAGTGGAGATTTCAGCCGCTTTGAGGTCAATAGTCGAAAAGGAAATATCTTCGTAGAAAAACTAGACAAAATGATTCTCAGAAACTCCTTTGTGATGTGTGCGTTCAACTCACAGAGTTTAACCTTTCTTTTCATAGAGCAGTTAGGAAACACTCTGTTTGTAAAGTCTGCAAGTGGATATTCAGACCTCCTTGAGGCCTTCGTTGGAAACGGGATTTCTTCATGTTCTGCTATACAGAAGAATTCTCAGTAACTTCCCTTGTGTTGTGTGTATTCAACTGACAGAGTTGAACTTTCATTTAGAGAGAGCAGATTTGAAACACTGTTTTTGTGGAATTTGCAAGTGGAGATTTCAAGCGCTTTGGGACCAAAGGCAGAAAAGGAAATATCTTCGTATAAAAACTAGACAGAATCATTCTCAGAAACTGCTCTGCGATGTGTGCGTTCAACTCTCAGAGTATAACTTTTCTTTTCATTCAGCAGTTTGGAAACACTCTGTTTGTAAAGTCTGCACGTGGATAATTTGACCACTTAGAGGCCTTCGTTGGAAACGGGTTTTTTTCATGTAAGGCTAGACAGAAGAATTCCCAGTAACTTCCTTGTTGTTGTGTGCATTCAACTCACAGAGTTGAACGTTCCCTTAGACAGAGCAGATTTGAAACACTCTATTTGTGCAATTTGCAAGTGTAGATTTCAAGCGCTTTAAGGTCAATGGCAGAAAAGGAAATTTCTTCGTTTTAAAACTAGACAGAATTATTCTCAGAAACTCCTTTGTGATGTGTGCGTTCAACTCACAGAGTTCAACCTTTCTTTTCATAGAGCAGTTGGGAAACACTCTGTTTGAAAAGTCTGCAAGTGGATATTCAGACTTCTTTGAGGCCTTCGTTGGAAGCGGGATTTCTTCATGTTCTGCTAGAGAGAAGAATTCTCAGAAACTTCCTTGTGTTGTGTGTTTTCAACTCACAGAGTTGAACGATGCTTTACACAGAGTAGACTTGAAACAATCTTTTTGTGTAATTTGCAAGAGGAGATTTCAGCCGCTTTGAGGTCAATGGTAGAAAAGGAAATATCTTCGTATAAAAACTAGACAGAATGATTCTCAGAAACTCCTTTGTGATGTGTGCGTTCAACTCACAGAGTTTAACCTTTCTTTTCATAGAGCAGTTAGGAAACACTCTGTTTGTAAAGTCTGCAAGTGGATATTCAGACCTCCTTGAGGCCTTCGTTGGAAACGGGATTTCTTCATATTATGCTAGACAGAAGAATTCTCAGAAACTTCCTTGTGTTGTGTGTATTGAACTCACAGAGTTGAATGATCCTTTACTCAGAGCAGACTTGAAACACTCCTTTTGTGGAATTTGCAAGTGGAGATTTCAGCCGCTTTGAGGTCAATGGTAGAATAGGAATTATCTTCCTATAGAAACTAGACAGAATCATTCTCAGAAACTGCTGCGTGATGTGTGCGTTCAACTCTCAGAGTTTAACTTTTCTTTTCATTCAGCGGTTTGGAAACACTCTGTTTGTAAAGTCTGCACGTGGAAATTTTGACCACTTAGAGGCCTTCGTTGGAAACGGTTTTTTTTCATGTAAGGCTAGACAGAAGAATTCCCAGTAACTTCCTTGTGTTGTGTACATTCAACTCACAGAGTTGAACGTTCCCTTAGACAGAGCAGATTTGAAACACTCTTTTTGTGCAATTGGCAAATGGAGATTTCAAGCGCTTTAAGTTCAATGGCAGAAAAGGAAATATCTTCGTTTCAAAACTAGACAGAATGATTCTCAGAAACTCCTTTGTGATGTGTGCGTTCAACTCACAGAGTTTAACCTTTCTTTTCGTAGAGCAGTTAGGAAACACTCTGTTTGTAAAGTCTGCAAGTGGATATTCAGACCTCTTTGAGGCCTTCGTTGGAAACGGGATTTCTTCATATTCTGCTAGACAGAAGAATTCTCAGAAACTTCCTTGTGTTGTGTGCATTCAACTCACAGAGTTGAACGATCCGTTACACAGTGCAGACTTGAAACACTCTTTTTGTGGAATTTGCAAGGGGAGATTTCAGCCGCTTTGAGGTCAATGGTAGTAAAGGAAATATCTTCGTATAAAAACTAGACAGAATGATTCTCAGAATCTCCTTTGTGATGTGTGCGTTCAACTCACAGAGTTTAACCTTTCTTTTCATAGAGCAGTTAGGAAACACTCTGTTTGTAAAGTCTGCAAGTGGATATTCAGACCTCTTTGAGGCCTTCGTTGGAAACGGGTTTTTTACATATAAGGCTAAA
This sequence comes from Homo sapiens, assembly GCF_000001405.40. Lineage (NCBI taxonomy): Eukaryota > Metazoa > Chordata > Mammalia > Primates > Hominidae > Homo > Homo sapiens. The sequence continues at coordinate 124,726,299 of NC_000001.11, forward strand.
CAGAAGAATTCCCAGTAACTTCCTTGTGTTGTGTGTGTTCAACTCACAGAGTTGAACTTTGATTTACACAGAGCAGATTTGAAACACTCTTTTTGTGGAATTTGCAAGTGGAGATTTCAAGCGCTTTGAGGCCAAAGGCAGAAAAGGAAATATCTTCGTATAAAAACTTGTCAGAATCATTCTCAGAAACTGCTCTGCAATGTGCGCGTTCAACTCTCAGAGTTTAACTTTTCTTTTCATTCAGCAGTTTGGAAACACTCTGTTTGTAAAGTCTGCACGTGGATATTTTGACCACTTAGAGGCCTTCGTTGGAAACGGGTTTTTTTCCTGTAAGGCTAGACAGAAGAATTCCCAGTAACTTCCTTGTGTTGTGTACATTCAACTCACAGAGTTGAACGTTCCCTTACACAGAGCAGATTTGAAACACTCTTTTTGTGCACTTGGCAAGTGGAGATTTCAAGCGCTTTAAGGTCAATGGCAGAAAAGGAAATATCTTCGTTTCAAAACTAGACAGAATCATTCTCAGAAACTGCTCTGCGATGTGTGCGTTCAACTCTCAGAGTTTAACTTTTCTTTTCATTCAGCAGTTTGGAAACAATCTGTTTGTAAAGTCTGCACGTGGATAATTTGACCACTTAGAGACCTTCGTTGGAAACGGGTTTTTTTCATGTAAGGCTAGACAGAAGAATTCTCAGAATCTTCCTTGTGTTGTGTGTATTCAACTCACAGAGTTGAACGATCCTTTACACAGAGCAGACTTGAAACACTCTTTTTGTGGAATTTGCAAGTGGAGATTTCAGCCGCTTTGAGGTCCGTGTTAGAAAAGGAAATATCTTCGTACAAAAACTAGACAGAATGATTCTCAGAAACTCCTTTGTGATGTGTGCGTTCAACTCACAGAGTTTAAACTTTCTTTACATACAGCAGTTAGGAAACACTCTGTTTGTAAAGTCTGCAAGTGGATATTCAGACCTCTTTGAGGCCTTCGTTGGAAACGGGTTTTTTTCATATAAGGCTAGACAGAAGAATTCCCAGTAACTTCCTTGTGTTGTGTGTGTTCAACTCACAGAGTTGAACTTTCATTTACACAGAGCAGATTTGAAACACTCTTTTTGTGGAATTTGCAAGTGGAGATTTCAAGCGCTTTCAGGCCAAAGGCAGAAAAGGAAATATCTTCGTATAAAAACTAGACAGAATCATTCTCAGAAACTGCTCTGCGATGTGTGCGTTCAACTCTCAGAGTTTAACTTTTCTTTTCATTCAGCAGTTTGGAAACACTCTGTTTGTAAAGTCTGCACGTGGATAATTTGACCACTTAGAGTCCTTCGTTGGAAACGGGTTTTTTTCATGTAAGGCTAGACAGAAGAATTCTCAGTAACTTCCTTGTGTTGTGTGTATTCAACTCACAGAGTTGAACGATCCTTTACACAGAGCAGACTTGTAACACTCTTTTTGTGGAATTTGCAAGTGGAGATTTCAGCCGCTTTGAAGTCAAAGGTAGAAAAGGAAATATATTCCTATAAAAACTAGACAGAATGATTCTCAGAAACTTCTTGGTGATGTGTGCGTTCAACTCACAGAGTTTAACCTTTCTTTTCATAGAGCAGTTAGGAAACAGTCTGTTTGTAAACTCTGCAAGTGGATATTCAGACCTCTTTGAGGCCTTCGTTGGAAACGGGATTTCTTCATACTGTGCTACACAGAAGAATTCTCAGTAACTTCCTTGTGTTGTGTGTATTCAACTCACAGAGTTGAACGATCCTTTACACAGAGCAGACTTGAAACACTCTTTTTGTGGAATTTGCAAGTGGAGATTTCAGCCGCGTTGAGGTCAATGGTAGAAAAGGAAATATCTTCGTATAAAAACTAGACAGAATCATTCTCAGAAACTCCTTTGTGATGTGTGTGTTCAACTCACAGAGTTTAACCTTTCTTTTCATAGAGCAGTTAGTAAACACTCTGTTTATAAAGTCTGCAAGTGGATATTCAGACCCCTTTGAGGCCTTCGTTGGAAACGGGATTTCTTCATATTATGCTAGACAGAAGAATTCCCAGTAACTTCCTTGTGTTGTGTGTGTTCAACTCACAGAGTTGAACTTTCATTTACACAGAGCAGATTTGAAACACTCTTTTTGTGGAATTTGCAAGTGGAGATTTCAAGCCCTTTGAGGCCAAAGGCAGAAAAGGAAATATCTTCGTATAAAAACTAGACAGCATCATTCTCAGAAACTGCTCTGCGATGTGTGCGTTCAACTCTCAGAGTTTAACTTTTCTTTTCATTCAGCAGTTTGGAAACACTCTGTTTGTAAAGTCTGCACGTGGATAACTTGACCACTTAGAGGCCTTCGTTGGAAACGGGTTTTTTTCATGTAAGGCTAGACAGAAGAATTCCCAGTAACTTCCTTGTGTTGTGTACATTCAACTCACAGAGTTGAACGTTCCCTTAGACAGAGCAGATTTGAAACACTCTTTTTGTGCAATTGGCAAATGGAGATTTCAAGCGCTTTAAGGTCAATGGCAGAAAAGGAAATATCTTCGTTTCAAAACTAGACAGAATCATTCCCACAAACTGCGTTGTGATGTGTTCGTTCAACTCACAGAGTTTAACCTTTCTTTTCATAGAGGAGTTAGGAAACAGTCTGTTTGTCAATTCTGTAAGTGGATATTCTGACATCTTGTGGCCTTCGTTGGAAACGGGATTTCTTCATATTCTGCTAGACAGAAGAATTCCCAGTAACTTCCTTGTGTTGTGTGTGTTCAACTCACAGAGTTGAACTTTCATTTACACACAGCAGATTTGAAACACTCTTTTTGTGGAATTTGCAAGTGGAGATTTCAGCCGCGTTGAGGTCAATGGTAGAAAAGGAAATATCTTCGTATAAAAACTAGACAGAATGATTCTGAGAAACTCCTTTGTGATGTGAGCGTTCAACTCACACAGTTTAACCTTTCTTTTCATAGAGCAGTTAGGAAACACTCTGTTTGTAAAGTCTGCAAGTGGATATTCAGACCTCCTTGAGGCCTTCGTTGGAAACGGGATTTCTTCATATTATGCTAGACAGAAGAATTCTCAGTAACTTCCTTGTGTTGTGTGTATTCAACTCACAGAGTTGAACGATCCTTTACACAGAGCAGACTTGAAACACTCCTTTTGTGGAATTTGCAATTGGAGATTTCAGCCGCTTTGAGGTCAATGGTAGAATAGGAAATATCTTCCTATAGAAACTAGACAGAATGATTCTCATAAACTCCTTTCTAATGTGTGCGTTCAACTCACAAAGTTTAACTTTTCTTTTCATAGAGCAGTTAGGAAACACTCTGTTTGTAAAGTCTGCAAGTGGATATTCAGACCTCTTTGAGGCCTTCGTAGGAAACGGGATTTCTTCATATTATGCTAGACAGAAGAATTCCCAGTAACTTCCTTGTGTTTTGTGCATTCAACTCACAGAGTTGAACGTTCCCTTAGACAGAGCAGATTTGAAACACTCTATTTGTGCAATTTGCAAGTGTAGATTTCAAGCGCTTTAAGGTCAATGGCAGAAAAGGAAATATCTTCGTTTCAAAACTAGACAGAATCATTCCCACAAACTGCGTTGTGATGTGTTCGTTCAACTCACAGAATTTAACCTTTCTGTTCATAGAGCAGTTAGGAAACACTCTGTTTGTAAAGTCTGTAAGTGGATATTCTGACATCTTGTGGCCTTCGTTGGAAACGGGATTTCTTCATATTCTGCTAGACAGAATAATTCTCAGTAACTTCCTTGTGTTGTGTGTATTCAACTCACAGAGTTGAACGATCCTTTACACAGAGCAGACTTGAAACACTCTTTTTGTGGAATTTGCAAGTGGAGATTTCAGCCGCTTTGAGGTCAATGGTAGAATAGGAAATATCTTCCTATAGAAACTAGACAGAATGATTCTCAGAAACTTCTTTGTGATGTGTGTGTTCAACTCACAGAGTTTAACCTTTCTTTTCATAGAGTAGTTAGGAAACACTGTGTTTTCAAACTCTGCAAGTGGATATTCAGACCTCTTTGAGGCCTTCGTTGGAAACGGGTTTCTTCATACTGTGCTAGACAGAAGAATTCCCAGTAACTTCCTTGTGTTGTGTGTGTTCAACTCACAGAGTTGAACTTTCATTTACCCAGAGCAGATTTGAAACACTCTTTTTGTGGAATTTGCAAGTGGAGATTTCAAGCGCTTTGAGGCCAAAGGCAGAAAAGGAAATATCTTCGTTTCAAAACTAGACAGAATCATTCTCAGAAACTGCTCTGCGATGTGTGCGTTCAACTCTCAGAGTTTAACTTTTCTTTTCATTCAACAGTTTGGAAACACTCTGTTTGTAAAGTCTGCACGTGGATATTTTGACCACTTAGAGGCCTTCGTTGGAAACGGGATTTTTTCCTGTAAGGCTAGACAGAAGAATTCCCAGTAACTTCCTTGTGTTGTGTACATTCAACTCACAGAGTTGAACGTTCCCTTAGACAGAGCAGATTTGAAACACTCTTTTTGTGCAATTGGCAAATGGAGATTTCAAGCGCTTTAAGGTCAATGGCAGAAAAGGAAATATCTTCGTTTCAAAACTAGACAGAATCATTCCCACAAACTGCGTTGTGATGTGTTCGTTCAACTCACAGAGTTTAACCTTTCTTTTCATAGAGCAGTTAGGAAACAGTCTGTTTGTAAATTCTGTAAGTGGATATTCTGACATCTTGTGGCCTTCGTTGGAAACGGGATTTCTTCATATTCTGCTAGACAGAAAAAATTCTCAGTAACTTCCTTGTGTTGTGTGTATTCAACTCACAGAGTTGATCGATCCTTTACACAGAGCATACTTGAAACACTCTTCTTGTGGAATCTGCAAGTGGAGATTTCAGCCGCTTTGAGGTCAATGGTAGAATAGGAAATATCTTCCTATAGAAACTAGACAGAATGATTCTCATAAACTCCTTTGTGATGTGTACGTTCAACTCACAGAGTTTAACATTTCTTTTCATAGAGCAGTTAGGAAACACTCTGTTTGTAAAGTCTGCAAGTGGATATTCAGTCCTCCTTGAGGCCTTCGTTGGAAACGGGATTTCTTCATATTCTGCTAGACAGAAGAATTCTCAGTAACTTCCTTGTGTTGTGTGTATTCAACTGACAGAGTTGAACTTTCATTTGGAGAGAGCAGATTTGAAACACTGTTTTTGTGGAATTTGCAAGTGGAGATTTCAAGCGCTTTGGGGCCAAAGGCAGAAAAGGAAATATCTTCGTATAAAAACGAGACAGAATCATTCTCAGAAACTGCTGTGTGATGTGTGCGTTCAACTCTCAGAGTTTAACTTTTCTTTTCATTCAGCGGTTTGGAAACACTCTGTTTGTAAAGTCTGCACGTGGATATTTTGACCACTTAGAGGCCTTCGTTGGAAACGGGTTTTTTTCATGTAAGGCTAGACAGAAGAATTCCCAGTAACTTCCTTGTGTTGTGTGCATTCAACTCACAGAGTTGAACGTTCCCTTAGACAGAGCAGATTTGAAACACTCTATTTGTGCAATTTGCAAGTGTAGATTTCAAGCGCTTTAAGGTCAACGGCAGAAAAGGAAATATCTTCGTTTCAAAACTAGACAGAATTATTCCCACAAACTGCGTTGTGATGTGTTCGTTCAACTCACAGAGTTTAACCTTTCTGTTCATAGAGCAGTTAGGAAACACTCTGTTTGTAAAGTCTGTAAGTGGATATTCTGACATCTTGTGGCCTTCGTTGGAAACGGGATTTCTTCATATTCTGCTAGACAGAAGAATTCTCAGAATCTTCCTTGTGTTGTGTGTATTCAACTCACAGAGTTGAACGATCCTTTACACAGAGCAGACTTGAAACACTCTTTTTGTGGAATTTGCTAGTGGAGATTTCAGCCGCTTTGAGGTCCATGGTAGAAAAGGAAATATCTTCGTATAAAAACTAGACAGAATGATTCTCAGAAACTCCTTTGTGATGTGTGCGTTCAACTCACAGAGTTCAACCTTTCTTTTCATAGAGCAGTTGGGAAACACTCTGTTTGTAAAGTCTGCAAGTGGATATTCAGACTTCTTTGAGGCCTTCGTTGGAAGCGGGATTTCTTCATGTTCTGCTAGACAGAAGAATTCTCAGAAACTTCCTTGTGTTGTGTGTTTTCAACTCACAGAGTTGAACGATCCTTTACACAGAGCAGACTTGAAACACTACTTTTGTGGAATTTGCAAGTGGAGATTTCAGCCGCTTTGAGGTCAATGGTAGAATAGGAAATATCTTCCTATAGAAACTAGACAGAATCATTCTCAGAAACCGCTCTGTGATGTGTGCGTTCAACTCTCAGAGTTTAACTTTTCTTTTCATTCAGCAGTTTGGAAACACTCTGTTTGTAAAGTCTGCACGTGGATATTTTGACCACTTAGAGGCCTTCGTTGGAAACGGGTTTTTTTCATGTAAGGCTAGACAGAAGAATTCCCAGTAACTTCCTTGTGTTGTGTGCATTCACCTCACAGAGCTGAACGTTCCCTTAGACAGAGCAGATTTGAAACACTCTATTTGTGCAATTTGCAAGTGTAGATTTCAAGCGCTTTAAGGTCAATGGCAGAAAAGGAAATATCTTCGTTTCAAAACTAGACAGAATGATTCTCATAAACTCCTTTGTGATGTGTGCGTTCAACTCACAGAGTTTAACTTTTCTTTTCATAGAGCAGTTAGGAAACACTCTGTTTGTAAAGTCTGCAAGTGGATATTCAGACCTCTTTGAGGCCTTCCTTGGAAACGGGATTTCTTCATATTCTGCTAGACAGAAGAATTCTCAGTAACTTCCTTGTGTTGTGTGTATTCAACTCACAGAGTTGAACGATCCTTTACACAGAGCAGACTTGAAACATTCTTTTTGTGGAATTTGCAAGTGGAGATTTCAGCCGCTTTGAGGTCAATGGTAGAATAGGAAATATCTTCCTATAGAAACTAGACAGAATGATTCTCAGAAACTCCTTTGTGATGTGTGCATTCAACTCACAGAGTTTAACCTTTCTTTTCATAGAGCAGTTAGGAAACACTCTGTTTGTAAAGTCTGCAAGTGGATATTCAGACATCCTTGAGGCTTTCGTTGGAAACGGGATTTCTTCATATTCTGCTAGAAAGAAGAATTCTCAGTAACTTCCCTTGTGTTGTGTGTATTCAACTCACAGAGTTGAACAATCCTTTACACAGAGCAGACTTGAAACACTCTTTTTGTGGAATTTGCAAGTGGAGATTTCAGCCACTTTGAGGTCAATGGTAGAATAGGAAATATCTTCCTATAGAAACTAGACAGAATCATTCTCAGAAACTGCTGCTTGATGTGTGCGTTCAACTCTCAGAATTTAACTTTTCTTTTCATTCAGCGGTTTGGAAACACTCTGTTTGTAAAGTCTGCACGTGGAAATTTTGACCACTTAGAGGCCTTCGTTGGAAACGGGTTTTTTTCATGTAAGGCTAGACAGAAGAATTCCCAGTAACTTCCTTGTGTTGTGTGCATTCAACTCACAGAGTTGAACGTTCCCTTAGACAGAGCAGATTTGAAACACTCTATTTGTGTAATTTACAAGTGTAGATTTCAAGCGCATTAAGGTCAATGACAAAAAGGAAATATCTTCGTTTCAAAACTAGACAGAATCATTCCCACAAACTGCGTTGTGATGTGTTCGTTCAACTCACAGAGTTTAACCTTTCTGTTCATAGAGCAGTTAGGAAACACTCTGGTTGTAAAGTTTGCCAGTGGATATTCAGACCTCTTTGAGGTCTTCGTTGGAAACGGGATTTCTTCATATTCTGCTAGACAGAATAATTCTCAGTAACTTCCTTGTGTTGTGTGTATTCAACTCACAGAGTTGAACGATCCTTTACACAGAGCAGACTTGAAACACTCTTTTTGTGGAATTTGTAAGTGGAGATTTCAGCCGCTTTGAGGTCAATGGTAGAATAGGAAATATCTTCCTATAGAAACTAGACAGAATGATTCTCAGAAACTCCTTTGTGATGTGTGCGTTCAACTCACAGAGTTTAACCTTTCTTTTCATAGAGCAGTTAGGAAACACTCTGTTTGTAAAGTCTGCAAGTGGATATTCAGACATCCTTGAGGCCTTCGCTGGAAAAGGGATTTCTTCATATTATGCTAGACAGAAGAATTCCTAGTAACTTCCTTGTGTTGTGTGTGTTCAACTCACAGAGTTGAACTTTCATTTACACAGAGCAGATTTGAAACACTCTTTTTGTGGAATTTGCAAGTGGAGATTTCAAGCGCTTTGAGACCAAAGGCAGAAAAGGATATATCTTCGTATAAAAACTAGACAGAATCATTCTCAGAAAATGCTCTGCGATGTGTGCGTTCAACTCTCAGAGTTTAACTTTTCTTTTCATTCAGCAGTTTGGAAACAATCTGTTTGTAAAGTCTGCACGTGGATAATTTGACCACTTAGAGGCCTTCGTTGGAAACGGGTTTTTTTCATGTAAGGCTAGACACAAGAATTCTCAGTAACTTCCTTGTGTTGTGTGTATTCAACTCACAGAGTTGAACGATCCTTTACACAGAGCAGACTTGAAACACTCTTTTTGTGGAATTTGCAAGTGGAGATTTCAGCCGCTTTGAGGTCAATGCTAGAATAGGAAATATCTTCCTATAGAAACTAGACAGAATGATTCTCAGAAAGTCCTTTGTGATGTGTGCGTTCAACTCACAGAGTTTAACCTTTCTTTTCATAGAGCAGTTAGGAAACACTCTGTGTGTAAAGTCTGCAAGTGGATATTCAGACCTCTTTGAGGCCTTCGTTGGAAACGGGATTTCTTCATATTATGCTAGACAGAATAATTCTCAGTAACTTCCTTGTGTTGTGTGTATTCAACTCACAGAGTTGAACGATCCTTTACAGAGAGCAGACTTGAAACACTCTTTTTGTGGAATTTGCAAGTGGAGATTTCAGCCGCTTTGAGGTCAATGGTACAATAGGAAATATCTTCCTATAGAAAATAGACAGAATGATTCTCAGAAACTCCTTTGTGATGTGTGTGTTCAACCCACAGAGTTTAACCTTTCTTTTCATAGAGCAGTTAGTAAACACTCTGTTTATAAAGTCTGCAAGTGGATATTCAGACCCCTTTGAGGCCTTCGTTGGAAACGGGATTTCTTCATATTATGCTAGACAGAAGAATTCCCAGTAACTTCCTTGTGTTGTGTGTGTTCAACTCACAGAGTTGAACTTTCATTTACACAGAGCAGTTTTGAGACACTCTTTTTGTGGAATTTGCTAATGGAGATTTCAAGCGCTTTGAGGCCAAAGGCAGAAAAGGAAATATCTTCGTATAAAAACTAGACAGAATCATTCTCAGAAACTGCTCTGCGATGTGTGCGTTCAACTCTCAGAGTTTAACTTTTCTTTTCATTCAGCAGTTTGGAAACACTCTGTTTGTAAAGTCTGCACGTGGATAATTTGACCACTTAGAGGCCTTCGTTGGAAACGGGTTTTTTTCATGTAAGGCTAGACAGAAGAATTCTCAGTAACTTCCTTGTGTTGTGTGTATTCAACTGACAGAGTTGAACTTTCATTTAGAGAGAGCAGATTTGAAACACTGTTTTTGTGGAATTTGCAAGTGGAGATTTCAAGCGCTTTAAGGTCAACGGCAGAAAAGGAAATATCTTCGTTTCAAAACTAGACAGAATGATTCTCAGAAACTCCTTTGTGATGTGTGCGTTCAAGTCACAGAGTTCAACCTTTCTTTTCATAGAGCAGTTGGGAAACACTCTGTTTGTAAAGTCTGCAAGTGGATATTCAGACTTCTTTGAGGCCTTCGTTGGAAGCGGGATTTCTTCATATTCTGCTAGACAGAAGAATTCTCAGTAACTGCCTTGTGTTGTGTGTATTCAACTCACAGAGTTGAACGATGCTTTACACAGAGCAGACTTGAAACACTCTTTTTGTGGAATTTGCAAGTGGAGATTTCAGCCGCTTTGAGGTCAATGGTAGAATAGGAAATATCTTCCTATAGAAACTAGACAGAAATGATTCTCAGAAACTCCTTTGTGATGTGTGCGTTCAACTCACAGAGTTTAACCTTTCTTTTCATAGAGCAGTTAGGAAACACTCTGTTTGTAAAGTCTGCAAGTGGATATTCAGACATCCTTGAGGCTTTCGTTGGAAACGGGATTTCTTCATATTCTGCTAGAAAGAGAATTCCCAGTAACTTCCTTGTGTTGTGTGTGTTCAACTCACAGAGTTGAACTTTCATTTACACAGAGCAGATTTCAAACACTCTTTTTGTGGAATTTGCAAATGGAGATTTCAAGCGCTTTGAGGCCAAAGGCAGAAAAGGAAATATCTTCGTTTCAAAACTAGACAGAATCATTCTCAGAAACTGCTCTGTGATGTGTGCGTTCAACTCTCAGAGTTTAACTTTTGTTTTCATTCAGCAGTTTGGAAACAATCTGTTTGTAAAGTCTGCACGTGGATATTTTGACCACTTAGAGGCCTTCGTTGAAAACGGGTTTCTTTCATGTAAGGGGAGACAGAAGAATTCCCAGTAACTTCCTTGCGTTGTGTACATTCAACTCACAGAGTTGAACGTTCCCTTAGACAGAGCAGATTTGAAACACTCTTTTTGTGCAATTGGCAAGTGGAGATTTCAAGCGCTTTAAGGTCAATGGCAGAAAAGGAAATATCTTCGTTTCAAAACTAGACAGAATGATTCTCAGAAACTTCTTTGTGATGTGTGCGTTCAACTCACAGAGTTTAACCTTTCTTTTCATAGAGCAGTTAGGAAACACTCTGTTTGTAAACTCTGCAAGTGGATATTCAGACCTCTTGGAGGCCTTCGTTGGAAACGGGATTTCTTCATACTATGCTAGACAGAAGAATTCTCAGTAACTTCCTTGTGTTGTGTGTATTCAACTCACAGAGTTGAACGATCCTTTACACAGAGCAGACTTGTAACACTCTTTTTGTGGAATTTGCAAGTGGAGATTTCAGCCGCTTTGAAGTCAAAGGTAGAAAAGGAAATATCTTCCTATAAAAACTAGACAGAATGATTCTCAGAAACTCCTTTGTGATGTGTGCGTTCAACTCACAGAGTTTAACCTTTCTTTTCATAGAGCAGTTAGGAAACACTCTGGTTGTAAAGACTACAAGTGGATATTCAGACCTCTTTGAGGCCTTCGTTGGAAACGGGTTTTTTTCCTGTAAGTCTAGACAGAAGAATTCCCAGTAACTTCCTTGTGTTGTGTGTGTTCAACTCACAGAGTTGAACTTTGATTTACACAGAGCAGATTTGAAACACTCTTTTTGTGGAGTTTGCAAGTGGAGATTTCAAGCGCTTTGAGGCCAAAGGCAGAAAAGGAAATATCTTCGTATAAAAACTAGACAGAATCATTCCCACAAACTGCGTTGTGATGTGTGCGTTCAACTCACAGAGTTTAACCTTTCTTTTCATAGAGCCGTTTGTAAACGCTCTGTTTGCCAAGTCTGCAAGTGGATATTCTGACATCTTGTGGACTTCGTTGGAAACGGGATTTCTTCATATTCTGCTAGACAGAAGAATTCTCAGAAACTTCCTTGTGTTCTGTGTATTCAACTCACAGAGTTGAACGATCCTTTACACAGAGCAGATTTGACACACTCTTTTTGTGGAATTTGCAAGTGGAGATTTCAGCCGCTTTGAGGTCCATGGTAGAAAAGGAAATATCTTCGTATAAAAACTAGACAGAATGATTCTCAGAAACTTCTTTGTGATGTGTGCGTTCAACTCACAGAGTTTAACCTTTCTTTTCATAGAGCAGTTAGGAAACACTCTGTTTGTAAATCAGCAAGTGGATATTCAGACCTCTTTGAGGCCTTCGTTGGAAACGGAATTTCTTCATATTATGCTAGACAGAGGAATTCTCAGTAACCTCCTTGTGTTGTGTGTACTCAACTCACAGAGTTGAACGATCCTTTACACAGAGCAGACTAGAATCACTCTTTTTGTGGAATTTGCAAGTGGAGATTTCAGCCGCTTTGAGGTCAATGGTAGAAAAGGAAATATCTTCGTATAAAAACTAGACAGAATGATTCCCAGAAACTCCTTTGTGATGTGTACGTTCAACTCACAGAGTTTAACCTTTCTTTTCATAGAGCAGTTAGGAAACACTCTGTTTGTAAACTCTGCAAGCGGATATTCAGACCGCTTTGAGGCCTTCGTTGGAAACGGGATTTCTTAATATTATGCTAGACAAAAGAATTCCCAGTAACTTCCTTGTGTTGTGTGTGTTCAACTCACAGAGTTGAACTTTCATTTACACAGAGCAGATTTGAAACACTCTTTTTATGGAATTTGCAAATGGAGGTTTCAAGCGCTTTGAGGCCAAAGGCAGAAAAGGAAATATCTTCGTATAAAAACTAGACAGAATCATTCTCAGAAACTGCTGCGTGATGTGTGCGTTCAACTCACAGAGTTTAACTTTTCTTTTCATTCAGCGGTTTGGAAACACTCTGTTTGTAAAGTCTGCACGTGGATATTTTGACCACTTAGAGGCCTTCGTTGGAAACGAGATTTTTTCATGTAAGGCTAGACAGAAGAATTCCCAGTAACTTCCTTGTGTTGTGTGCATTCAACTCACAGAGTTGAACGTTCCCTTAGACAGAGCAGATTTGAAACACTCTATTTGTGCAACTTGCAAGTGTAGATTTCAAGCGCTTTAACCTCAATGGCAGAAAAGGAAATATCTTCGTTTCAAAACTAGACAGAATCATTCCCACAAACTGCTTTGTGATGTGTTCGTTCAACTCACAGAGTTTAACCTTTCTTTTCATAGAGCAGTTAGGAAACAGTCTGTTTGTCAATTCTGTAAGTGGATATTCTGACATCTTGTGGCCTTCGTTGGAAACGGGATTTCTTCATATTCTGCTAGACAGAAGAATTCTTAGAAACTTCCTTGTGTTGTGTGTTTTCAACTCACAGAGTTGAACGATCCTTTACACAGAGCAGACTTGAAACACTCTTTTTGTGGAATTTGCAAGTGGAGATTTCAGCCGCTTTGAGGTCAATGGTAGAATAGGAAATATCTTCCTATAGAAAGTAGACAGAATGATTCTCAGAAACTCCTTTGTGATGTGTGCGTTCAACTCACAGAGTTTAACCTTTCTTTTCATAGAGCAGTTAGGAAACACTCTGTTTGTAAAGTCTGCAAGTGGATATTCAGACCTCCTTGAGGCCTTCTTTGGAAACGGGATTTCTTCCTATTATGCTAGACAGAAGAATTCTCAGTAACTTCCTTGTGTTGTGTGTATTCAACTCACAGAGTTGAACGATCCTTTACACAGAGCAGACTTGAAACACTCTTTTTGTGGAATTTGCAAGTGGAGATTTCAGCCGCTTTGAGGTCAATGGTAGAATAGGAAATATCTTCCTGTAGAAACTAGACAGAATCATTCTCAGAAACTGCTCTGCGATGTGTGCGTTCAGCTCTCAGAGTTTAACTTTTCTTTTCATTCAGCAGTTTGGAAACACTCTGTTTGTAAAGTCTGCACGTGCATAATTTGACCACTTAGAGGCCTTCGTTGGAAACGGGTTTTTTTCATGTAAGGCTAGACAGAAGAATTCCCAGTAACTTCCTTGTGTTGTGTACATTCAACTCACAGAGTTGAACGTTCCCTTAGACAGAGCAGATTTGAAATACTCTTTTTATGCAATTGGCAAGTGGAGATTTCAAGCGCTTTAAGGTCAATGGCAGAAAAGGAAATATCTTCGTTTCAAAACTAGACAGAATCATTCCCACAAACTGCGTTGTGAAGTGCTCGTTCAACTCATAGAGTTTAACCTTTCTGTTCATAGAGCAGTTAGGAAACACTCTGTTTGAAAAGTCTGTAAGTGGATATTCTGACATCTTGTGGCCTTCGTTGGAAACGGGATTTCTTCATATTCTGCTAGAAAGAAGAATTCTCAGTAACTTCCTTGTGTTGTGTGTATTCAACTCACAGAGTTGAACGATCCTTTACACAGAGCAGACTTGAAACACTCTTTTTGTGGAATTTGCAAGTGGAGATTTCAGCCGCTTTGAGGTCAATGGTAGAATAGGAAATATCTTCCTATAGAAACTAGACAGAATGATTCTCAGAAACTCCTTTGTGATGTGTGCGTTCAACTCACAGAGTTTAACCTTTCTTTTCATAGAGCAGTTAGGAAACACTCTGTTTGTACAGTCTGCAAGTGGATATTCAGACCTCCTTGAGGCCTTCGTTGGAAACGGGTTTTTTTCATATAAGGCTAGACAGAAGAATTCCCAGTAACTTCCTTGTGTTGTGTGTGTTCAACTCACAGAGTTGAACTTTCATTTACACAGAGCAGATTTGAAACACTCTTTTTGTGGAATTTGCAAGTGGAGATTTCAAGCGCTTTGAGGCCAAAGGCAGAAAAGGAAATATCTTCGTTTCAAAACTAGACAGAATCATTCTCAGAAACTGCTCTGCGATGTGTGCCTTCAGCTCTCAGAGTTTAACTTTTCTTTTCATTCAGCAGTTTGGAAACACTCTGTTTGTAAAGTCTGCACGTGGATATTTTGACCACTTAGAGGTCTTCGTTGGAAACGGGTTTTTGTCATGTAAGGCTAGACAGAAGAATTCCCAGTAACTTCCTTGTGTTGTGTGCATTCAACTCACAGAGTTGAACTTTCCCTTAGACGGAGCAGATTTGAAACACTCTATTTGTGCAATTTGCAAGTGTAGATTTCAAGCGCTTTAAGGTCAATGGCAGAAAAGGAAATATCTTCGTTTCAAAACTAGAGAGAATCATTCCCACAAACTGCGTTGTGATGTGTTCGTTCAACTCACAGAGTTTAACCTTTCTGTTCATAGAGCAGTTAGGAAACACTCTGTTTGTAAAGTCTGTAAGTGGATATTCTGACATCTTGTGGCCTTCGTTGGAAACGGGATTTCTTCGTATTCTGCTAGACAGAAGAATTCTCAGTAACTTCCTTGTGTTGTGTGTATTCAACTCACAGAGTTGAACGATCCTTTACACAGAGCAGACTTGAAACACTCTTTTTGTGTAATTTGCAAGTGGAGATTTCAGCCGCTTTGAGGTCAATGGTAGAAAAGGAAACTATCTTCATATAAAGACTAGACAGAATGATTCTCAGAAAATCTTTTGTGATGTGTGCGTTCAACTCACAGAGTTTAACTTTTCTTCTCATAGAGCAGTTAGGAAACACTCTGTTTGTAAAGTCTGCAAGTGGATATTCAGACCTCTTTGAGGCCTTCGTTGGAAACGGGATTTCTTCATATTATGCTAGACAGAAGAATTCCCAGTAACTTCCTTGTGTTGTGTGTGTTCAACTCACAGAGTTGAACTTTCATTTACACAGAGCAGATTGGAAACACTCTTTTTGTGGAATTTGCAAGTGGAGATTTCAAGCGCTTTGAGGACAAAGGCAGAAAAGGATATATCTTCGTATAAAAATTAGACAGAAATCATTCTCAGAAACTGCTCTGCGATGTGTGCGTTCAACTCTCAGAGTTTAACTTTTCTTTTCATTCAGCAGTGTGGAAAAACTCTGTTTGTAAAGTCTGCACGTGGATATTCTGACCACTTAGAGGCCTTCGTTGGAAACGGGTTTTTTTCCTGTAAGGCTAGACAGAAGAATTCCCAGTAACTTCCTTGTGTTGTGTACATTCAACTCACAGAGTTGAACGTTCCCTTAGACAGAACAGATTTGAAACACTCTTTTTGTGCAATTGGCAAGTGGTGATTTCAGCCGCTTTGAGGTCAATGGTAGAAAAGGAAATATCTTCGTATAAAAACTAGACAGAATGATTCTCAGAAACTCCTTTGTGATGTGTGCGTTCAACTCACAGAGTTTTACCTTTCTTTTCATAGAGCAGTTAGGAAACACTCTGTTTGTAAAGTCTGCAAGTGGATATTCAGACCTCTTTGAGGCCTTCGTTGGAAACGGGATTTCTTCATATTATGCTAGACGGAAGGATTCTCAGTAACTTCCTTGTGTTGTGTGTATTCAACTCACAGAGTTGAACGATCCTTTACACAGAGCAGACTTGAAACACTCTTTTTGTGGAATTTGCAAGTGGAGATTTCAGCCTCTTTGAGGTCAATGGTAGAAAAGGAGATATCTTCGTATAAAAACTAGACAGAATGATTCTCAGAAACTCCTTTGTGATGTGTGCGTTCAACTCACAGAGTTTAACCTTTCTTTTCATAGAGCAGTTAGGAAACACTCTGTTTGTAAAGTCTGCAAGTGGATATTCAGACCTCTTTGAGGCCTTCGTTGGAAACGGGATTTCTTCATATTATGCTAGACAGAAGAATTTCCCAGTAACTTCCTTGTGTTGTGTGTGTTCAACTCACAGAGTTGAACTTTCATTTACACAGAGCAGATTTGAAACACTCTTTTTGTGGAATTTGCAAGTGGAGATTTCAAGCGCTTTGAGGCCAAAGGCAGAAAAGGAAATATCTTCGTTTCAAAACTAGACAGAATCATTCTCAGAAACTGCTCTGCGATGTGTGCGTCCAACTCTCAGAGTTTAACTTTTCTTTTCATTCAGCAGTTTGCAAACACTCTGTTTGTAAAGTCTGCACGTGGATATTTTGACCACTTAGAGGCCTTCGTTGGAAACGGGTTTTTTTCATGTAAGGCTAGACAGAAGATTTCCCAGTAACTTCCTTGTGTTGTGTACATTCAACTCACAGAGTTGAACGTTCCCTTAGGCAGAGCAGATTTGAAACACTCTTTTTGTGCAATTGGCAAATGGAGATTTCAAGCGCTTTAAGGTCAATGGCAGAAAAGGAAATATCTTCGTTTCAAAACTAGACAGAATCATTCCCACAAACTGCGTTGTGATGTGTTCGTTCAACTCACAGAGTTTAACCTTTCTGTTCATAGAGCAGTTAGGAAACACTCTGTTTGTAAAGTCTGTAAGTGGATATTCTGACATCTTGTGGCCTTCGTTGGAAACGGGATTTCTTCATATTCTGCTAGACAGAAGAATTCTCAGTAACTTCCTTGTGTTGTGTGTATTCAACTCACAGAGTTGAACGATCCTTTACACAGAGCAGACTTGAAACACTCTTTTTGTGGAATTTGCAATTGGAGATTTCAGCCGCTTTGAGGTCAATGGTAGAAAAGGAAACTATCTTCATATAAAGATTAGACAGAATGATTCTCAGAAACTCCTTTGTGATGTGTGAGTTCAACTCACAGAGTTTAACCTTTCTTTTCATAGAGCAGTTAGGAAACACTCTGTTTTTAAAGTCTGCAAGTGGATATTCAGACCTCTTTGAGGCCTTCGTTGGAAACGGGTTTTTTTCATATAAGGCTAGAGAGAAGAATTCTCAGTAACTTCCTTGTGTTGTGTGTATTCAACTGACAGAGTTGAACTTTCATTTAGACAGAGCAGATTTGAAACACTATTTATGTGGAATTGGCAATTGGAGATTTCAACCTCTTTGAGGCCAAAGGCAGAAAAGGAAATATCTTCGTTTCAAAACTAGACAGAATCATTCTCAGAAACTGCTCTGCGATGTGTGCGTTCAACTCTCAGAGTTTAACTTTTCTTTTCATTCAGCATTTTGGAAACACTCTGTTTGTAAAGTCTGCACGTGGATAATTTGACCACTTAGAGGCCTTCGTTGGAAACGGGTTTTTTTCATGTAAGGCTAGACAGAAGAATTCCCAGTAACTTCCTTGTGTTGTGTACATTCAACTCACAGAGTTGAACGTTCCCTTAGACAGAGCAGATTTGAAACACTCTTTTTGTGCAATTGGCAAGTGGAGATTTCAAGCGCTTTAAGGTCAATGGCAGAAAAGGAAATATCTTCGTTTCAAAACTAGACAGAATCATTCCCACAAACTGCGTTGTGCTGTGTTCGTTCAACTCACAGAGATTAACCTTTCTTTTCATAGAGCATTAGGAAACAGTCTGTTTGTAAATTCTGTAAGTGGATATTCTGACATCTTGTGGCCTTCGTTGGAAACGGGATTTCTTCATATTCTGCTAGACAGAAGAATTCTCAGTAACTTCCTTGTGTTGTGTGTATTCAACTCACGGAGTTGAACGATCCTTTACACAGAGCAGACTTGAAACACTCTTTTTGTGGAATTTGCAAGTGGAGATTTCAGCCGCTTTGAGGTCAATGGTAGAATAGGAAATATCTTCCTATAGAAACTAGACAGAATGATTCTCAGAAACTCCTTTGTGATGTGTGCGTTCAACTCACAGAGTTTAACTTTCCTTTTCATAGAGCAGTTAGGAAACACTCTGTTTGTAAAGTCTGCAAGTGGATATTCAGACCTCTTTGAGGCCTTCTTTGGAAACGGGATTTCTTCATATTCTGATATACAGAAGAATTCCCAGTAACTTCCTTGTGTTGTGTGTGTTCAACTCACAGAGTTGAACTTTCATTTACACAGAGCAGGTTTGAAACACTCTTTTTGTGGTATTTGCAAATGGAGATTTCAAGCGCTTTGTGGCCAAATGCAGAAAAGGAAATATCTTCGTATAAAAACTAGACAGAATGATTCTCAGAAAATCCTTTGTGATGTGTGCGTTCAACTCACAGAGTTTAACTTTTCTTTTCATAGAGCAATTAGGAAACACTCTGTTTGTAAAGTCTGCAAGTGGATATTCAGACCTCTTTGAGGCCTTCGTTGGAAACGGGATTTCTTCATATTATGCTAGACAGAAGAATTCTCAGTAACTTCCTTGTGTTGTGTGCATTCAACTCACAGAGTTGAACGTTCCCTTAGACAGAGCAGATTTGAAACACTCTATTTGTGCAATTTGCAAGTGTAGATTTCAAGCGCATTAAGGTCAAAGGCAGAAAAGGAAATATCTTCGTTTCAAAACTAGACAGAATCATTCCCACAAACTGCGTTGTGATGTGTTCGTTCAACTCACAGAGTTTAACCTTTCTTTTCATAGAGCAGTTAGGAAACAGTCTGTTTGTCAATTCTGTAAGTGGATATTCTGACATCTTGTGGCCTTCGTTGGAAACGGGATTTCTTCATATTCTGCTAGACAGAAGAATTCTCAGTAACTTCCTTGTGTTGTGTGTATTCAACTCACAGAGTTGAACGATCCTTTACACAGGGCAGACTTGAAACACTCTTTTTGTGGAATTTGCAAGTGGAGATTTCAGCCGCGTTGAGGTCAATGGTAGAAAAGGAAATATCTTCGTATAAAAACTAGACAGAATGATTCTCAGAAACTCCTTTGTGATGTGTGCGTTCAACTCACAGAGTTCAACCTTTCTTTTCATAGAGCAGTTGGGAAACACTCTGTTTGTAAAGTCTGCAAGTGGATATTCAGACTTCTTTGAGGCCTTCGTTGGAAGCGGGATTTCTTCATATTCTGCTAGACAGAAGAATTCTCAGTAACTTCCTTGTGTTGTGTGTATTCAACTCACAGAGTTGAACGATCCTTTACACAGAGCAGACTTGAAACACTCTTTTTGTGGAATTTGCAAGGGGAGATTTCAGCCGCTTTGAGGTCAATGGTAGAATAGGAAATATCTTCCTATAGAAACTAGACAGAATCATTCTCAGAAACTGCTCTGCGATGTGTGCGTTCAACTCTCAGAGTTTAACTTTTCTTTTCATTCAGCAGTTTGGAAACACTCTGTTTGTAAAGTCTGCACGTGGATAATTTGACCACTTAGAGGCCTTCGTTGGAAACGGGTTTTTTTCATGTAAGGCTAGACAGAAGAATTCCCAGTAACTTCCCTGTGTTGTGTACATTCAACTCACAGAGTTGAACGTTCCCTTAGACAGAGCAGATTTGAAACACTCTTTTTGTGCAATTGGCAAGCGGAGATTTCAAGCGCTTTAAGGTCAATGGCAGAAAAGGAAATATCTTCGTTTCAAAACTAGACAGAATCATTATCAAAAACTGCGTTGTGATGTGTTCGTTCAACTCACAGAGTTTAACCTTTCTTTTCATAGAGCAGTTGGGAAACAGTCTGTTTGTAAATTCTGTAAGTGGATATTCTGACATCTTGTGGCCTTCGTTGGAAACGGGATTTCTTCATATTCTGCTAGACAGAAGAATTCTCAGTAACTTCCTTGTGTTGTGTGTATTCAACTCACAGAGTTGAACGATCCTTTACACAGAGCAGACTTGAAACACTCTTTTTGTGGAATTTGCAAGTGGAGATTTCAGCCGCTTTGAGGTCAATGGTAGAAAAGGAAATATCTTCGTATAAAAACTAGACAGAATGATTCTCAGAAAATCTTTTGTGATGTGTGCGTTCAACTCACAGAGTTTAACTTTTCTTCTCATAGAGCAGTTAGGAAACACTCTGTTTGTAAAGTCTGCCAGTGGATATTCAGACCTCTTTGAGGTCTTCGTTGGAAACGGGATTTCTTCATATTATGCTAGACAGAAGAATTCCCAGTAACTTCCTTGTGTTGTGTGTGTTGAACTCACAGAGTTGAACTTTCATTTACACAGAGCAGATTTGAAACACTCTTTTTGTGGAATTTGCAAGTGGAGATTTCAAGCGCTTTCAGGCCAAAGGCAGAAAAGGAAATATCTTCGTATAAAAACTAGACAGAATCATTCTCAGAAACTGCTCTGCGATGTGTGCGTTCAACTCTCAGAGTTTAACTTTTCTTTTCATTCAGCAGTTTGGAAACACTCTGTTTGTAAAGTCTGCACGTGGATAATTTGACCACTTAGAGGCCTTCGTTGGAAACGGGTTTTTTTCATGTAAGGCTAGACAGAAGAATTCCCAGTAACTTCCTTGTGTTGTGTACATTCAACTCACAGAGTTGAACGTTCCCTTAGACAGAGCAGATTTGAAACACTCTTTTTGTGCAATTGGCAAGTGGAGATTTCAAGCGCTTTAAGGTCAATGGCAGAAAAGGAAATATCTGCGTTTCAAAACTAGAGAGAACGATTCTCAGAAACTCCTTTGTGATGTGTGCGTTCAACTCACAGCAGTTTAACCTTTCTGTTCATAGAGCAGTTAGGAAACACTCTGTTTGTAAAATCTGCAAGTGGATATTCAGACCTCTTTGAGGCCTTCGTTGGAAACGGGATTTCTTCATATTCTGCTAGACAGAAGAATTCTCAGTAACTTCCTTGTGTTGTGTGTATTCAACTCACAGAGTTGAACGATCCTTTACACAGAGCAGACTTGAAACACTCTTTTTGTGGAATTTGCAAGTGGAGATTTCAGCCGCTTTGAGGTCAATAGTCGAAAAGGAAATATCTTCGTAGAAAAACTAGACAGAATGATTCTCAGAAACTTCTTTGTGATGTGTGCGTTCAACTCACAGAGTTTAACCTTTCTTTTCATAGAGCAGTTAGGAAACACTCTGTTTGTAAACTCTGCAAGTGGATATTCAGACCTCTTTGAGGCCTTCGTTGGAAACGGGATTTCTTCATACTATGCTAGACAGAAGAATTCTCAGTAACTTCCTTGTGTTGTGTGTATTCAACTGACAGAGTTGAACTTTCATTTAGACAGAGGAGATTTGAAACACTCTTTTTGTGGAATTTGCAAGTGGAGATTTCAAGCGCTTTGAGGCCAAAGGCAGAAAAGGAAATATCTTCGTATAAAAACTAGACAGAATCATTCTCAGAAACTGCTGCGTGATGTGTGCGTTCAACTCTCAGAGTTTAACTTTTCTTTTCATTCAGCGGTTTGGAAACACTCTGTTTGTAAAGTCTGCACGTGGATATTTTGACCACTTAGAGGCCTTCGTTGGAAACGGGTTTTTTTCATGAAGGCTAGACAGAAAGAATTCCCAGTAACTTCCTTGTGTTGTGTGCATTCAACTCACAGAGTTGAACGTTCCCTTAGGCAGAGCAGATTTGAAACACTCTATTTGTGCAATTTGCAAGTGTAGATTTCAAGCGCTTTAAGGTCAATGGCAGAAAAGGAAATATCTTCGTTTCAAAACTAGACAGATGATTCTCAGAAACTTCATTGTGACGTGTGCGTTCAACTCACAGAGTTTAACCTTTCTTTTCATAGAGCAGTTAGGAAACACTCTGTTTGTAAAGTCTACAAGTGGATATTCAGACCTCTTTGAGGCCTTCGTTGGAAACGGGATTTCTTCATACTGTGCTAGACAGAAGAATTCTCAGTAACTTCCTTGTGTTGTGTGTATTCAACTCACAGTAGTTGAACGATCCTTTACACAGAGCGGACTTGAAACACACTTTTTGTGGAATTTGCAAGTGGAGATTTCAGCCGCGTTGAGGTCAATGGTAGAAAAGGAAATATCTTCGTATAAAAACTAGACAGAATGATTCTCAGAAACTCCTTTGTGATGTGTGTGTTCAACTCACAGAGTTTAACCTTTCTTTTCATAGAGCAGTTAGGAAACACTCTGTTTGTAAAGACTGCAAGTGGATATTCAGGCCTCTTTGAGGCCTTCGTTGGAAACGGGTTTTTTCATATAAGGCTAGACAGAAGAATTCCCAGTAACTTCCTTGTGTTGTGTGTGTTCAACTCACAGAGTTGAACTTTCATTTACACAGAGCAGATTGGAAACACTCTTTTTGTGGAATTTGCCAGTGGAGATTTCAAGCGCATTGAGGCCAAAGGCAGAAAAGGAAATATCTTCGTATAAAAACTAGACAGAATCATTCTCAGAAACTGCTCTGTGATGTGTGCGTTCAACTCTCAGAGTTTAACTTTTCTTTTCATTCAGCAGTTTGGAAACCCTCTGTTTGTAAAGTCTGCACGTGGATATTTTGACCACTTAGAGGCCTTCGTTGGAAACGGGTTTCTTTCCTTTAAGGCTAGACAGAAGAATTCCCAGTAACTTCCTTGCGTTGTGTACATTCAACTCACAGAGTTGAACGGTTCCCTTAGACAGAGCAGATTTGAAACACTCTTTTTGTGCAATTGGCAAGTGGAGATTTCAAGCGCTTTAAGGTCAATGGCAGAAAAGGAAATATCTTCGTTTCAAAACTAGACAGAATCATTCTCACAAACTGCGTTGTGATGTGTTCGTTCAACTCACAGAGTTTAACCTTTCTGTTCATAGAGCAGTTAGGAAACACTCTGTTTGTAAAGTCTGTAAGTGGATATTCTGACATCTTGTGGCTTTCGTTGGAAACGGGATTTCTTCATATTCTGCTAGACAGAATAATTCTCAGTAACTTCCTTGTGTTGTGTGTATTCAACTCACAGAGTTGAACGATCCTTTACACAGAGCAGACTTGAAACACTCTTTTTGTGGAATTTGCAAGTGGAGATTTCAGCCGCTTTGAGGTCAATAGTAGAAAAGGAAATATCTTCGTAGAAAAACTAGACAGAATGATTCTCATAACTCTTTTGTGATGTGTGCGTTCAACTCACAGAGTTCAACCTTTCTTTTCATAGAGCAGTTGGGAAACACTCTGTTTGTAAAGTCTGCAAGTGGATATTCAGACTTCTTTGAGGCCTTCGTTGGAAGCGGGATTTCTTCATATTCTGCTAGACAGAAGAATTCTCAGTAATTTCCTTGTGTTGTGTGTATTCAGCTGACAGAGTTGAACTTTCATTTAGAGAGAGCAGATTTGAAACACTGTTTTTGTGGAATTTGCAAGTGGATATTTCAAGCGATTTGAGGCCAAAAGCAGAAAAGGAAATATCTTCGTATAAAAACTAGACAGAATCATTCTCAGAAACTGCTCTGCGATGTGTGCGTTCAACTCTCAGAGTTTAACTTTTCTTTTCATTCAGCAGTTTGGAAACACTCTGTTTGTAAAGTCTGCACGTGGATAATTTGACCACTTAGAGGCCTTCGTTGGAAACGGGTTTTTTTCATGTAAGGCTAGACAGAAGAATTCTCAGTAACTTCCTTGTGTTGTGTGTATTCAACTCACAGAGTTGAACGATCCTTTACACAGAGCAGACTTGAAACACTCTTTTTGTGGAATTTGCAAGTGGAGATTTCAGCCGCTTTGAGGTCAATGGTAGAAAAGGAAATATCTTCGTGTAGAAACAAGACAGAATGATTCTCAGAAACTCCTTTGTGATGTGTGCGTTCAACTCACAGAGTTTAACCTTTCTTTTCATAGAGCAGTTAGGAAACACTCTGTTTGTAAAGTCTGCAAGTGGATATTCAGACCTCTTTGAGGCCTTCGTTGGAAACGGCATTTCTTCACATTATGCTAGACAGTTTAATTCTCAATAACTTCCTTGTGTTGTGTGTATTCAACTCACAGAGTTGAACGATCCTTTACAGAGAGCAGACTTGAAACACTCTTTTTGTGGAATTTGCAAGTGGAGATTTCAGCCGCTTTGAGGTCAGTGGTAGAATAGGAAATATCTTCCTATAGAAACTAGACAGAATGATTCTCAGAAACTCCTTTGTGATGTGTGCGTTCAACTCACAGAGTTTAACCTTTCTTTTCATAGAGCAGTTAGGAAACACTCTGTTTGTAAAGTCTGCAAGTGGATATTCAGACCTCTTTGAGGCCTTCGTTGGAAACGGGATTTCTTCATATTCTGCTAGACAGAAGAATTCTCAGTAACTTCCTTGTGTTGTGTGTATTCAACTCTTAGAGTTGAACGATCCTTTACAGAGAGCAGACTTGAAACACTCTTTTTGTGGAATTTGCAAGTGGAGATTTCAGCCGCTTTGAGGTCAATGGTAGAATAGGAAATATCTTCCTATAGAAACTAGACAGAATCATTCTCAGAAACTGCTGCGTGATGTGTGCGTTCAACTCTCAGAGTTTAACTTTTCTTTTCATTCAGCGGTTTGGAAACACTCTGTTTGTAAAGTCTGCACGTGGATATTTTGACCACTTAGAGGCCTTCGTTGGAAACGGGTTTTTTTCATGTAAGGCTAGACAGAAGAATTCCCAGTAACTTCCTTGTGTTGTGTGCATTCAACTCACAGAGTTGAACGTTCCCTTAGACAGAGCAGATTTGAAACACTCTATTTGTGCAATTTGCAAGTGTAGATTTCAAGCGCTTTAAGGTCAATGGCAGAAAAGGAAATATCTTCGTTTCAAAACTAGACAGTATCATTCCCACAAACTGCGTTGTGATGTGTTCGTTCAACTCACAGAGTTTAACCTTTCTGTTCATAGAGCAGTTAGGAAACACTCTGTAAAGTCTGTAAGTGGATATTCTGACATCTTGTGGCCTTCGTTGTAAACGGGATTTCTTCATATTCTGCTAGACAGAAGAATTCTCAGTAACTTCCTTGTGTTGTGTGTATTCAACTCACAGAGTTGAACGATCCTTTACACAGAGCAGACTTGAAACACTCTTTTTGTGGAATTTGCAAGTGGAGATTTCAGCCTCTTTGAGGTCAATGGTAGAATAGGAAATATCTTCCTATGGAAACTAGACAGAATGATTCTCAGAAACTCCTTTGTGATGTGTGCGTTCAACTCACAGAGTTTAACCTTTCTTTTCATAGAGCAGTTGGGAAACACTCTGTTTGTAAAGTCTGCAAGTGGATATTCCGACATCCTTGAGGCTTTCGTTGGAAACGGGATTTCTTCATATTCTGCTAGAAAGAAGAATTCTCAGTAACTTCCTTGTGTTGTGTGTATTCAACTCACAGAGTTGAACGATCCTTTATACAGAGCAGACTTGAAACACTCTTTTTGTGGAATTTGCAAGTGGAGATTTCAGCCGCTTTGAGGTCAATGGTAGAATAGGAAATATCTTCCTATAGAAACTAGACAGAACGATTCTCAGAAACTCCTTTGTGATGTGAGCGTTCAACTCACAGAGTTTAACCTTTCTTTTCATAGAGCAGTTAGGAAACACTCTGTTTGTAAAGTCTGCAAGTGGATATTCAGACCTCTTTGAGGCCTTCGTTGGAAACGGGATTTCTTCATATTCTGCTACACAGAAGAATTCCCAGTAACTTCCTTGTGTTGTGTGCATTCCACTCACAGAGTTGAACGTTCCCTTAGACAGAGCAGATTTGAAACACTCTATTTGTGCAATTTGCAAGTGTAGATTTCAAGCTCTTTAAGGTCAATGGCAGAAAAGGAAATATCTTCGTTTCAAAACTAGACAGAATCATTCCCACAAACTGCGTTGCGATGTGTTCGTTCAACTCACAGAGTTTAACATTTCTTTTCATAGAGCACTTAGGAAACAGTCTGTTTGTAAATTCTGTAAGTGGATATTCTGACATCTTGTGGCCTTCGTTGGAAACAGGATTTCTTCATATTCTGCTAGACAGAAGAATTCTCAGTAACTTCCGGGTGTTGTGTGTATTCAACTCACAGAGTTGAACGATCCTTTACACAGAGCAGACTTGAAACACTCTTTTTGTGGAATTTGCAAGTGGAGATTTCAGCCGCTTTGAGGTCAATGGTAGAAAAGGAAATACCTTCCTATAAAAACTAGACAGAATGATTCTCATAAACTCCTTTGTGATGTGTGCGTTCAACTCACAGAGTTTAACTTTTCTTTTCATAGAGCAGTTAGGAAACACTCTGTTTGTAAAGTCTGCAAGTGGATATTCAGACCTCCTTGAGGCCTTCGTTGGAAACGGGATTTCTTCATATTCTGCTAGACAGAAGAATTCTCAGTAACTTCCTTGAGTTGTGTGTATTCAACTCACAGAGTTGAACGATCCTTTACACAGAGCAGACTTGAAACATTCTTTTTGTGGAATTTGCAAGTGGAGATTTCAGCCGCTTTGAGGTCAATGGTAGAATAGGAAATATCTTCCTATAGAAACTAGACAGAATCATTCTCAGAAACTGCTGCGTGATGTGTTCGTTCAACTCTCAGAGTTTAACTTTTCTTTTCATTCAGCGGTTTGGAAACACTCTGTTTGTAAAGTCTGCACGTGGAAATTTTGACCACTTAGAGGCCTTCGTTGGAAACGGGTTTTTTTCATGTAAGGCTAGACAGAAGAATTCCCAGTAACTTCCTTGTGTTGTGTGCATTCAACTCACAGAGTTGAACGTTCCCTTAGACAGAGCAGATTTGAAACACTCTATTTGTGCAATTTGCAAGTGTAGATTTCAAGCGCTTTAAGGTCAACGGCAGAAAAGGAAATATCTTCGTTTCAAAACTAGACAGAATGATTCTCAGAAACTCCTTTGTGATGTGTGCGTTCAACTCACAGAGTTTAACCTTTCTTTTCATAGAGCCTTTAGGAAACACTCTGTTTGTAAAGTCTGCAAGTGGATATTCAGACCTCCCTGAGGCCTTCGTCGGAAATGGGATTTCTTCATATTCTGCTAGACAGAAGAATTCTCACTAACTTCCTTGTGTTGTGTGTGTTCAACTCACAGAGTTGAACGATCCTTTACACAGAGCAGACTTGAAACACTCTTTTTGTGGAATTTGCAAGTGGAGATTTCAGCCGCTTTGAGGTCAATGGTAGAATAGGAAATATCTTCCTATAGAAAATAGACAGAATGATTCTCAGAAACTCCTTTGTGATGTGGGCGTTCAACTCACAGAGTTTAACCTTTCTTTTCATAGAGCAGTTAGGAAACACTCTGTTTGTAAAGTCTGCACGTGGATATTTGGACTTCTTTGAGGCCTTCGTTGGAAACGGGTTTTTTTCATGTAAGGCTAGACGGAAGAATTCCCAGTAACTTCTTTGTGTTGTGTGTGTTCAACTCACAGAGTTGAACTTTGATTTACACAGAGCAGATTTGAAACACTCTTTTTGTGGAATTTGCAAGTGGAGATTTCAAGCGATTTGAGGCCAAAGGCAGAAAAGGAAATATCTTCGTATAAAAACTAGACAGAATCATTCTCAGAAACTGCTGCGTGATGTGTGCGTTCAAGTCTCAGAGTTTAACTTTTGTTTTCATTCAGCGGTTTGGAAACACTCTGTTTGTAAAGTCTGCACGTGGAAATTTTGACCACTTAGAGGCCTTCGTTGGAAACGGGTTTTTTTCATGTAAGGCTCGACAGAAGAATTCCCAGTAACTTCCTTGTGTTGTGTACATTCAACTCACAGAGTTGAACGTTCCCTTAGACAGAGCAGATTTGAAACACTCTTTTTGTGCAATTGGCAAGTGGAGATTTCAAGCGCTTTGAGGTCAATGGCAGAAAAGGAAATATCTTCGTTTCAAAACTAGACAGAATCATTCCCACAAACTGCGTTGTGATGTGTTCGTTCAACTCACAGAGTTTAACCTTTCTTTTCATAGACCAGTTAGGAAACAGTCTGTTTGTCAATTCTGTAAGTGGATATTCTGACATCTTGTGGCCTTCGTTGGAAACGGGATTTCTTCATATTCTGCTAGACAGAAGAATTCTCAGTAACTTCCTTGTGTTGTGTGTATTCAACTCACAGAGTTGAAGGATCCTTTACAGAGAGCAGGCTTGAAACACTCTTTTTGTCGAATTTGCAAGTGGAGATTTCAGCCGCTTTGAGGTCAATGGTAGAATAGGAAATATCTTCCTATAGAAACTAGACAGAATGATTCTCAGAAACTCCTTTGTGATGTGTGCGTTCAACTCACAGAGTTTAACCTTTCTTTTCATAGAGCAGTTAGGAAACACTCTGTTTGTAAAGTCTGCAAGTGGATATTCAGACCTCTTTGAGGCCTTCGTTGGAATCGGGTTTTTTTCATATAAGGCTAGACAGAAGAATTCCCAGTAACTTCCTTGTGTTGTGTGTGTTCAACTCACAGAGTTGAACTTTCATTTACACAGAGCAGATTTGAAACACTCTTTTTGAGGAATTTGCAAGTGGAGATGTCAAGCGCTTTGAGGCCAAAGGCAGAAAAGGAAATATCTTCGTATAAAAACTAGACAGAATGATTGTCAGAAACTCCTTTGTGATGGGTGTGTTCAATTTAAAGAGTTTAACTTTTCTTTTCATAAAGCAGTTAGGAAACACTCTGTTTGTAAAGTCTGCAAGTGGATATTTTGACCTATTTGAGGCCTTCGTTGGAAACGGGTTTTTTTCCTGTAAGGCTAGATAGAAGAATTCCCAGTAACTTCCTTGTGTTGTGTACATTCAACTCACAGTGTTGAACGTTCCCTTAGACAGAGCAGATTTGAAACACTCTTTTTGTGCAATTGGCAAGTGGAGATTTCAAGCGCTTTAAGGTCAATGGCAGAAAAGGAAATATCTTCATTTCAAAACTAGACAGAATCATTCCCACAAACTGCGTTGTGATGTGTTCGTTCAACTCACAGGGTTTAACCTTTCTTTTCACAGAGCAGTTAGGAAACACTCTGTTTGTAAAGTCTGCACGTGGATATTTTGACCTCTTTGAGGCCTTCGTTGGAAACGGGTTTTTTCATATAAGGCTAGACAGAAGAATTCTCAGAATCTTCCTTGTGTTGTGTGTATTCAACTCACAGAGTTGAACGATCCTTTACACAGAGCAGACTTGTAACACTCTTTTTGTGGAATTTGCAAGTGGAGATTTCAGCCGCTTTGAGGTCAATGGTAGAAAAGGAAATCTCTTCGTATAAAAACTAGACAGAATGATTCTCAGAAACTCCTTTGTGATGTGTGCGTTCAACTCACAGAGTTCAACCTTTCTTTTCATAGAGCAGTTGGAAAACACTCTGTTTGTAAAGTCTGCAAGTGGATATTCAAACTTTCTTTGAGGCCTTCGTTGGAAGCGGGATATCTTCATATTCTGCTAGACAGAAGAATTCCCAGTAACTTCCTTGTGTTGTGTGTGTTCAACTCACAGAGTTGAACTTTGATTTACACAGAGCAGATTTGAAACACTCTTTTTGTGGAATTTGCAAGTGGAGATTTCAAGCGCTTTGAGGCCAAAGGCAGAAAAGGAAATATCTTCGTATAAAAAGTAGACAGAATCATTCTCAGAAACTGCTCTGCGATGTGTGCGTTCAACTCTCAGAGTTTAACTTTTCTTTTCATTCAGCAGTTTGGAAACACTCTGTTTGTAAAGTCTGCACGTGGATATTTTGACCACTTAGAGGCCTTCGTTGGAAACGGGTTTTTTTCCTGTAAGGCTAGACAGAAGAATTCCCAGTAACTTCCTTGTGTTGTGTGCATTCAACTCACAGAGTTGAACGTTCCCTTAGACAGAGCAGATTTGAAACACTCTATTTCTGCAATTTGCAAGTGTAGTTTTCAAGCTCTTTAAGGTCAACGGCAGAAAAGGAAATATCTTCGTTTCAAAACTAGACAGAATCATTCCCACAAACTGCGTTGTGATGTGTTCGTTCAACTCACAGAGTTTAACCTTTCTGTTCATAGAGCAGTTAGGAAACACTCTGTTTCTAAAGTCTGTAAGTGGATATTCTGACATCTTGTGGCCTTCGTTGGAAACGGGATTTCTTCATATTCTGCTAGACAGAAGAATTCTCAGTAACTTTCCTTGTGTTGTGTGTTTTCAACTCACAGAGTTCAACCATCCTTTACACAGAGTAGACTTGAAACACTCTTTTTGTGGAATTGGCAGGGTGGAGATTTCAGCCGCTTTGAGGTCAATGGTAGAAAAGTAAATATCTTCGTATAAAAACTAGACAGAATGATTCTCAGAAACTCCTTTGTGATGTGTGCGTTCAACTCACAGAGTTTAACCTTTCTTTTCATAGAGCAGTTAGGAAACACTCTGCTTGTAAAGTCTGCATGTGGATATTCAGCCCTCTTTGAGGCCTTCGTTGGAAACGGGTTTTTTTCATATAAGGCTAGACAGAAGAATTCCCAGTAACTTCCTTGTGTTGTGTGTGTTCAACTCACAGAGTTGAACTTTCATTTACACAGAGCAGATTTGAAACACTCTTTTTGTGGAATTTGCAAGTGGAGATTTCAAGCGCTTTGAGGCCAAAGGCAGAAAAGGAAATATCTTCGTATAAAAACTAGACAGAATCATTCTCAGAAACTGCTGCGTGATGTGTGCGTTCAACTCTCAGCAGTTTAACTTTTCTTTTCATTCAGCGGTTTGGAAACACTCTGTTTGTAAAGTCTGCACGTGGATATTTTGACCACTTAGAGACCTTCGTTGGAAACGGGTTTTTTTCATGTAAGGCTAGACAGAAGAATTCCCAGTAACTTCCTTGTGTTGTGTACATTCAACTCACAGAGTTGAACGTTCCCTTAGACAGAGCAGATTTGAAACACTCTTTTTGTGCAATTGGCAAGTGGAGATTTCAAGCGCTTTAAGGTCAATTGCAGAAAAGGAAATATCTTCGTTTCAAAACTAGACAGAATGATTCTCAGAAACTCCTTTGTGATGTGTGCGTTCAACTCACAGAGTTTAACCTTTCTTTTCATAGATCAGTTAGGAAACACTCTGTTTGTAAAGTCTGCAAGTGAATATTCAGACCTCTTTGAGGTCTTCGTTGGAAACGGGATTTCTTCATATTCTGCTAGACAGAAGAATTCTCAGTAACTTCCTTGTGTTGTGTGTATTCAACTCACAGAGTTGAACGATCCTTTACACAGAGCAGACTTGAAACACTCTTTTTGTGGAATTTGCAAGTGGAGATTTCAGCCGCTTTGAGGTCAATGGTAGAAAAGGAAACTATCTTCATATAAAGACTAGACAGAATGATTCTCAGAAAATCTTTTGTGATGTGTGCGTTCAACTCACAGAGTTTAACTATTCTTCTCATAGAGCAGTTAGGAAACACTCTGTTTGTAAAGTCTGCAAGTGGATATTCAGACCTCTTTGAGGCCTTCGTTGGAAACGGGATTTCTTCATATTATGCTAGACAGAAGAATTCTCAGTAACTTCCTTGTGTTGTGTGTATTCAACTCACAGAGTTGAACTTTCATTTACACAGAGCAGATTTGAAACACTCTTTTTGAGGAATTTGCAAATGGAGAATTCAAGCGTTTTGAGGCCAAAGGCAGAAAAGGAAATATCTTCGTATAAAAACTAGACAGAATCATTCTCAGAAACTGCTCTGCGATGTGTGCATTCAACTCTCAGAGTTTAATTTTTCTTTTCATTCAGCAGTTTGGAAACACTCTCTTTGTAAAGTCTGCACGTGGATATTTTGACCACTTAGAGGCCTTCGTTGGAAACGGGTTTTATTCCTGTAAGTCTAGACAGAAGAATTCCCAGTAACTTCCTTGTGTTGTGTACATTCAACTCACAGAGTTGAACGTTCCCTTAGACAGAGCAGATTTGAAACACTCTTTTTGTGCAATTGGCAAGTGGAGATTTCAAGCGCTTTAAGGTCAATGGCAGAAAAGGAAATATCTTCGTTTCAAAACTAGACAGAATGATTCTCAGAAACTCCTTTGTGATGTGTGCGTTCAACTCACAGAGTTTAACCTTTCTTTTCATAGAGCAGTTGGGAAACACTCTGTTTGTAAAGTCTGCAAGTGGATATTCAGACCTCTTTGACGCCTTCGTTGGAAACGGGATTTCTTCATATTCTGCTAGACAGAAGAATTCTCAGTAACTTTCCTTGTGTTGTGTGTATTCAACTCACAGAGTTGAACGATCCTTTACACAGAGCAGACTTGAAACACTCTTTTTGCGGAATTTGCAAGTGGAGATTTCAGCCGCTTTGAGGTCAATGGTAGAATAGGAAATATCTTCCTATAGAAACTAGACAGAGTGATTCTCAGAAACTCCTTTGTGATGTCTGCGTTCAACTCACAGAGTTTAACCTTTCTTTTCATAGAGCAGTTAGGAAACACTCTGTTTGTAAAGTCTGCAAGTGGATATTCAGACCTCCTTGAGGCCTTCGTTGGAAACGGGATTTCTTCATATTCTGCTATACAGAGGAATTCTCAGTAACTTCCTTGTGTTGTGTGTATTCAACTGACAGAGTTAAACTTTCATTTAGAGAGAGCAGATTTGAAACACTGTTTTTGTGGAATTTGCAAGTGGAGATTTCAAGCGCTTTGGGGCCAAAGGCAGAAAAGGAAATATCTTCGTATAAAAACTAGACAGAATCATTCTCAGAAACTGCTCTGCGATGTGTGCGTTCAACTCTCAGAGTTTAACTTTTCTTTTCATTCAGCAGTTTGGAAACACTCTGTTTGTAACGTCTGCACGTGAATAATTTGACCACTTAGAGGCCTTCGTTGGAAACGGGTTTTTTTCATGTAAGGCTAGACAGAAGAATTCTCAGTAACTTCCTTGTGTTGTGTGTATTCAACTCACAGAGTTGAACGATCCTTTACACAGAGCAGACTTGTAACACGCTTTTTGTGGAATTTGCAAGTGGAGATTTCAGCCGCTTTGAAGTCAAATGTAGAAAAGGAAATATCTTCCTATAAAAACTAGACAGAATCATTCCCACAAACTGCGTTGTGATGTGTTCGTTCAACTCACAGAGTTTAACCTTTCTTTTCATAGAGCAGTTAGGAAACAGTCTGTTTGTCAATTCTGTAAGTGGATATTCTGACATCTTGTGGCCTTCGTTGGAAACGGGATTTCTTCATATTCTGCTAGACAGAAGAATTCTCAGTAACTTCCGCGTGTTGTGTGTATTCAACTCACAGAGTTGAACGATCCTTTACACAGAGCAGACTTGTAACACTCTATTTGGGGAATTTGCAAGTGGAGATTTCAGCCGCTTTGAAGTCAAAGGTAGAAAAGGAAATATCTTCCTATAAAAACTAGACAGAATGATTCTCAGAAACTCCTTTGTGATGTGTGCGTTCAACTCACAGAGTTTAACCTTTCTTTTCATAGAGCAGTTAGGAAACACTCTGTTTGTAAAGTCTGCAAATGGATATTCAGACCTCTCTGAGGCCTTCGTTGGAAACGGGCTTTTTCATATAAGGCTAGACAGAAGAATTCTCAGTAACTTCCTTGTGTTGTGTGTATTCAACTGACAGAGTTGAACTTTCATTTAGAGAGAGCAGATTTGAAACACTGTTTTTGTGGAATTTGCAAGTGGAGATTTCAAGCGCTTTGGGGCCAAGGGCAGAAAAGGAAATATCTTCGTATAAAAACAAGACAGAATCATTCTCAGAAACTGCTGCGTGATGTGTGCGTTCAACTCTCAGAGTTTAACTTTTCTTTTCATTCAGCGGTTTGGAAACACTCTGTTTGTAAAGTCTGCACGTGGACATTTTGACCACTTAGAGTCCTTCGTTGGAAACGGGTTTTTTTCATGTAAGGCTAGACAGAAGAATTCCCAGAAACTTCCTTGTGTTGTGTGCATTCAACTCACAGAGTTGAACGTTCCCTTAGACAGAGCAGATTTGAAACACTCTATTTGTGCAATTTGCAAGTGTAGATTTCAAGCGCTTTAAGGTCAATGGCAGAAAAGGAAATATCTTCGTTTCAAAACTAGACAGAATCATTCCCACAAACTGCGTTGTGATGTGTTCGTTCAACTCACAGAGTTTAACCTTTCTTTTCATAGAGCAGTTAGGAAACAGTCTGTTTGTCAATTCTGTAAGTGGATATTCTGACATCTTGTGGCCTTCGTTGGAAACGGGATTTCTTCATATTCTGCTAGACAGAATAATTCTCAGTAACTTCCTTGTGTTGTGTGTATTCAACTCACAGAGTTGAACGATCCTTTACATAGAGCAGACTTGAAACACTCTTTTTGTGGAATTTGCAAGTGGAGATTTCAGCCGCTTTGAGGTCAATAGTAGAAAAGGAAATATCTTCGTAGAAAAACTAGACAGAATGATTCTCAGAAACTCCTTTGTGATGTGTGCGTTCAACTCACAGTAGTTTAACTTTTCTTTTCATAGAGCAGTTAGGAAACACTCTGTTTGTAAAGTCTGCAAGTGGATATTCAGACCTCTTTGAGGCCTTCGTTGGAAACGGGATTTCTTCATATTATGCTAGACAGAAGAATTCCCAGTAACTTCCTTGTGTTGTGTGTGTTCAACTCACAGAGTTGAACTTTCATTTACACAGAGCAGATTTGAAACACTCTTTTTGTGGAATTTGCAAGTGGAGATTTCAAGCGCTTTGAGGCCAAAGGCAGAAAAGGAAATATCTTCGTATAAAAACTAGACAGAATCATTTTCAGAAACTGCTCTGCGATGTGTGCGTTCAACTCTCAGAGTTTGACTTTTCTTTTCATTCAGCAGTTTGGAAACACTCTGTTTGTAAAGTCTGCACGTGGATAATTTGACCACTTAGAGGCCTTCGTGGGAAACGGGTTTTTTTCATGTAAGGCTAGACAGAAGAATTCCCAGTAACTTCCTTGTGTTGTGTGCATTCAACTCACAGAGTTGAACGTTCCCTTAGACAGAGCAGATTTGAAACACTCTATTTGTGCAATTTGCAAGTGTAGATTTCAAGCGCTTTAAGGTCAACGGCAGAAAAGGAAATATCTTCGTTTCAAAACTAGACAGAATCATTCCCACGAACTACGTTGTGATGTGTTCGTTCAACTCACAGAGTTTAACCTTTCTTTTCATAGAGCAGTTAGGAAACAGTCTGTTTGTAAATTCTGTAAGTGGATATTCTGACATCTTGTGGCCTTCGTTGGAAACGGGATTTCTTCATATTCTGCTAGACAGAAGAATTCTCAGTAACTTCCTTGTGTTGTGTGTATTCAACTCACAGAGTTGAACGATCCTTTACACAGAGCAGACTTGAAACACTCTTTGTGTGGAATTTGCAAGTGGAGATTTCAGCCGCTTTGAGTTCAATGGTAGAATAGGAAATATCTTCCTATAGAAACTAGACAGAATGATTCTCAGAAACTCCTTTGTGATGTGTGCGTTCAACTCACAGAGTTTAACCTTTCTTTTCATAGAGCAGTTAGGAAACACTCTGTTTGTAAAGTCTGCAAGTGGATATTCAGACCTCCTTGAGGCCTTCTTTGGAAACGGGATTTCTTCATATTATGCTAGACAGAAGAATTCTCAGTAACTTCCTTGTGTTGTGTGTATTCAACTCACAGAGTTGAACGATCCTTTACACAGAGCATACTTGAAACACTCTTCTTGTGGAATTTGCAAGTGGAGATTTCAGCCGCTTTGAGGTCAACTGTAGAATAGGAAATATCTTCCTATAGAAACTAGACAGAAATGATTCTCAGAAACTCTTTTGTGATGTGTGCGTTCAACTCACAGAGTTTAACCTTTCTGTTCATAGAGCAGTTAGGAAACACTCTGTTTGTAAAGTCTGCAAGTGGATATTCAGACCTCCTTGGGGCCTTCGTTGGAAACGGGATTTCTTCATATTCTGCTAGACAGAAGAATTCCCAGTAACTTCCTTGTGTTGTGTACATTCAACTCACAGAGTTGAACGTTCCCTTAGACAGAGCAGATTTGAAACACTCTTTTTGTGCAATTGGCAAATGGAGATTTCAAGCGCTTTAAGGTCAATGGCAGAAAAGGAAATATCTTCGTTTCAAAACTAGACAGAATCATTCCCACAAACTGCGTTGTGATGTGTTCGTTCAACTCACAGAGTTTAACCTTTCTTTTCATAGAGCAGTTAGGAAACAGTCTGTTTGAAAATTCTGTAAGTGGATATTCTGACATCTTGTGGCCTTCGTTGGAAACGGGATTTCTTCATATTCTGCTAGACAGAAGAATTCTCAGTACCTTCCTTGTGTTGTGTGTATTCAACTCACAGAGTTGAACGATCCTTTACACAGAGCAGACTTGAAACACTCTTTTTGTGAAATTTGCAACTGGAGATTTAAGCCGCTTTGTGGTCAATGGTATAATAGGAAATATCTTCCTATAGAAACTAGACAGAATGATTCTGAGAAACTCCTTTGTGATGTGTGCGTTCAACTCACAGAGTTTAACCTTTCTTTTCATAGAGCAGTT
The DNA here is from genome assembly GCF_000001405.40 of Homo sapiens. Taxonomy (NCBI): domain Eukaryota; kingdom Metazoa; phylum Chordata; class Mammalia; order Primates; family Hominidae; genus Homo; species Homo sapiens. The sequence goes on from NC_000001.11 coordinate 124,762,911, forward strand.
AGGAAACACTCTGTTTGTAAAGTCTGCAAGTGGATATTCAGACCTCCTTGAGGCCTTCGTTGGAAACGGGATTTCTTCATATTATGCTAGACAGAAGAATTCTCAGTAACTTCCTTGTGTTTTGTGTATTCAACTCACAGAGTTGAACGATCCTTTACACAGAGCAGACTTGAAACACTCTTTTTGTGGAATTTGCAAGTGGAGATTTCAGCCGCTTTGAGTTCAATGGTAGAATAGGAAATATCTTCCTATGGAAACTAGACAGAATCATTCTCAGAAACTGCTGCGTGATGTGTGCGTTCAACTCTCAGAGTTTAACTTTTCTTTGCATTCAGCGGTTTGGAAACACTCTGTTTGTAAAGTCTGCACGTGGATATTTTGACCACTTAGAGGCCTTCGTTGGAAACGGGTTTTTTTCATGTAAGGCTAGACAGAAGAATTCCCAGTAACTTCCTTGTGTTGTGTGCATTCAACTCACAGAGTTGAACGTTCCCTTAGACAGAGCAGATTTGAAACACTCTATTTGTGCAATTTGCAAGTGTAGATTTCAAGCGCATTAAGGTCAATGGCAGAAAAGGAAATATCTTCGTTTCAAAATTAGACAGAATCATTCCCACAAACTGCGTTGTGATGTGTTCGTTCAACTCACAGAGTTTAACCTTTCTGTTCATAGAGCAGTTAGGAAACACTCTGTTTGTAAAGTCTGTAAGTAGATATTCTGACATCTTGTGGCCTTCGTTGGAAACGGGATTTCTTCATATTCTGCTAGACAGAAGAATTCTCAGTAACTTCCTTGTGTTGTGTGTATTCAACTCACAGAGTTGAACGATCCTTTACACAGAGCAGACTTGAAACACTCTTTTTGTGGAATTTGCAAGTGGAGATTTCAGCCGCTTTGAGGTCAATGGTAGAAAAGGAAACTATCTTCATATAAAGATTAGACAGAATGATTCTCAGAAACTCCTTTGTGATGTGTGCGTTCAACTCACAGAGTTTAACCTTTCTTTTCATAGAGCAGTTGGGAAACACTCTGTTTGTAAAGTCTGCAAGTGGATATTCAGACATCCTTGAGGCTTTCGTTGGAAACGGGATTTCTTCATATTCTGCTAGAAAGAAGAATTCTCAGTAACTTCCTTGTGTTGTGTGTATTCAACTCACAGAGTTGAACGATCCTTTACACAGAGCAGACTTGAAACACTCTTCTTGCGGAATTTGCAAGTGGAGATTTCAGCCGCTTTGAGGTCAATGGTAGAATAGGAAATATCTTCCTATAGAAACTAGACAGAATCATTCTCAGAAACTGCTCTGCGATGTGTGCGTTCAACTCTCAGAGTTTAACTTTTCTTTTCATTCAGCAGTTTGGAAACACTCTGTTTGTAAAGTCTGCACGTGGATATTTTGACCACTTAGAGGCCTTCGTTGGAAATGGGTTTTTTTCCTGTAAGGCTAGACAGAAGAATTCTCAGCAACTTCCTTGTGTTGTGTGTATTCAACTCACAGAGTTGAACGATCCTTTGAGCAGACTTGAGAAACTCTTTTTGTGGAATTTGCAAGTGGAGATTTCAGCCGGTTTGAGGTCAATGGTAGAAAAGGAAATATCTTCGAATAAAAACTAGACAGAATGATTCTCAGAAACTCCTTTATGATGTGTGCGTTCAACTCTCAGAGTTTAACCTTCCTTTTCATAAAGCAGTTAGGAAACACTCTGTTTGTAAAGTCTGCAAGTGGATAATCAGACCTCTTTGAGGCCTTCGTTGGAAACGGGATTTTTTCATATTCTGCTAGACAGAAGAATTCTCAGTAACTTCCTCGTGTTGTGTGTATTCAACTCACAGAGTTGAACGATCCTTTACACAGAGCAGACTTGAAACACTCTTTTTGTGGAATTTGCAAATGGAGATTTCAGCCGCTTTGAGGTCAGTGGTTGAAAAGGAAATATCTTCATATAAAAATTAGACAGAATGATTCTCAGAAACTTCTTTGTGATGTGTGCGTTCAACTCACAGAGTTTAACCTTTCTTTTCATAGAGCAGTTATGAAACACTCTGTTTGTAAACTCTGCAAGTGGATATTCAGACCTCTTTGAGGCCTTCGTTGGAAACGGGATTTCTTCATACTGTGCTAGACAGAAGAATTCCCAGTAACTTCCTTGTGATGTGTGTGTTCAACTCACAGAGTTCAACTTTCATTTACACAGAGCAGATTTGAAACACTCTTTTTGTGGAATTTGCAAGTGGAGATTTCAAGCGCTTTGAGGCCAAAGGCAGAAAAGGAAATATCTTCGTATAAAAACTACACAGAATGATTCTCAGAAACTCCTTTGTGATGTGTGCGTTCAACTCACAGAGTTTAACCTTTCTTTTCATAGAGCAGTTAGGAAACACTCTGTTTGTAAAGTCTGCAAGTGATATTCAGACCTCTTTGAGGCCTTCGTTGGAAACGGGTTTTTTTCATATAAGGCTAGACAGAAGAATTCCCAGTAACTTCCTTGTGTTGTGTACATTCAACTCACAGAGTTGAACCGTTCCCTTAGACAGAGCAGATTTGAAACACTCTTTTTGTGCAATTGGCAAGTGGAGATTTCAAGCGCTTTGAGGTCAATGGCAGAAAAGGAAATATCTTCGTTTCAAAACTAGACAGAATGATTCTCAGAAACTTCTTTGTGATGTGTGCGTTCAACTCACACAGTTTAACCTTTCTTTTCATAGAGCAGTTAGGAAACACTCTGTTTGTAAACTCTGCAAGTGGATATTCAGACCTCTTTGAGGCCTTCGTTGGAAACGGGATTTCTCCATACTGTGCTAGACAGAAGAATTCTCAGTAACTTCCTTGTGTTGTGTGTATTCAACTCACAGAGTTGAACGATCCTTTACACAGAGCGGACTTGAAACACTCGTTTTGTGGAATTTGCAAGTGGAGATTTCAGCCGCGTTGAGGTCAATGGTAGAAAAGGAAATATCTTCGTATAAAAACTAGACAGAATGATTCTGAAAACTCCTTTGTGATGTGTGCGTTCAACTCACACAGTTTAACCTTTCTTTTCATAGAGCAGTTAGGAAACACTCTGTTTGTAAAGTCTGCAAGTGGATATTCAGACCTCCTTGAGGCCTTCGTTGGAAACGGGATTTCTTCATATTATGCTAGACAGAAGAATTCTCAGTAACTTCCTTGTGTTGTGTGTATTAAACTGACAGAGTTGAACTTTCATTTAGAGAGAGCAGATTTGAAACACTGTTTTTGTGGAATTTGCAAGTGGAGATTTCAAGCGCTTTGGGGCCAAAGGCAGAAAAGGAAATATCTTCGTATAAAAACTAGACAGAATCATTCTCAGAAACTGCTCTGCGATGTGTGCGTTCAACTCTCAGAGTTTAACTTTTCTTTTCATTCAGCAGTTTGGAAACATTCTGTTTGTAAAGTCTGCACGTGGATATTTTGACCACTTAGAGGCCTTCGTTGGAAACGGGTTTTTTTCCTGTAAGGCTAGACAGAAGAATTCCCAGTAACTTCCTTGTGTTGTGTACATTCAACTCACAGAGTTGAACGTTCCCTTAGACAGAACAGATTTGAAACACTCTTTTTGTGCAATTGGCAAATGGAGATTTCAAGCGCTTTGAGATCAATGGTAGAAAAGGAAATATCTTCGTTTCAAAACTAGACAGAATCATTCCCACAAACTGCGTTGTGATGTGTTCGTTCAACCTACAGTGTTTAACCTTTCTTTTCATAGAGCAGTTAGGAAACAGTCTGTTTGTAAATTCTGTAAGTGGATATTCTGACATCTTGTGGCCTTGGTTGGAAACGGGATTTCTTCATATTCTGCTAGACAGAAGAATTCTCAGAATCTTCCTTGTGTTGTGTGTATTCAACTCACAGAGTTGAACGATGGTTTACACAGAGCAGATTTGAAACACTCTTTTTGTGGAATTTGCAAGTGGAGATTTCAGCCGCTTTGAGGTCAATGGTAGAAAAGGAAATATCTTCGTATAAAAACTAGACAGAATGATTCTCAGAAACTTCATTGTGTTGTGTGCGTTCAACTCACAGAGTTTAACCTTTCTTTTCATAGAGCAGTTAGGAAACACTCTGTTTGTAAACTCTGCAAGTGGATATTCAGAGCTCTTTGAGGCCTTCGTTGGAAACGGGATTTCTTCATACTGTGCTAGACAGAAGAATTCCCAGTAACTTCCTTGTGTTGTGTGTGTTCAACTCACAGAGTTGAACTTTGATTTACACAGAGCAGATTTGAAACACTCTTTTTGTGGAATTTGCAAGTGGAGATTTCAAGCGCTTTGAGGCCAAAGGCAGAAAAGGAAATATCTTCGTATAAAAACTAGACAGAATCATTCTCAGACACTGCTCTGCGATGTGTGCGTTCAACTCTCAGAGTTTAACTTTTCTTTTCATTCAGCAGTTTGGAAACACTCTGTTTGTAAAGTCTGCACGTGGATATTTTGACCACTTAGAGGCCTTCGTTGGAAACGGGTTTTTTTCCTGTAAGGCTAGACAGAAGAATTCCCAGTAACTTCCTTGTGTTGTGTACATTCAACTCACAGAGTTGAACGTTCCCTTAGACAGAGCAGATTTGAAACACTCTTTTTGTGCAATTGGCAAATGGAGATTTCAAGCGCTTTAAGGTCAATGGCAGAAAAGGAAATATCTTCGTTTCAAAACTAGACAGAACGATTCTCAGAAATTCCTTTGTGATGTGTGCGTTCAACTCACAGAGTTTAACCTTTCTTTTCATAGAGCAGTTAGGAAACACTCTGTTTGAAAAGTCTGCAAGTGGATATTCAGACCTCTTTGAGGCCTTCGTTGGAAACGGGATTTCTTCATATTCTGCTAGACAGAAGAATTCTCAGTAACTTCCTTGTGTTGTGTGTATTCAACTCACAGAGTTGAACGATCGTTTACACAGAGCAGACTTGAAACACTCTTTTTGTGGAATTTGCAAGTGGAGATTTCAGCCGCTTTGAGGTCAATAGTAGAAAAGGAAATATCTTCGGAGAAAAACTAGACAGAATGATTCTCAGAAACTCCTTTGTGATGTGTGTGTTCAACTCACAGAGTTTAACCTTTCTTTTCATAGAGCAGTTAGGAAACACTCTGTTTGTAAAGTCTGCAAGTGGATATTCAGACCTCTTTGAGGCCTTCGTTGGAAACGGGTTTTTTTCATATAAGGCTAGACAGAAGAATTCCCAGTAACTTCCTTGTGTTGTGTGTGTTCAACTCACAGAGTTGAACTTTCATTTACACAGAGCAGATTTGAAACACTCTTTTTGTGGAATTTGCAAGTGGAGATTTCAAGCGCTTTGAGGCCAAAGGCAGAAAAGGAAATATACTTCGTATAAAAACTAGACAGAATCATTCTCAGAAACTGCTCTGCGATGTGTGCGTTCAACTCTCAGAAGTTTAACTTTTCTTTTCATTCAGCAGTTTGGAAACACTCTGTTTGTAAAGTCTGCACGTGGATAACTTGACCACTTAGAGGCCTTCGTTGGAAACGGGTTTTTTTCATGTAAGGCTAGACAGAAGAATTCCCAGTAACTTCCTTGCGTTGTGTACATTCAACTCACAGAGTTGAACGTTCCCTTAGACAGAGCAGATTTGAAACACTCTTTTTGTGCAATTGGCAAGTGGAGATTTCAAGCGCTTTAAGGTCAATGGCAGAAAAGGAAATATCTTCGTTTCAAAACTAGACAGAATGATTCTCAGAAACTCCTTTGTGATGTGTGCGTTCAACTCACAGAGTTTAACTTTTCTTTTCATAGAGCAGTAAGGAAACACTCTGTTTGTAAAGTCTGCAAGTGGATATTCAGACCTCTTTGAGGCCTTCGTTGGAAACGGGATTTCTTCATATTATGCTAGACAGAATAATTCTCAGTAACTTCCTTGTGTTGTGTGTATTCAACTCACAGAGTTGAACGATCCTTTACAGAGAGCAGACTTGAAACACTCTTTTTGTGGAATTTGCAAGTGGAGATTTCAGCCGCTTTGAGGTCAATGGTAGAAAAGGAAATATCTTCGTATAAAGACTAGACAGAATGATTCTCAGAAACTCCTTTGTGATGTGTGCGTTCAACTCACAGAGTTTAACCTTTCTTTTCATAGAGCAGTTAGGAAACACTCTGTTTGTAAAGTCTGCAAGTGGATATTCAGACCTCCTTGAGGTCTTCGTTGGAAACGGGATTTCTTCATATTCTGCTAGACAGAAGAATTCTCAGTAACTTCCTTGTGTTGTGTGTATTCAACTGACAGAGTTGAACTTTCATTTACAGAGAGCAGATTTGAAACACTGTTTTTGTGGAATTTGCAAGTGGAGATTTCAAGCGCTTTGGGGCCAAAGGCAGAAAAGGAAATATCTTCGTGTAAAAACTAGACAGAATCATTCTCAGAAACTGCTGCGTGATGTGTGCTTTCAACTCTCAGAGTTTAACTTTTCTTTTCATTCAGCGGTTTGGAAACACTCTGTTTGTAAAGTCTGCACGTGGATATTTTGACCACTTAGAGGCCTACGTTGGAAACGGGTTTTTTTCATGTAAGGCTAGACAGAAGAATTCCCAGTAACTTCCTTGTGTTGTGTGCATTCAACTCACAGAGTTGAACGTTCCCTTAGACAGAGCAGATTTGAAACACTCTATTTGTGCAATTTGCAAGTGTAGATTTCAAGCGCTTTAAGGTCAATGGCAGAAAAGGAAATATCTTCGTTTCAAAACTAGACAGAATCATTCCCACAAACTGCGTTGTGATATGTTCGTTCAACTCACAGAGTTTAACCTTTCTGTTCATAGAGCAGTTAGGAAACACTCTGTTTGTAAAGTCTGTAAGTGGATATTCTGACATCTTGTGGCCTTCGTTGGAAACGGGATTTCTTCATATTCTGCTAGACAGAAGAATTCTCAGTAACTTCCTTGTGTTGTGTGTATTCAACTCACAGAGTTGAACGATCCTTTACACAGAGCGGACTTGAAACACTCTTTTTGTGAAATTTGCAAGTGGAGATTTCAGCCGCGTTGAGGTCAATGGTAGAAAAGGAAATATCTTCGTATAAAAACTAGACAGAATGATTCTCATAAACTCCTTTGTGATGTGTGCGTTCAACTCACAGAGTTTAACCTTTCTTTTCATAGAGCAGTTAGGAGACACTCTGTTTGTAAAGTCTGCAAGTGGATATTCAGACCTCTTTGAGGCCTTCGTTGGAAAAGGGATTTCTTCATATTATGCTAGACAGAAGAATTCTCAGTAACTTCCTTGTGTTGTGTGTATTCAACTGACAGAGTTGAACTTTCATTTAGAGAGAGCAGATTTGAAACACTGTTTTTGTGGAATTTGCAAGTGGAGATTTCAAGCGCTTTGGGGCCAAAGGCAGAAAAGGAAATATCTTCGTATAAAAACTAGACAGAATCATTCTCAGAAACCGCTCTGTGATGTGTGCGTTCAAGTCTCAGAGTTTAACTTTTCTTTTCATTCAGCAGTTTGGAAACACTCTGTTTGTAAAGTCTGCACGTGGATATTTTGACAACTTAGAGGCCTTCGTTGGAAACGGGTTTTTTTTCACGTAAGGCTAGACAGAAGAATTCCCAGTAACTTCCTTGTGTTGTGTACATTCAACTCACAGAGTTGAACGTTCCCTTAGACAGAGCAGATTTGAAACACTCTTTTTGTGCAATTGGCAAATGGAGATTTCAAGCGCTTTAAGGTCAATGGCAGAAAAGGAAATATCTTCGTTTCAAAACTAGACAGAATCATTCCCACAAACTGCGTTGTGATGTGTTCGGTCAACTCACAGAGTTTAACCTTTCTTTTCATAGAGCAGTTAGGAAACAGTCTGTTTGTAAATTCTGTAAGTGGATATTCTGACATCTTGTGGCCTTCGTTGGAAACGGGATTTCTTCATATTCTGCTAGACAGAAGAATTCTCAGTAACTTCCTTGTGTTGTGTGTATTCAACTCACAGAGTTGAACGATCCTTTACACTGAGCAGACTTGAAACACTCTTTTTGTGGAATTTGCAAGTGGAGATTTCAGCCGCTTTGAGGTCAATGGTAGAAAAGGAAATATCTTCGTATAAAGACTAGACAGAATGATTCTCAGAAACTCCTTTGTGATGTGTGCGTTCAACTCACAGAGTTTAACTTTTCTTTTCATAGAGCAGTTAGGAAACACTCTGTTTGTAAAGTCTGCAAGTGGATATTCAGACCTCTTTGAGGCCTTCGTTGGAAACGGGATTTCTTCATATTATGCTAGACAGAATAATTCTCAGTAACTTCCTTGTGTTGTGTGTATTCCACTCACAGAGTTGAACGATCCTTTACGGAGAGCAGACTTGAAACACTCTTTTTGTGGAATTTGCAAGTGGAGATTTCAGCCGCTTTGAGGTCAATGGTAGAATAGGAAATATCTTCCTATGGAAACTAGACAGAATCATTCTCAGAAACTGCTCTGCGATGTGTGCGTTCAACTCTCAGAGTTTAACTTTTCTTTTCATTCAGCAGTTTGGAAACACTCTGTTTGTAAAGTCTGCACGTGGATATTTTGACCACTTAGAGGCCTTCGTTGGAAACGGGTTTTTTTCCTGTAAGGCTAGACAGAAGAATTCCCAGTAACTTCCTTGTGTTGGGTGCATTCAACTCACAGAGTTGAACGTTCCCTTAGACAGAGCAGATTTGAAACACTCTATTTGTGCAATTTGCAAGTGTAGATTTCAAGCGCTTTAAGGTCAATGGCAGAAAAGGAAATATCTTCGTTTCAAAACTAGACAGAATCGTTCCCACAAACTGCGTTGTGATGTGTTCGTTCAACTCACAGAGTTTAACCTTTCTGTTCATAGAGCAGTTAGGAAACACTCTGTTTGTAAAGTCTGTAAGTGGATATTCTGACATCTTGTGGCCTTCGTTGGAAACGGGATTTCTTCATATTCTGCTAGACAGAAGAATTCTCAGTAACTTCCTTGTGTTGTGTGTATTCAACTCACAGAGTTGAATGATCCTTTACACAGAACAGTCTTGAAACACTCTTTTTGTGGAATTTGCAAGTGGAGATTTCAGCCGCTTTGAGGTCAATGGTAGAATAGGAAATATCTTCCTATAGAAAATAGACAGAATGATTCTCAGAAACTCCTTTGTGATGTGTGCGTTCAACTCACACAGTTTAACCTTTCTTTTCATAGAGCAGTTAGGAAACACTCTGTTTGTAAAGTCTGCAAGTGGATATTCAGACCTCTTTGAGGCCTTCGTTGGAAACGGGATTTTTTCATATTATGCTAGACAGAAGAATTCTCAGTAACTTCCTTGTGTTGTGTGTATTCAACTGACAGAGTTGAACTTTCATTTAGACCGAGCAGATTTGAAACACTCTTTTTGTGGAATTTGCAAGTGGAGATTTCAAGCGCTTTGAGGCCAAAGGCAGAAAAGGAAATATCTTCGTATAAAAACTAGACAGAATCATTCTCAGAAACTGCTGCGTGATGTGTGCGTTCAACTCTCAGAGTTTAACTTTTCTTTTCATTCAGCGGTTTGGAAACACTCTGTTTGTAAAGTCTGCACGTGGACATTTTGACCCCTTAGAGGCCTTCGTTGGAAACGGGTTTTTTTCATGTAAGGCTAGACAGAAGAATTCCCAGTAACTTCCTTGTGTTGTGTGCATTCAACTCACAGAGTTGAACGTTCCCTTAGACAGAGCAGATTTGAAACACTCTATTTGTGCAATTTGCAAGTGTAGATTTCAAGCGCTTTAAGGTCAACGGCAGAAAAGGAAATATCTTCGTTTCAAAACTAGACAGAATGATTCTCAGAAACTCCTTTGTGATGTGTGCGTTCAACTCACAGAGTTTAACCTTTCTTTTCATAGAGTAGTTAGGAAACACTCTGTTTGTGAAGTCTGCCAGTGGATATTCAGACCTCTTTGAGGCCTTCGTTGGAAACGGGGTTTCTTCATATTATGCTAGACAGAAGAATTCTCAATAACTTCCTTGTGTTGTGTGCATTCAACTCACAGAGTTGAATGATCCTTTACACAGAGCAGATTAGAAACACTCTTTTTGTGGAATTTGCAAGTGGAGATTTCAGCCGCTTTGAGGTCAATGGTAGAAAAGGAAATATCTTCGTATAAAAACTAGACAGAATGATTCTCAGAAACTCCTTTGTGATGTGTGCGTTCAACTCACAGAGTTTAACCTTTCTTTTCATAGAGCAGTTAGGAAACACTCTGTTTGTAAAGTCTGCAAGTGGATATTCAGACCTCTTAGAGGCCTTCGTTGGAAACGGGATTTCTTCATACTCTAGACAGAAGAATTCCCAGTAACTTCCTTGTGTTGTGTGTGTTCAACTCACAGAGTTGAACTTTCATTTACACAGAGGAGATTTGAAACACTCTTTTTGTGGAATTTGCAAATGGAGATTTCAAGCGCTTTGAGGCCAAAGGCAGAAAAGGAAATATCTTCGTATAAAAACTAGACAGAATCATTCTCAGAAACTGCTCTGCGATGTGTGCGTTCAACTCTCAGAGTTTAACTTTTCTTTTCATTCAGCAGTTTGGAAACACTCTGTTTGTAAAGTCTGCACGTGGATATTTTGACCACTTAGAGGCCTTCGTTGGAAACGGGTTTTTTTCCTGTAAGGCTAGACAGAAGAATTCCCAGTAACTTCCTTGTGTTGTGTGCATTCAACTCACAGAGTTGAACGTTCCCTTAGACAGAGCAGATTTGAAACACTCTATTTGTGCAATTTGCAAGTGTAGTTTTCAAGCTCTTTAAGGTCAACGGCAGAAAAGGAAATATCTTGGTTTCAAAACTAGACAGAATCATTCCCACAAACTGCGTTGTGATGTGTTCATTCAACTCACAGAGCTTAACCTTTCTGTTCATAGAGCAGTTAGGAAACACTCTGTTTGTAAAGTCTGTAAGTGGATATTCTGACATCTTGTGGCCTTCGTTGGAAACGGGATTTCTTCATATTCTGCTAGACAGAAGAATTCTCATTAACTTCCTTGTGTTGTGTGTATTCAACTCACAGAGTTGAACGATCCTTTACACAGAGCAGACTTGAAACATTCTTTTTGTGGAATTTGCAAGTGGAGATTTCAGCCGCTTTGAGGTCAATGGTAGAATAGGAAATATCTTCCTATAGAAACTAGACAGAATGATTCTCAGAAAATCTTTTGTGATGTGTGCGTTCAACTCACAGAGTTTAACTTTTCTTCTCATAGAGCAGTTAGGAAACACTCTGTTTATAAAGTCTGCAAGTGGATATTCAGACCTCTTTGAGGCCTTCGTTGGAAACGGGATTTCTTCATATTCTGCTAGACAGAAGAATTCCCAGTAACTTCCTTGTGTTGTGTGTGTTCAACTCACAGAGTTGAACTTTGATTTACAGAGCAGATTTGAAACACTCTTTTTGTGGAATGTGCAAGTGGAGATTTCAAGCGCTGTGAGGCCAAAGGCAGAAAAGGATATATCTTCGTATAAAAACTAGACAGAATCATTCTCAGAAACTGCTCTGCGATGTGTGCGTTCAACTCTCAGAGTTTAACTTTTCTTTTCATTCAGCAGTTTGGAAACACTCTGTTTGTAAAGTCTGCACGTGGATATTTTGACCACTTAGAGGCCTTCGTTGGAAACGGGTTTTTTTCCTGTAAGGCTAGACAGAAGAATTCCCAGTAACTTCCTTGTGTTGTGTGCATTCAACTCACAGAGTTGAACGTTCCCTTAGACAGAGCAGATTTGAAACACTCTATTTGTGCAATTTGCAAGTGTAGATTTCAAGCGCTTTAAGGTGAATGGCAGAAAAGGAAATATCTTCGTTTCAAAACTAGACAGAATGATTCTCAGAAACTCCTTTGTGATGTGTGCGTTCAACTCACAGAGTTTAACCTTTCTTTTCATAGAGCAGTTAGGAAACACTCTGTTTGTAAAGTCTGGAAGTGGATATTCAGACATCCTTGAGGCTTTCGTTGGAAACGGGATTTCTTCATATTCTGCTAGAAAGAAGAATTCTCAGTAACTTCCTTGTGTTGTGTGTATTCAACTCACAGAGTTGAACGATCCTTTACACAGAGCAGACTTGAAACACTCTTTTTGTGGAATTTGCAAGTGGAGATTTCAGCCGCTTTGAGTTCAATGGTAGAATAGGAAATATCTTCCTATAGAAACTAGACAGAATGATTCTCATAAACTCCTTTGTGATGTGTGCGTTCAACTCACAGAGTTTAACCTTTCTTTTCATAGAGCAGTTAGGAAACACTCTGTTTGTAAAGTCTGCAAGTGGATATTCAGACCTCTTTGAGGCCTTCGTTGGAAACGGGATTTCTTCATATTATGCTAGACAGAAGAATTCTCAGTAACTTCCTTGTGTTGTGTGTATTCAACTGACAGAGTTGAAGTTTCATTAAGAGAGAGCAGATTTGAAACACTGTTTTTGTGGAATTTGCAAGTGGAGATTTCAAGCGCTTTGGGGCCAAAGGCAGAAAAGGAAATATCTTCGTATAAAAACTAGACAGAATCATTCTCAGAAACTGCTGCGTGATGTGTGCGTTCAACTCTCAGAGTTTAACTTTTCCTTTTCATTCAGCGGTTTGGAAACACTCTGTTTGTAAAGTCTGCACGTGGATATTTTGACCACTTAGAGGCCTTCGTTGGAAACGGGTTTTTTTCATGTAAGGCTAGACAGAAGAATTCCCAGTAACTTCCTTGTGTTGTGTACATTCAACTCACAGAGTTGAACGTTCCCTTAGACAGAGCAGATTTGAAACACTCTTTTTGTGCAATTGGCAAATGGAGATTTCAAGCGCTTTAAGTTCAATGGCAGAAAAGGAAATATCTTCGTTTCAAAACTAGACAGAATCATTCCCACAAACTGCGTTGTGATGTGTTCGTTCAACTCACAGAGTTTAACCTTTCTTTTCATAGAGCACTTAGGAAACAGTCTGTTTGTAAATTCTGTAAGTGGATATTCTGACATCTTGTGGCCTTCGTTGGAAACGGGATTTCTTCATATTCTGCTAGACAGAATAATTCTCAGTAACTTCCTTGTGTTCTGTGTATTCAACTTACAGAGTTGAACGATCCTTTACAGAGAGCAGACTTGAAACACTCTTTTTGTGGAATTTGCAAGTGGAGATTTCAGCCGCTTTGAGGTCAATGGTAGAAAAGGAAATATCTTCGTATAAAGACTAGACAGAATGATTCTCAGAAACTCCTTTGTGATGTGTGCGTTCAACTCACAGAGTTCAACTTTTCTTTTCATAGAGCAGTTAGGAAACACTCTGTTTGTAAAGTCTGCAAGTGGATATTCAGACCTCTTTGAGGCCTTCGTTGGAAACGGGATTTCTTCATATTCTGCAAGACAGAAGAATTCTCAGTAACTTCCTTGTGTTCTGTGTATTCAACTCACAGAGTTGAACGATCCTTTACACAGAGCAGACTTGAAACACTCTTTTTGTGGAATTTGCAAGTGGAGATTTCAGCCGCTTTGAGGTCAATGGTAGAAAAGGAAATATCTTCGTATAAAGACTAGACAGAATCATTCTCAGAAACTGCTCTGCGATGTGTGCGTTCAACTCTCAGAGTTTAACTTTTCTTTTCATTCAGCAGTTTGGAAACACTCTGTTTGTACAGTCTGCACGTGGATAATTTGACCACTTAGAGGCCTTCGTTGGAAACGGGTTTTTTTCATGTAAGGCTAGACAGAAGAATTCTCAGTAACTTCCTTGTGTTGTGTGTATTCAACTCACAGAGTTGAACGATCCTTTACACAGAGCAGACTTGTAACACTCTTTTTGTGGAATTTGCAAGTGGAGATTTCAGCCGCTTTGAAGTCAAATGTAGAAAAGGAAATATCTTCCTATAAACACTAGACAGAATCATTCCCACAAACTGCGTTGTGATGTGTTCGTTCAACTCACAGAGTTTAACCTTTCTTTTCATAGAGCAGTTAGGAAACAGTCTGTTTGTCAATTCTGTAAGTGGATATTCTGACATCTTGTGGCCTTCGTTGGAAACGGGATTTCTTCATATTCTGCTAGACAGAAGAATTCTCAGAAACTTCCTTGTGTTGTGTGTATTCAACTCACAGAGTTGAACGATCGTTTACACAGAGCAGACTTGAGACACTCTTTTTGTGGAATTTGCAAGTGGAGATTTCAGCCGCTTTGAGGTCAATGGTAGAAAAGGAAATATCTTCATATAAAAACTAGACAGAATGATTCTCAGAATCTTCTTTGTGATGTGTGCGTTCAACTCACAGAGTTTAACCTTTCTTTTCATAGAGCAGTTAGGAAACACTCTGTTTGTAAATTCTGCAAGTGGATATTCAGACCTCATTGAGGCCTTCGTTGGAAACGGGATTTCTTCATACTATGCTAGACAGAAGAATTCTCAGTAACTTCCTTGTGTTGTGTGTATTCAACTGACAGAGTTGAACTTTCATTTAGAGAGAGCAGATTTGAAACACTGTTTTTGTGGAATTTGCAAGTGGAGATTTCAAGCGCTTTGGGGCCAAAGGCAGAAAAGGAAATATCTTCGTATAAAAACTAGACAGAATCATTCTCAGAAACTGCTCTGCGATGTGTGCGTTCAACTCTCAGAGTTTAACTTTTCTTTTCATTCAGCAGTTTGGAAACACTCTGTTTGTAAAGTCTGCACGTGTATATTTTGACCACTTAGAGGCCTTCGTTGGAAACGGGTTTTTTTCCTGTAAGGCTAGACAGAAGAATTCCCAGTAACTTCCTTGTGTTGTGTACATTCAACTCACAGAGTTGAACGTTCCCTTAGACAGAGCAGATTTGAAACACTCTTTTTGTGCAATTGGCAAATGGAGATTTCAAGCGCTTTAAGGTCAATGGCAGAAATGGAAATATCTTCGTTTCAAAACTAGACAGAATCATTCCCACAAACTGCGTAGTGATGTGTTCGTTCAACTCACAGAGTTTAACCTTTCTTTTCATAGAGCAGTTAGGAAACAGTCTGTTTGTCAATTCTGTAAGTGGATATTCTGACATCTTGTGGCCTTCGTTGGAAACGGGATTTCTTCATATTCTGCTAGACAGAAGAATTCCCAGTAACTTCCTTTTGTTGTGTACATTCAACTCACAGAGTTGAACGTTCCCTTAGACAGAGCAGACTTGTAACACTCTTTTTGTGGAATTTGCAAGTGGAGATTTCAGCCGCTTTGAAGTCAAAGGTAGAAAAGGAAATATCTTCCTATAAAAACTAGACAGAATGATTCTCAGAAACTCCTTTGTGATGTGTGCGTTCAACTCACAGAGTTTAACCTTTCTTTTCATAGAGCAGTTAGGAAACACTCTGTTTGTAAAGTCTGCAAGTGGATATTCAGACCTCTTTGAGGCCTTCGTTGGAAACGGGTTTTTTTCATATAAGGCTAGACAGAAGAATTCCCAGTAACTTCCTTGTGTTGTGTGTGTTCAACTCACAGAGTTGAACTTTCATTTACCCAGAACAGATTTGAAACACTCTTTTTGTGGAATTTGCAAGTGGAGATTTCAAGCACTTTGAGGCCAAAGGCAGAAAAGGAAATATCTTCGTTTCAAAACTAGACAGAATCATTCTCAGAAACTGCTGCGTGATGTGTGCGTTCAACTCTCAGAGTTTAACTTTTCTTTTCATTCAGTGGTTTGGAAACACTCTGTTTGTAAAGTCTGCACGTGGATATTTTGACCACTTAGAGGCCTTCGTTGGAAACGGGTTTTTTTCATGTAAGGCTAGACAGAAGAATTCCCAGTAACTTCCTTGTGTTGTGTACATTCAACTCACAGAGTTGAACGTTCCCTTAGACAGAGCAGATTTGAAACACTCTTTTTGTGCAATTGGCAAGTGGAGATTTCAAGCGCTTTAAGGTCAATGGCAGAAAAGGAAATATCTTCGTTTCAAAACTAGACAGAATGATTCTCAGAAACTCCTTTGTGATGTGTGCGTTCAACTCACAGAGTTCAACCTTTCTTTTCATAGAGCAGTTGGGAAACACTCTGTTTGTAAAGTCTGTAAGTGGATATTCAGACTTCTTTGAGGCCTTCGTTGGAAGCGGGGTTTCTTCATATTCTGCTAGACAGAAGAATTCTCAGAAACTTCCTTGTGTTGTGTGTTTTCAACTCACAGAGTTGAACGATCCTTTACACAGAGCAGACTTGAAACACTCCTTTTGTGGAATTTGCAAGTGGAGATTTCAGCCGCTTTGAGGTCAATGGTAGAATAGGAAATATCTTCCTATAGAAAGTAGACAGAATGATTCTCAGAAACTCCTTTGTGATGTGTGCGTTCAACTCACAGAGTTCAACCTTTCTTTTCATAGAACAGTTGGGAAACACTCTGTTTGTAAAGTCTGCAAGTGGATATTCAGACATCCTTGAGGCTTTCGTTGGAAACGGGATTTCTTCATATTCTGCTAGAAAGAAGAATTCTCAGTAACTTCCTTGTGTTGTGTGTATTCAACTGACAGAGTTGAACTTTCATTTAGAGAGAGCAGATTTGAAACACTGTTTTTGTGGTATTTGCAAGTGGAGATTTCAAGCGCTTTGGGGCCAAAGGCAGAAAAGGAAATATCTTCGTATAAAACTAGACAGAATCATTCTCAGAAACTGCTCTGCGATGTGTGCGTTCAGCTCTCAGAGTTTAACTTTTCTTTTCATTCAGCAGTTTGGAAACACTCTGTTTGTAAAGTCTGCACGTGGATATTTTGACCACTTAGAGGCCTTCGATGGAAATGGGTTTTTGTCATGTAAGGCTAGACAGAAGAATTCCCAGTAACTTCCTTGTGTTGTGTACATTCAACTCACAGAGTTGAACGTTCCCTTAGACAGAGCAGATTTGAAACACTCTTTTTGTGCAATTGGCAAGTGGAGATTTCAAGCGCTTAAGGTCAATGGCAGAAAAGGAAATATCTTCGTTTCAAAACTAGACAGAATCATTCCCACAAACTCCGTTGTGATGTGTTCGTTCAACTCACAGAGTTTAACCTTTCTTTTCATAGAGCAGTTAGGAAACAGTCTGTTTGTCAATTCTGTAAGTGGATATTCTGACATCTTGTGGCCTTCGTTGGAAACGGGATTTCTTCACATTCTGCTAGACAGAAGAATTCTCAGAAACTTCCTTGTGTTGTGTGTTTTCAAGTCACAGAGTTGAACGATCCTTTACACAGAGCAGACTTGAAACACTCTTTTTGTGGAATTTGCCAGTGGAGATTTCAGCCGCTTTGAGGTCAATGGTAGAAAAGGAAATATCTTCGTATAAAAAGTAGACAGAATGATTCTCAGAAACTCCTTTGTGATGTGGGCGTTCAACTCACAGAGTTTAACCTTTCTTTTCATAGAGCAGTTAGGAAACACTCTGTTTGTAAAGTCTCCACGAGGATACTTGGACTTCTTTGAGGCCTTCGTTGGAAACGGGTTTTTTTCATGTAAGGCTGGACAGAAGAATTCTCAGTAACTTCCTTGTGTTGTGTGTATTCAACTGACAGAGTTGAACTTTCATTTAGAGAGAGCAGATTTCAAACACTGTTTTTTTGGAATTTGCAAGTGGAGATTTCAAGCGCTTTGGGGTCAAAGGCAGAAAAGGAAATATCTTCGTATAAAAACTAGACAGAATCATTCTCAGAAACCGCTCTGTGATGTGTGCGTTCAACTCTCAGAGTTTAACTTTTCTTTTCATTCAGCAGTTTGGAAACACTCTGTTTGTAAAGTCTCCACGTGGATATTTTGACCACTTAGAAGCCTTCGTTTGAAACGGGTTTTTTTTTCATGTAAGGCTAGACAGAAGAATTCCCAGTAACTTCCTTGTGTTGTGTACATTCAACTCACAGAGTTGAACGTTACCTTAGACAGAGCAGATTTGAAACACTCTTTTTGTGCAATTGGCAAATGGAGATTTCAAGCGCTTTAAGGTCAATGGCAGAAAAGGAAATATCTTCGTTTCAAAACTAGACAGAATGATTCTCAGAAACTCCTCTGTGATGTGTGCGTTCAACTCTCAGAGTTTAACTTTTCTTTTCATTCAGCAGTTTGGAAACACTCTGTTTGTAAAGTCTGCACGTGGATATTTTGACCACTTAGAGGCCTTCGTTGGAAAAGGGATTTCTTCATATGATGCTAGACAGAAGAATTCTCAGTAACTTCCTTGTGTTGTGTGTATTCAACTCACAGAGTTGAACGGATCCTTTACACAGAGCAGACTTGAAACACTCTTTTTGTGGAATTTGCAAGTGGAGATTTCAGCCGCTTTGAGGTCAATGGTAGAATAGGAAATATCTTCCTATAGAAACTAGACAGAATGATTCTCAGAAACTCCTTTGTGATGTGTGTGTTCAACTCACAGAGTTTAACCTTTCTTTTCATAGAGCAGTTAGGAAACGCTCTGTTTGTAAAGTCTGCAAGTGGATATTCAGACCTCGTTGAGACCTTCGTTGGAAACGGGATTTCTTCATATTCTGCTAGACAGAAGAATCCTCAGTAACTTCCTTGTGTTGTGTTTATTCAACTCACAGAGTTGAATGATCCTTTACACAGAGCAGACTTGAAACACTCTTTTTGTGGAATTTGCAAGTGGAGATTTCAGCCGCTTTGTGGTCAATGGTAGAAAAGGAAATATCTTCGTATAAAGACTGGACAGAAATGATTCTCAGAAACTTCTTTGTGATGTGTGCGTTCAACTCACAGAGTTTAACCTTTCTTTTCATAGAGCAGTTAGGAAACACTCTGTTTGTAAACTCTGCAAGTCGATATTCAGACCTCTTTGAGGCCTTCGTTGGAAACGGGATTTCTTCATACTATGCTAGACAGAAGAATTCCCAGTAACTTCCTTGTGTTGTGTGCATTCAACTCACAGAGTTGAACGTTCCCTTAGACAGAGCAGATTTGAAACACTCTATTTGTGCAATTTGCAATTGTAGTTTTCAAGCTCTTTAAGGTCAACGGCAGAAAAGGAAATATCTTCGTTTCAAAACTAGACAGAATGATTCTCATAAACTCCTTTGTGATGTGTGCGTTCAACTCACAGAGTTTAACCTTTCTTTTCATTGAGCAGTTAGGAAACACTCTGTTTGTAAAGTCTGCAAGTGGATATTCAGACCTCCTTGAGGCCTTCATTGGAAACGGGATTTCTTCATATTCTGCTAGACAGAAGAATTCTCAGTAACTTCCTTGTGTTGTGTGTATTCAACTCACAGAGTTGAACGATCCTTTACACAGAGCAGACTTGAAACACTCTTTTTGTGGAATTTGCAATTGGAGATTTCAGCCGCTTTGAGGTCAATAGTAGAAAAGGTAATATCTTCGTAGAAAAACTAGACAGAATGATTCTCAGAAACTCCTTTGTGATGTGTGTGTTCAACTCACAGAGTTTAACCTTTCTTTTCATAGAGCAGTTAGTAAACACTCTGTTTATAAAGTCTGCAAGTGGATATTCAGACCCCTTTGAGGCCTTCGTTGGAAACGGGATTTCTTCATATTATGCTAGACAGAAGAATTCCCAGTAACTTCCTTGTGTTGTGTGTGTTCAACTCACAGAGTTGAACTTTCATTTACACAGAGCAGATTTGAAACACTCTTTTTGTGGAATTTACAAATGGAGGTTTCAAGCGCTTTGAGGCCAAAGGCAGAAAAGGAAATATCTTCGTATAAAAACTAGACAGAATCATTCTCAGAAACTGCTCTGCGATGTGTGCGTTCAACTCTCAGAGTTTAACTTTTCTTTTCATTCAGCAGTTTGGAAACACTCTGTTTGTAAAGTCTGCACGTGGATAACTTGACCACTTAGAGGCCTTCGTTGGAAACGGGTTTTTTTCCTGTAAGGCTAGACAGAAGAATTCTCAGTAACTTCCTTGTCTTGTGTGTATTCAACTCACAGAGTTGAACGATCCTTTACACAGAGCAGACTTGTAACACTCTTTTTGTGGAATTTGCAAGTGGAGATTTCAGCCGCTTTGAAGTCAAAGGTAGAAAAGGAAATATCTTCCTATAAAAACTAGACAGAATCATTCTAAGAAACTGCTCTGTGATGTGTGTGTTCAACTCTCAGAGTTTAACTTTTCTTTTCCTTCAGCAGTTTGGAAACACTCTGTTTGTAAAGTCTGCACGTGGATAATTTGACCACTTAGAGGCCTTCGTTGGAAACGGGTTTTTTCATGTAAGGCTAGACAGAAGAATTCTCAGTAACTTCCTTGTGTTGTGTGTATTCAACTCACAGAGTTGACCGATCCTTTACACAGAGCAGACTTGTAACACTCTTTTTTTGTGGAATTTGCAAGTGGAGATTTCAGCCGCTTTGAAGTCAATGGTAAAAAAGGAAATATCTTCGTTTCAAAACTAGACAGAATGATTCTCAGAAACTCCTTTGTGATGTGTGCGTTCAACTCAAAGAGTTTAACCTTTCTTTTCATAGAGCAGTTAGGAAACACTCTGTTTGTAAAGTCTGCAAGTGGATATTCAGACCTCTTTGAGGCCTTCTTTGGAAACGGGTTTTTTTCATATAAGGCTAGACAGAAGAATTCCCAGTAACTTCCTTGTGTTGTGTGTGTTCAACTCACAGAGTTGAACTTTCATTTACACAGAGCAGATTTGAAACACTCTTTTTGTGGAATTTGCAAGTGGAGATTTCAAGCGCTTTGAGGCCAAAGGCAGAAAAGGAAATATCTTCGTTTCAAAACTAGACAGAATCATTCTCAGAAACTGCTGCGTGATGTGTGCGTTCAACTCTCAGAGTTTAACTTTTCTTTTCATTCAGCGGTTTGGAAACACTCTGTTTGTAAAGTCTGCACGTGGACATTTTGACCACTTAGAGGCCTTCGTTGGAAACGGGTTTTTTTCATGTGAGGCTAGACAGAAGAATTCCCAGTAACTTCCTTGTGTTGTGTGCATTCAACTCACAGAGTTGAACGTTCCCTTAGACAGAGCAGATTTGAAACACTCTATTTGTGCAATTTGCAAGTGTAGATTTCAAGCGCTTTAAGGTCAATGGCAGAAAAGGAAATATCTTCGTTTCAAAACTAGACAGAATGATTCTCAGTAAACTCCTTAGTGATGTGTGCGTTCAACTCACAGAGTTTAACCTTTCTGTTCATAGAGCAGTTAGGAAACACTCTGTTTGTAAAGTATGCAAGTGGATATACAGACCTCCTTGAGGCCTTCGTTGGAAACGGGATTTCTTCATATTCTGCTAGACAGAAGAATTCTCAGTAACTTCCTTGTGTTGTGTGTATTCAACTCACAGAGTTGAACGATCCTTTACACAGAGCAGACTTGAAACACTCTTTTTGTGGAATTTGCAAGTGGAGATTTCAGCCGCTTTGAGGTCAATAGTAGAAAAGGAAATATCTTCGTAGAAAAACTAGACAGAATGATTCTCAGAAACTCCTTTGTGATGTGTGCGTTCAACTCACAGAGTTTAACCTTTCTTTTCATAGAGCAGTTAGGAAACACTCTGTTTGTAAAGTCTGCAAGTGGATATTCAGACCTCCTTGAGGCCTTGGTTGGAAACGGGATTTCTTCATATTATGCTAGACAGAAGAATTCCCAGTAACTTCCTTGTGTTGTGTGTGTTCAACTTACAGAGTTGAACTTTCATTTACACAGAGCAGATTTGAAACACTCTTTTTGTGGAATTTGCAAGTGGAGATTTCAAGCGCTTTGAGGCCAAAGGCAGAAAAGGAAATATCTTCGTATAAAAACTAGACAGAATCATTCTCAGAAACTGCTCTGCGATGTGTGCGTTCAACTCTCAGTGTTTAACTTTTCTTTTCATTCAGCAGTTTGGAAACACTCTGTTTGTAAAGTCTGCACGTGGATATTTTGACCACTTAGAGGCCTTCGTTGGAAACGGGTTCTTTTCCTGTAAGGCTAGACAGAAGAATTCCCAGTAACTTCCTTGTGTTGTGTACATTCAACTCACAGAGTTGAACGTTCCCTTAGACAGAGCAGATTTGAAACACTCTTTTTGTGCAATTGGCAAGTGGAGATATCAAGCGCTTTAAGGTCAATGGCAGAAAAGGAAATATCTTCGTTTCAAAACTAGACAGAATCATTCCCACAAACTGCGTTGTGATGTGTTCGTTCATCTCACAGAGTTTAACCTTTCTTTTCATAGAGCAGTTAGGAAACACTCTGTTTGTAAATTCTGTAAGTGGATATTCTGACATCTTGTGGCCTTCGTTGGAAACGGGATTTCTTCATATTCTGCTAGACAGAAGAATTCTCAGTAACTTCCTTCTGTTGTGTGTATTCAACTCACAGAGTTGAACGATCCTTTACACAGAGCAGACCTGAAACACTCTTTTTGTGGAATTTGCAAGTGGAGATTTCAGCCGCTTTGAGGTCAATAGTAGAAAAGGAAATATCTTCGTAGAAAAACTAGGCAGAATGATTCTCAGATACTCCTTTGTGATGTGTGCGTTCAACTCACAGAGTTTAACCTTTCTTTTCATGGAGCAGTTAGGAAACACTCTGTTTGTAAAGTCTGCAAGGGGATATTCAGACCTCTTTGAGGCTTTCGTTGGAAACGGGATTTCTTCATATTCTGCTAGACAGA